>NC_000011.10:48241818-48544848 GCF_000001405.40 Homo sapiens
CATTGTAGGGGGTTTCACAGCATCCCTGGCTTCTACCCACTAGATGTAAGCAGCACTCCTTTCCCAGCCAGTTTGTGACAATGGAAAATGTTCCCAGACCTTGTCGAATATCCTCTGGGGGCAAAATTGCCCCCAGTAGAGAACCATAACTCTACTATGGTGAATGATCCATAACTCATCCACACCAAAGACACAGAGAAGTGCTAATACAGTTTCCTGACACTTGTGGTCTCTATCCCATGGGCCCACTATTCTGAATAGTGTCACTTTATGTAAGGTCACACGACTGAGTTCTTGATAAGCAGGGGGGGAGGGGTCGTTCATGAACTTCTGAACAGCCCCAGGCAGAGTAAGTGCAAACATGGGGTGAATTGAATTTGTTCACAATTCCTACTGATTTCTGAACTTGTTTTCTACAAGGAAGTTTGAGATTTTCCTACAAGTGTGAGTTGTTTTCTGCAAGTTATTTCCTACAAGTAATTTGAGGTCCTAATCAGGTGGTCTGCCTGATTAGGAAGGGGAAAGGGTGAGGCTCTCTGGGGAACGAACTTCTCTCACCTGATCACTTACCTCCTCCCCCGGTGTCTTTTAAGCAGTATGAACTCAGGGCTGAGCTGCCAGGCTTTAAGTTTTTTGTGGAACACCTTGGGGGGCAAGTCTACTTTGCTCGTTTTAAATTAGGTATAATTGAAACCCCAGTGGCTTAGCATTTCTCAGCATTTCCAAGCCTGAGGGTGCAGGGGAGCAGATCCTCTCCGTTTTGGAACTCCAGTGAGGCAGCAGCTCTGGCTGATAGTGTGGCCATTTGTAATTCTTCTTGATTGGCTAACTGGGAAACCTGTGTGAGCCTAGGGCCATTCTCAGGGTGTTATTTACCTCTCCGGGGTTAGACAGAACAGGCAACTGGTGAGAACAGCAAAGCCACAGAAACACTGGGGTGAGTTTTGTTTGTGACCATGGGTTTCTTTTGTACTAATGATTGATTCCACCTTGAAAGTAAAGAGAATGGTTCCAGGAAGTGTATAGCACATTACAAAGGGCTTTCGCCTCCATCTGGTCTTTGAGACAAACACAAGTGCTAGGCTCTGGGATTCAGAGATGAAGAAGGCGTGGTGTTAGTCCTTGGGGAACTTTCTTCCTCGATATTTACTGAACACCAACCTACCAAATACTGTGCTAAGAAGGCTGGGAAGATACATATCCAATATTATTCATCCTATCTACATTCATTGAAGGCTATTGCATGGCTGGCACTGCAGTAAGCATTGGAGGTGGAGTGGTGGGCAACGATCATCTCTGCCGTAAGGAAACCCACACTCCAGTGGGCAGGTGGCCACACAAAAACAATGATAATTCAGTGTGGTAAGTGCCGGGATCCCAAAATGTCCTGAGAGAAGAGGGGCCCCTGGCAGAGGGGGCCTGTAAACTGTGGAGCTGGCTTGGAGAGGAATCCGGGGCAGGACATAGGACTGGCCCTTAACTTATCCTGGGATGGGGCTGGGAGTGGGATTTATGGCACCTACCTGTGAGGCAGGCATTATCTGCATGTTACAGTTTAGACCTTGAGTCTCTGAGAGGTTAAAGAACTTTCTAGATCTTACACAGACACTCCCTGAAAAATATGACTATAAATCCAGGAGTCCAGACTGTTAGTGCTCTCTTCTGTGAGCAGCTTCTTGGTAAAGTTCCCCAGCTGATCTGAGATTTTGGGGCTGGCGTCTGTCCTTTCTCTGTTTCTGTAACTATATGTTCTATCAGTGATTTCCTTCTGGTTCGTGGTGGTCTTTAATCACCTGAGATTGTCCCAATCATGGAAGCAAGGAAGCCTTGTGGTGTGAGTGGAAGTGATCTGGCTCCCAGGCTCAGGTGGCCTGGAGTGTTACTGTAGGAGAGGCTATGTGGATATACAAAACCTTAGCCACCTTGGACAGAGTTCAGCATGGACTGGGACAGCCTGCCAATCAGTCCTGAGCAGTCTTGGTGATGCTCTGAGGTGTTGAAAGCCTGGGCTGTGGAGAAGGATGTGTCAGAGCATGAGGGGGCACTGGGATGTGTGTGTGTGTGTGTGTGTGTGTGTGTGTGTGTGTGTGTGTATGGGGGGTGTTGGACCTTTGTTGCCACTGGAGGATGTGACTGGAGAAAGTGAAAGCCCCAGTAAAGAGGAGAATCATACATGGATTAAGTTGAGCTGGGCCCTTGGAAGGGGACAAGCTCACCAAGTGACCAAGTGTAGAATGTGAGAATTAGAGGGAGAAGCAGAAATAAGAGGAGATGTTGATTGTCAAAGGAGGTCCACTAGGGATATCTCTTCTAAAGACTCTGAATGGTATGTGGAGAGGTTGAGGACACTGTTCTGCAAACCAAGGATAGAAAAGAAGGCCAGGAGCAGTGGCTCATGCCTATAATCACAGCACTTCGGGAGGCTGAAGTGGGTGGCTTGCTTGAGCTCAGGAGCTTTAGACCAGCCTGGGCAACATGGTGAAACCCTATCTCTACAAAAAATATAAAAATTAGCAGAGCATGGTGGCACATGCCTGTAGTCCTAGTTACTCAGGAGGCTGAGGTGGGAGGATCATTTGAGCTGGGGGAAGTCAAGGCTGCAGTGAGCCAAGATCACACCACTGCACTCCAGCCTGGGTGACAAAGTGAGCCCCTGTCTGAAAAAAAAAAAAAAAAAAAAAAAAAAAAAAAAAAAGGAGAAGGAAGTGGCATGAAGGAAAGCTGTAGGCACAAGATAATTTAAAACACTCATCTAACATGGAGACAGTAACACTATCCTGGCTGTTCCACATCATCCAATGAGGGACTTATTAACTTCCTAATAGAGCTCCTCCTCTAATCTGTTTCCACTGGACAGCCCTTTCCACACTTTAGTTCTACATACTACAGACTTTGTCTGATCCTGCAGACAATGGGGAATCATCAAGCATGTTCATCAACTAAAAGGAAAAACACTTTGGGACTGCTAGGGTCCTCAAAGGCCCTAACAGTCCTTCACAAATTGGTACTAATGTCTATCTACAGCTTTATTTTTTTGCTATTCTCCCCTTTATTCCAGCCACACACAAAGCATTTGTACTTGCTCTCTGCCTTCTTGGAATGCTCTTCCCTTCTACACATAACTAACTCCTACTCACCTTTCAATTTCCAACTCAGAAGCATCTCAGCTATGCAAGGGCTTTCATGTAATTCACCCACTGAGTGAAGAAGTATTTTGTATCATTTCAGATCACACCACCCAAATTGCTGCCTCTTGATGATGACCTCTTGGCTAACATACACAACATGACTGAATTCATTTTTCTGGTACTTTCTCCCAACCAGGAGGTGCAGAGGGTTTGCTTTGTGATATTTCTGTTCTTGTACACAGCAATTGTGCTGGGGAATTTCCTCATTGTGCTCACTGTCATGACCAGCAGAAGCCTTGGTTCCCCCATGTACTTCTTCCTCAGCTACCTCTCCTTCATGGAGATCTGCTACTCCTCCGCTACAGCCCCCAAACTCATCTCAGATCTGCTGGCTGAAAGGAAAGTCATATCTTGGTGGGGCTGCATGGCACAGCTTTTCTTCTTGCACTTCTTTGGTGGCACTGAGATTTTCCTGCTCACTGTGATGGCCTATGACCACTATGTGGCCATCTGCAAGCCCCTCAGCTACACCACCATCATGAACTGGCAGGTGTGTACTGTCCTTGTAGGAATAGCATGGGTGGGAGGCTTCATGCATTCCTTTGCACAAATCCTTCTCATCTTCCACCTGCTCTTCTGTGGCCCCAATGTGATCAATCACTATTTCTGTGACCTAGTTCCCCTTCTCAAACTTGCCTGCTCTGACACCTTCCTCATTGGTCTGCTGATTGTTGCCAATGGAGGCACCCTGTCTGTGATCAGTTTTGGGGTCCTCTTAGCATCCTATATGGTCATCTTGCTCCATCTGAGAACCTGGAGCTCTGAAGGGTGGTGCAAAGCCCTCTCCACCTGTGGGTCCCATTTCGCTGTGGTTATCTTGTTCTTTGGGCCCTGCGTCTTCAACTCTCTGAGGCCTTCTACCACTCTGCCCATAGACAAGATGGTGGCTGTGTTCTACACAGTGATAACCGCGATCCTGAACCCTGTCATCTACTCTCTGAGAAATGCTGAAATGAGGAAGGCCATGAAGAGGCTGTGGATTAGGACATTGAGACTAAATGAGAAATAGAGGCTGAGTCTTTGTATTGATACTTGGGTTTAGAATGACTGTTGAGTCCAAACTGAAGGAGCAGAATAGGTTGAAGGAAAGTTCACAGGACCTGTTAGTTGCAGATTATTCTACCTGGCCTCTCTCTTTAAAAAGTTCATTTTCATAACTTGAATAGTATTTCTTTTTGTGGAGGTACTAATTTTTTACCACCATAAATAACACTGTAGTTAATATTCTTGAATAGACATTTTTAACCATGCTTCTGACTTTCTTTTAGGCTTATTTCCTAGAGTGAATTTAGTGTTAGAGTATAAAGACTTTTGGTGCACAGTGTTACACTGAGTCACCTATCTTGTGAAAGTGCTCTTGACAGAATAGAATCCTGTCATTAAACACTTTTTTTTGGATAAGAAATGATTTTACATTGTTTCAAAGTATCTTTCCTTAGGACACCAAGGGGTATTAATTACAGAGAGAAAAATGTAACTTTATAGCCCTTCCCCTCTAAACCATTGCCCAAAGTGAGTATCACCAGAAATAAGATCCATTGATGCCATGTGCCTCTTGATATGGTGCACTGGAGAGGCACACAATATCATTATTGTGCTATTCTTACCAAAAATACACAACCTGAGTCTAATCATAAAAAAACACAAGGAGAGCCCAAAGAAAGAATATTCTGCAAAATTACTGTCCTTAACTCTTCAAATGTGTAAAGATGAAGAAAGAAGAATTACTCTGGATTAAAGATAGGTGACAAGTAAAGCAACATGTGATCCTGGATTGGATCTTGGATATTAGATAGAGGACATTTGTGGGGCAAAACTCTGTAGATGAGATAATAAAATTACATGAATGTTAATTTCCTGATTTTGATCATTGTACTGTGCTTGTCTCAAAGAATGTTCTTGGATTAGGGAATTGCTTATTGAGATATCTAGAGATGGAGGGACATCATATTGGCAGCTCTCAAACATTTCAGAAAAATTATTATTTTTATTGTATATCTTTAAGGTGAGCAACATACTGTTTTGATATACCTATACTATACACAAAGAAATTATTAGTCAAGCAAATTAACATACTTATCACTTTGCAGAGTTTGCTTTTTTTTAATGGTAAGAGTACCTAAAATCTACTCTCAGCAAATTTCCAGGATACAATACCATATTATTTACTATAGTCCTTATGTTGCACGTTAGATCTCTAGACTTGTTTATTCTATGTAACTACAAGTTTGCATCCTTTGACCTACTTCTCCACACTTCCCCTGTATCAGAAAATTTCTACCCATCTGTTTGTCTACATATCTATTTATTGAGAGCATGAAGGATAAAGAAAATGTGGCAAAATACCAATATTTGGGAAATCTGGATTAAGGGAAAACAAGAATTCTTTTTTGGAAGTTTTTGTAGGTCAAATCATTTTATAACAAAAAGTTAATAATAGGGGAGGGGTGAGGGATGAGAAATTATTTAATGGTTACTGTGTACACTATTTGGGTGATGGCTACACTAAAAATGCAGACTTCACCAGTATATAATATATCCATCTAACAAAACAACATTTGTACCCCCAAATCTATAACAATAAAAATAAAGTTTTGTAAATTAGAAAGACATCTTACCATTGTTTAATTTGCATTTTTAATTTTTTGCAAGCGTGAACGTTTTCATGTTTAATTGGTTTTGAGCCTTATTTACAAAGTTTTCAATGTTTCAAAGCTGACATTTCTTTACAGTAAAATCTATCAGTTTTAAGTTTTATATTTTATTTTTCCCCTTTTATTTTTAGTTGACACTTAATAATTGTACATATTTATGGGATACAGAGTGATATTTTGACACATGCACACAATGTAAAATGATCCAGGATAATTAGTTTTTAAAATGATTTATTCCATTGTTTTTGTGTTTAGATTATCCTACACCATTAATTAGAGACATATTTTCTTTGAAAAATTACTTAAATTTTTATTTTACTTTTGTGCAAGGGTAATCTTCATTGAGTTTTAAATAAAATAAAATGAAAAGATACGCAAGTGAAAAGTGTCATTTCATTCCTTTCCCCATTTCTACTTTCCCCCTTTCTCTTTTGGTTTCCTTAGTTTCCTGTATTTTTTTCAGTTTCTTTTTTTGAGACAGAGTCTTGCTCTATTGTCCAGGCTGGAGTGCAGTGGCATGATCTCAGCTCACTGCACCCTCTGCCTCCGAGGTTCAAATGATTCTCCTGCCTCAGCATCTGAGTAGTTGGGACTACTTGCACGAGCCACCATGCCCGGCTACTTTTTGTACTTTTAGTAGAGATGGGGTTTCGCCATGTTGGCCAGGCTCATCTTGAACTTCTGGCCTCATGTGATTAGCCCAATCCAGGTCTCCCAAAGTGCTGGGATTACAGGCCTGAACCACCTTGCCCCACCTCTTTCAGAGTTTCTTTAAGCAAATACAAGTATAATATGTATGTTCTCATTTATTTCTACCTTTTACATGAGTGATCGCATACTATATAAATGCATCTGAAACTTATTAACAGTGTATCTGGGAGTTTTAAAATATTTGAACAAGGAAATAGTCTTCATTCTTTTCTTATGGTTTTGTGGTATTCATAAAATGAACATACCATTATTTTCTTTTTTTTATTTATTCCTTCTAAAAAAAACCCGGGATACATGTGCAGAATGTGCAGGTTGTTTACATAGGTATATGTGTGCTATGGTGGTTTGTTGCACCTATTGACCTGCCCTCTAAGTTCCCTCCCCTCACCCCCCACCCCCCAACAGGCCCTGGTGTGTGTTGTTTCCCTCTCTGTGTCCATGTGTTCTCATTGTTCAACTTCCACATATGAGTGAGAACATGTGGTGTTTGCATACCATTATTTTCTTAGGTAGTCTTCTACTGATGGGTATTTGGATTGTTTTCCAATAGTGTGGCAGCAAATAACCTTAATTTAAATATGTAAAACTAATCTGTAAGTTATATTTCCAAAAATATAACTGCTGGATCAAATGTAAGTTTTTCAAAGCTGGAGATTTCACATGTCCTGATTTTAAAATATATTACAAAGCTATAGTAATTAAAACAGTGTGGTACTGGCATAAAGACAGACATAGACCAATGGAATAGAATAGAGAGCCCAGAAACAAATCCACATGTATATGATCCACTGTTTTTTGACAAGGGTGCCAAGAATACACAATGAGGAAAGAACAGTCTCTTCAGTAAATGGCATTAGGAGAACTGAATATCCACATGCAGAAGAATGAAGTTAGACCCTTATATCACCCCGTACACAAAAATCAACTCAAAATGGTTTAAAGATTTAAATGTAGAACCTGATACTGTAAAACTCCTAAAAGAAAACATAGGAAACATAGGGGAAAAGCTTTATGATGTTGAGTTTTGTAATGATTTTATGGGTTTGACAACAAAAGCATAGGTAACAAAAGCAAAAATAAAAATGCAAGACTATATCAAACAAAAAAGGTGCACAGCAAAAGAAACAATCAACAGAGTGGAAAGGCAACCTAAGGAATGGAGGAAAATATTTGCAAGCCATATATCTGCAAAGGGCTAATCTCTAAGATATATAAGAAACTCATAAAACTCAATAGCAAAATAACTAATAGCCTGATTTAAAAATGGGCTAAGAACTTAAATAGACATTTCTCTAGAGAAGATATACAAATGACCAACAGTTATATGAAAAGGTGCTTAACATCATGAATCATCCAGAAAGTACGTATTTCTTTGTAATTGGATAGAGATGACCACATTGCCCTTCACAGTAGTCATACCAACTTGTACTCTCACCAACAAATTTGTCTTTCCTGCAAAATGTATTGTTAAATTCTGAGATTTTGCTAAACTGATAGATGAAAAATGGGAGCACAGTATAATTTAAATTTATATTTCTCTTATGTTGAATAACGTTGAAATAATTTTATTTATTTATTTTTTCTCAAACAGGTTCTGACAGATCTTTTCATATATTTAAAGGCCATTTGTAGTTTTTGTAAACTGTTTCTATTATTTATTCATTTTTGGGTTGTGGTTCTTATTATATTCTAATAATTATTTATATATAAAAATTAGTCCTTTCCAAAGTGAACTGTAGATTTTTGTCCTGGTCATTGGTCTTTTGACTTTGTTTATGGTTTTTTAACATACAGAAGTCTTTTCTTTTTATGTAAATTATCATTATTTTCCTTTATGGCTTCTGGAGTATCCAGAGCCACGTTGTTTCTTATTCTGGAAGTTGTACAGAATGTTTTAATATCTGGTGGGCTAGGTCCTTTTTGTTGCTCTACTTTTTCAAACTTCTGGATATTTTTAAAAATATGTTTGAAGTCAAATGTATATTTTATAAATACTTATAAATGTATTTAGAAAGAATAGACACTATAATGCTATGAGTTTTCCTATCCAAAACCATGATACATCTTTCCATTTGTTCATGTCTTCTTTTGTGTTCTTCAGCAGAGTTTTAACATTTTTTTCCCTCCACAGGTCATGCACATTTCAAGTGTTGCCTATTATAGGGAATTGTTTGACATAGGTATAAAAGCCACTGATTCCACATATTATTTTTTTGCTACCTATAACACATGTCAATGCAAATAGGCATACAACTGTCATACAGCAAACTCAGTTAAGTCTCCACTCTATCCTTTGGCATTCTGATGAACACCTTGCATAAAAGAGTCATTCCAAAATAGTCTGCAGAGTTAGCCAACCATCTAGTTGGATCAGGCAACAGAATCACCAACTGAACTCACAGGACCAAATAGAGCTCTTCTTGAAAGGCATCTGGCTGTGATGCTTGCTAGAATCATTTTGTAACCTTCTTATTATCGAACATGTAAACATATATCAAAATAGACAGTATAGTATAAAGAATCTCTTTTACCCATAACATAATTTCCACAGATAACTCATGGCTGAGCTTGTTTTATTTATATCCGCATCTACCTCTTACCTCATCCCCCATAACATTTTGAAAAAAACTTAGGCATTATGTAATTTATTTTGTAAATGTTTCAGAATATATCTTTAAAAGATAATGACTCCTTAAAAATTTATCCAGAATAGTATTATAACTCTAATGGTGAATGGAATCATATCATTATGAAATGTTCCAGTTATAGTAGTTTTCTGCTTTTAAATATATTTTGTATGATATTATAGCTTCACCAGAGGTCTTTGAGTTTGGATGGGTAAGTCTTTTTCCATTCTTTAACCTTCAACTTTTCAGTGTCCTTGTGTTTTAGGTGTGTTTCTTGTTAACAGTATAGGTTTGAATTTCATCTAGTATATCCATTTTGGTTTAAAATTAGATGATTTATTCCATTCTCATCGAATATAATAACGATAAATTTGCATCTAGACCTACAATCTTACAAACACATTCCAATTGTTTCATCTGTTCTTATATATTTTGATTTAATCAAACATATTCTGTTTTCCTTTATTTTTAATTTTTAAAATTTTCAACTTTTATTTTAGGTTCAGGGGTACTTGCACAAGTTTGTTACATTGGTATATTGTGTGATGCTAAAGTTTGGGGTATGATTGATAATATCACCAAGGTACTGAGCATAGTATCTAATAGGTAGTTTTTCAGCCCTTCCCCCCTCTTCGCTCCCCACTCTAATAGTCCCCAGTGTCTACTGTTCCCATCTTTGTGACCATGAGTACCCAGTGTTTAGCTCCCACTTATAAGTGAGAACATGTGATATTTGGTTTTCTATTCATGCATTAATTTGCTTAGGATAAAGACCTCCAGCTGTATCCATGTTGCTGCAAAGGACATGATTTTGTTCTTCTTTATGGCTGCATAGTATTCTATGGTGTATATATACCACATTTTCTTTATCATTCCATCATGGATAGGCACCTAGGTTGATTCCATGTCTTTGGTATTGTGAATAGTGCTGAAATGAACATACAAGTGCATGTGTCTTTTTGGTGGAACAATTTATTACCCTTTGAGTATATACCCAACAGTGAGATTGCTGGATTGAATGGTAGTTCTGTTTTAAGTTCTTTGAGAAGTCTCTAAACAGCTTTCCACAGTGGTTGAACTAATTCACATTCCCACCAGTAGTGTATAAATGTTCCCTTTTCTCTGCAGTCTCCCCAGCATCTATTTTTTTTTAATAATAGCCATTCTGACTTCTGTAAGATGATATCTTATTGCATTTCTCTAATTATTAGTGATGTTGAGCATTTTTGCATATGTTTGTTGGCTGCTTTTATGTCTTCTTTTGATAAGTGTTTGTTCATGTCCTTTGCCCACTTTTTAGTGGGGCTGTTTGTTTTTTACTTGCTGATTTGTCAAAGTCCCTTATAGATTCTGGGTATCAGACCTCTGTTGGATGCATAGGCTGAAAATACTTTCTCCCATTTTGTAGGGTATCTGTTTATTGTGTTGATAGTTTCTTTTGCAGTGAGAAGCACTTTAATTAGGTCCCACTTGTCAATTTTTTGGTTGTTGTTGTTGAGATTGTTTTTGAGGTGTTAGCCATAAATTCTTCACCAAGGTTGATGTGCAGAATGATATTTCCTAGGTTGTCTTCTAGGATTTTTATAGTTTGAGGTCTTACATTTAAATCTTTGAGCCATCTTGAGTTAATTTTGCATATGGTAAAAGGTAGGGATCCTATTTCATTTTTCTGTATATAGCTGGCCAGCTTTCCCAGCACCATTTATTAAATAGGGGATACTTTCCCCATTGCTTATTTTTGTCAACTTTGTCAAAGATCAGATGGCTGTAAGTGTGAGGTTTTATTTCTGGGCTCTCCATTCTATTCCATTGGTCTATGTGTCTGTTTTGTATTAGTACCATGCTGTTTAGGTTACTGTAGCCTTATAGTATAGTTTTAAATCAGGCAATATGATGCCTCCTGCTTTGTTCTTTTTGCTTAGGATTCCTTTGGCTATTCAGGATTTCTTTGGGTTACATTATAAATTTTAGAATTTTTTTCCTAAATCTGTGAAAAATGACATTGGTAGTTTGATAGGAGTAGTGTTGAGGCTGTAGACTACTTTGGGCATATAGCCATATTAAGGATACCAGTCCTTCCAATTCATGAGCATGGACTGTTTCCCTTTTTATTTGTGTGATCTCTGATTTTCTTCAGCAGTGTTTCATAATTCTCCTTGAAGAGATCTTTCACTCCCTTGGTTAGAGGTCCTCCTAGATATTTTATTTTTTGGTGGCAATTGTGAACGGAATTGTGTTCTTGATTTGGCTCTCAACTTGTATGTTGTTGGTATGTAGAAACGTTATTGATTTTTGTACACTGATTTTGTATCCTGAAACTACAGAAGTAGTTTATCAGTTCTAGCAGCCTTTTGGTGGAGTCTTTAGGGTTTTCTAGGCATAGAATCATATCATCAGCAAACAGAGATAGTTTGGCTTTTTCTTTTCCTATTTGGATGCCGGTTATTTCTTTCTTTTTCCTGATTGCTCTGGCTAGAACTTCTAGTACTATGTTAAATAGGAGAGGTGAGAGTGAGCATTCTTGTCTTGTTCCAGTTCTGAAAGGGAATGCTTCCAACTTTTTGCATTCAGAGTGATGTGGGCTGTGGGTTTGTCATACCTGGCTCTTATTATTTTGAGGTATGTTCTTTTGATGCCCAGTTTGTTGATGGTTTTATTGTGAAAAGATATTGGCTTTTATAGAAAGCTTTTCCCATGTCTATTGAGATGATCATATGGCTTTTGTTTTTAATTCTCTTTATGTGGTGAATCACATTTATTGATTTGCGTATATTCAACCAACCTTGCATCCCAGGAAGAAAACCTACTACATTGTGATGAATTAACTTTTTGATATGCTGCTGGATTCAATTTGCTAGTATTCTGTTGAGGATTTTTACATCTATGTTCATCAGGGATATTGGCCTGTGATTTTCTTTTTTCAGTGTCTTTGCTAGATTTTTGTTATCAGGGTGATGTTGGCTTCTTAAATAATCTGTTTCCCTTTTCTGCTTTTCTTAGTTGGGAAATTACATATTATTTTAGTTTTTCTTTAGGTCTATTCTAGAGATTAAAAATTTATCCTCAACTTGTAGAAGTTTAGGGTTGACTAGTACTTTAGTTCCTCTGGGATTATCTTACAGTTCACTAATTCTCTTTAGTTATGTCTAATGTGCTATTAAAATCATTCACTGAGATCTCAATTTTAAATATTATATCTTTCATTTCTGGAATTTATAGTTAGTCCTGTTATACAGCTTTCAGTTCTGTCTTGAAATTTTCAAACTTATCATTTAAGTATTTTTTTTTCCAAGAAAGTAAGTATATTTTCTGAACTCTTGTCTGAGTGGTATTCTTTTGTTTTTATTCAAGAATCTCATGCTCAATGAAATTTTTCATATGTAAAGCCAAAGTAAGTTAATCTGATTTCCTTCTTTGTGTATTCTACTGGGATCATTCTTGATTAAAAACATATTCTAGAAAATAAAACAAGAGTGAAAATATACAATTTGAATATGGTATAGGATATTATGTGGATGTTTCTGAAATTGATGTTGGGAGTATAATTTGATAAAAAGCTTGTTGAAAGCAACTTGACATTATCTAAATGAAAAATGTTTACATCCTTTGAACTAGCATCCCACTTGTGAAAATATATCCTAGAAATCTATTTGTACTTGTGAATAAGGATTTTCAATGTGGTAATTCTTATAATAGTAAATACCTAGAAACACCCTAAATGTCTATATATTTAAGAGCTGTTAAATAAATAAGTTTACATGCATCCATCTGGAATACCACACATAACTAAAAAACTATTAGGCAAATTCATACATGTTGCTTTGGAAGATCACCAAGATATATCCTTAAATGAAAACAATGAAAATGAAAATATACCAGGGAGCTGATAACTTTGGATAGCATGTTCATGTGTGTGTGTGTGTGTGTGTGTGTGTGTGTGTGTGAGAGAGAGAGAGAAAAAGAAAGAGGGAAAGAGAGAGAGACAATAAATACATGCTTTTAAAGCTATTTGTGCATACTAATTCACAAGGATTTATAGGCACATAGAATATTTCATTTTCAGTAAGACAAAAAAATTCTTATACTGCAGGCTGTGACATTCTAAAACAAAGAGATATGAATAAAATGAACATCTACAATATTAACTAATACTGGAGCAAATTTCATTTATTTCCAACATTTGTTCCTGCCTAAAGAGATTTACTTGTGGCACTATCCCTACCAGGGATAATGTGCCGCCATGAATCTCCCAGAGCACTCTCGATCATCTCCTGTTTTCATCCAAGTTATTTTCTAGATTTTGAATAATCTTCCAAATAGATGTAGAGAGAAAGGTGCTGATAGCAGGTAGGGGCAGGTAAAATGTTGGCTGTTTTAAAATCAGTATAGACTGATTATCTATTGTTTGAGGTTTACAGCACAGGCTCTGGAGTCAGACTGTTTACTTTTAAATTATAACTCTGTCACTTGGCAAGTGTGATAATCAGACAGTTTCTTACTAATTTGTGCCTCAGTTTTCTTATCTACATAATGGGATAATGTAAGTACTCATTTCATAGTGTTGTTCAATAATTACATAAAATTTCACCTAAAATGTTTAGCAGAGTATTTTAGTAGGAAGATGAGAAAGGCTGTGGCTATGACAGCAGCCAATGCTATTTCATTTGAAACTGATAACTTAGGAAGTTATTAATGTAATATATAGAAATACTTAACATAGATTTCTTTAAATAGGAGAATACCCAGGGATTTAAAAATGAAGCTTGATGGAGGTGGGGGGCTAGGGGAGGAATAGCATTAGGAGAAATACCTAATGTAGATGATGGGTTGATGGGTGCAGCAAACCACCATGGCACGTGTATACCTATGTAACAAACCTACACATTCTGCACCTGTATCCCAGAACTTAAAGTATAATAATAAAAAAAAAGATGAGAAAAATGGGAAAAAAAAGAGCTTGAGTTTTTATAGTGTTTCAGGAGGGACATGGAGAAAAGGAGTAGGCCACACTTATACCCTTGTTTTATGATTTATTTAGCCAAGGACACAGAACTTTGAAGAAGTAGCATGGCTGCACAGAACAGAAGCAGGTGGGAGTGGGGAAACTTCATTCAACTTTCCACTGGCTTGTTTGCTTCCTAAAAAGACATCAGCTGCCGGTCAAAGATTCTGAGTGGGGAGGTACTGGAACACCTTGTCATTTGACCCGACTGGACAATTTATTAGTTTCATAGGTTTGAACCATTCTCTTAATTCTTCTGAGCCTCAGTTACCTAATCCATCAAACAGGAATACTAGTTACTCTAATAGAGTGTTACTTTGACTGTATGTGAGGTATTGGAAAAGTTGAAAGATATGATAATGCCCAACACAAATGTAATGTGCTGTTGCTTAGGAAACTATGTCTAGAAGTGGACATAGTCAACTTGAGCCTTTCTGAAGCCCCTACATGTGAAAACCACATGTTAAGAATTTGTGGTTAAATGCTTAGAACTTTAAGAACAAGCAGTTGGACGGCTCTTACGGTAGGTGTTAAGAGAGAATTGGTTTAGCAAGATACGAGTACAACTAATTTTTCCTCTTTGGCTGTTTTCTCATCTTTAAACTGGATGAACTGGACAGGATGAATTTGAGGGGGCTAATCATGAGGGAGGAAGTAAAAGTTCATGTGTGTGTGCGTGTGTGTGTGTGTGAGAGAGAGAGAGAGAGAGAATGAATACATGCTTTTAAAGCTATTTGTTCATGATAATTCACTAGGTTTTATAGACACATACAACATTTCATTTTCAGTAAGGACAAAAAAATTATTATTCTGCAGGCAGTGACATTCTAAACAAGGAGATATGAATAAAATGAACGTCTACAATATTCACTAATACAGGGGTAAATTACATGTCTAGCATGCTGTGATTCAGGTGACATGTCCAAAGTTCATCTGTGAAGTGGTCCAGGTCCACTTAGTTAGAGTCTTCCTGGAATTCACCAACATCATTGGTCCAATGAGGCACGAGGGCAGAAGAAGTCACCAAGGGCCCCTTGAGTATGTCTGTGGTGGGGACAGGGGGTGATGGGATGTTAGATTCTCCTCTGTCACTTACTTGAGAATGGAGAGGGAAACCCACGGATGCCAGAATGTGAGGGGGTTAATCATGAGTGAGGAAGTAGAAGTCCCTGTTTTATAATTGGATTAATGAGAGATAGGTTCCCTAACCTCTGAATGAAGCAGTTGGGAAATTGACTTTTGCTTTTCTCAGAAATTCCCTAGAGAGTGGGTGCTAGAAAAGTTCAGGGAATTCAATTCTCTGACCTCAACTTTCCATTTCGTACATCTTAAATGCTTTGGGCCTCTCAGTCCAGCAAACATTTCCCTCAACTCTCCTTTTAGTGAGTTTTAGGGCAGACTGACCCCGTTCTTTTCCCCTGCAACTTTCTTAGCAAGAAAGTCATTAAGGGCTGGACTTGGCAAATGGAGGGGTGGCATCTTTCAGGTGGTGTATTTCAGACACATCGGTGCCTTCTGTTATTCCTCTTGCTTCCACATGTTTTCATACATGGTGAACCTTCTTAGATTTGCTCACTCTTTCAGCTGATGGGGCAGACCTTAGACATCACCCCTTAAAGCCTCAGCTGTCTAGTTAAAGGACAGGGTGACAAAGTTACTTTATAGTTTAGCTTAGAGCAGATGTTACAGTCATTCTCACCAGAGCCACTGGTAACATGGCCAACATGGAATAGTTTGCAAAACTAAGTTTTCTGAATCAACAGCTGAATAATGTATTTTTCAGCAATATTCTTTTGATAAATTTGAAGGACTTGGCTAAGATGTTCTCACATCTGTCCTCCTATGGGAGAAAAAAAAGTATTAGCCTATCTGAGCCTGAATGGAGATTAGCCTACATAGAAATCTAAAATTTGCTGGGAAGCAATCCTGAACCAAGATCTCCAAGTTTTAGACTAGTGAACACTAACACACTATTTAGATTTCTTTGATCTCTTTGTCTTTAGACTTTGTTAGTGAAATAAAACTTTCTTGGGATGACGTGGTGCAAGTGAATTAGTGTTCTGACTGCAAAAAAGAAAATATAGAAGATAAATTAAGAATCAAAACAACAAACAATGTTCAAGGTAAGTTCATTCACCTAATCTTTAGTGGGGCATGCTTGGAATTAGTTTCAAAAAGAGGAGCTAATTTTTTTAGATTAGATATCCTCCCTGCATGTACTTTAACCTCTGTGCTGTTTATAGGACACCTCTAGTGTCTTAAAAATAGATGTAATAGCAGATGAAGGATTCAGGGATCACTCCAAAACCACCTCTTAACGTCTACCATGTTCTCAGCTGTGTGCAACATGTTATAGAGGATGTAACAGACACTTAACCAGCCTTCAAAACTTATGTCTTCACCGAGAGACCTGACAGATGTACATGAACTAGGTAGAGAATAATTGGTGACAAAGTCTTAGAGCTTAGATCTCAAGTCCCAAAGGCAAATCTTGCAAAGACTTCTTTCCCTGGCAGTGCAGTTTGGCTGGCTCCTGAAACATTGTCTCCTCTCCGGGGCCTCTAAGCTCTGCACAGGCTGCCTGGGAAGAAATTACACCTTGGGCAAGTAGATGACTGAAGTCAGATCATATTTTTCGTTTCTCCTAAAAGTTTTATTTTTATTTTTAAAAATTTAATTTAATTTAATTTTAAGTTTTGGGATACATGTACAGGATGTGCAGGTTTATTACAAAGGTAAATATGTACCATTGTGGTTTGCTGCACCTATTAACACCTCAAAGACCTAGAACCAGAAATACCTTTTGACCCAGCAATCACATTACTGGGTATATACCCAAATGAATAGAAATCATTATATTATAAAGATACATGCACACATATGTTCATTGCAGCACTATTCACAATAGCAAAGACATGGAATCAACCCAAATGCCCAATGCCCATCAATAATAGACTGGATAAAGAAAATGTGGTACATACACACCATGGAATACTATGCAGCCATGAAAAGGAATGAGATCATGTTCTTTGCAGGGATGTGGATGGAGCTGGAAGCCATTATCCTCAGCAAACTAACACAGGAACAGAAAAGCAAACACTACATGTTCTCACTTATAAGCAGGAGCTGAATAATGAGGATCACATTTTTGTAAATTTACTTTCTTCCTGCCTTTTGTTTTTTTAAAAGATTTTACTCATAAATTAGGTATTGATGGGACGTATCTCAAAATAATAGGAGCTATCTATGACAAACCCACAGCCAATATCATACTGAATGGGCAAAAACTAGAAGCATTCCCTTTGAAAACTGGCACAAGACAGGGATGCCGTCTCTCACCACTCCTATTCAACATAGTGTTAGAAGTTCTGGCCAGGGCAATCAGGCAGGAGAAGGAAATAAAGGGTATTCAATTAGGAAAAGAAGAAGTCAAATTGTCCCTGTTTGCAGATGACATGATTGTATATCTAGAAAACTCCATTGTCTCAGCGCAAAATCTTCTTAAGCTGACAAGCAACTTCAGCAAAGTCTCAGGATACAAAATCAATGTGCCAAAATCACAAGCATTCTTATACACCAATAAGAGACAAAGAGAGAACCAAATCATGATTGAACTCCCACTCACAATTGCTTCAAAGAGAATAAAATACCTAGGAATACAACTTACAAGGGATGTGAAGGACCTCTTCAAGGAGAACTACAAACCACTGCTCAAGGAAATAAAAGAGGTTAGAAACAAATGGAAGAACATTCCATGCTCATGGGTAGGAAGAATCAATATCGTGAAAATGGCCATACTGCCCAAGGTAATTTATAGATTCAATGCCATCCCCATCAAGCTACCAATGACTTTCTTCACAGAATTGGAAAAAACTGCTTTAAAGCTCATATGGAACCAAAAGAGAGCCCACATTGCTGAGTCAATCCTAAGCCAAAAGAACAAAGCTGGAGGCATCATGCTACCTGACTTCAAACTATACTACAAGGCTACAGTAACCAAAACAGCATGGTACTTGTACCAAAACAGAGATATAGATCAATGGAACAGAACAGAGCCCTCAGAAATAATGCTGCTTATCTACAACTATCTGATCTTTGACAAACCTGAGAAAAACCAGCAATGGGGAAAGGATTCCCTATTTAATAAATGGTGTTGGGAAAACTGGCTAGCCATAAGTAGAAAGCTGAAACTGGATCCCTTCCTTACACCTTATACAAAAATTAATTCAAGATGGATTAAAGACTTACATGTTAGACCTAAAACCATCAAAACCCTAGAAGAAAACCTAGGCAATACCATTCAGAACATAGGCATGGGCAAGGACTTCATGTCTAAAACACCAAAAGCAATGGCAACAAAAGCTAAAATTGACAAATGGGATCTAATTAAACTAAAGAGCTTCTGCACAGCAAAAGAAACTAGCATCAGAGTGAACAGGCAACCTACAAAACGGGAGAAAATTTTTGCAACCTACTCATCTGATAAAGGGCTAATATCCAGAATCTACAATGAACTCAAACAAATTTACAAGAAAAAATCAAACAACCCCATCAAAAAGTGGGTGAAGGATATGAACAGACACTTCTCAAAAGAAGACATTTATGCAGCCAAAAGACACATGAAAAAATGCTCATCATCACTGGCCATCAGAGAAATGCAAATGAAAACCACAATGAGATACCATCTCACACCAGTTAGAATGGCAATCATTAAAAAGTCAGGAAAAAACAGGTGCTGGAGAGGATGTGGAGAAATAGGAACACTTTTACACAGTTGGTGGGACTGTAAACTAGTTCAACCCTTGTGGAAGTCAGTGTGGCGATTCCTCAGGGATCTAGAACTAGAAATACCATTTGACCCAGCCATCCCATTACTGGGTATGTACCCAAAGGATTATAAATCATGCTGCTATAAAGACACATGCACACGTATGTTTATTGAGGCACTATTCACAATAGCAAAGACTTGGAACCAACCCAAATGTCCAATAATGATAGACTGGATTAAGAAAATGTGGCACATATAGACCATGGAATACTATGCAGCCATAAAAAATGATGAGTTCATGTCCTTTGTAGGAACATGGATGAAGCTGGAAACCATCATTCTCAGTAAACTATTGCAAGGACAAAAAACCAAACACCGCATGTTCTCACTCATAGGTGGGAATTGAGCAATGAGAACACATGGACACAGGAAGGGGAACATCACACACTGGGACCTGTTGTGGGGTGGGAGGAGAGGGGAGGGACAGCGTTATACCTAATGTTAAATGATGAGTTAATGGGTGCAGCACACCAACATGGCACAGGTATACATATGTAACAAACCTGCAAGTTGTGCACATGTACCCTAAAACTTAAAGTATAATAATGAAAAGAAAAGATTTTACTCTTCCACTTGGCTTGGCCTTTGTTGTAAACACAATTCTCTTCCCTGTCCCTGTTATTGCTGCATTCTGGAAGCTGGATTTGGGTGAGCACCAGGTGGAAGACTCAATGGATTTGATGATCTATAAAGCAAGCATTGAATGGGAAGCTGAGACACCTAGTTCTAGTTCAGGCTCTGCACCAACCAGCTGTATGTGACTTTGGGCCCCAGATTCCTCTTCTGTGACATGAAGAATCCATGAGCCCCCTTACAAATTTGACAGCTTATGATTACTCTGTATAGGAAACTAGGAAGGAGAGAGGCCTCTGCATCTGACTTCTCTGTGATAGGATATCTTTGGAGAGAAGAATGTTCGAAAAGACCAGTCTGACCAATCTTATTTTTCAAAACCTCATAGTACATGAGGTTCTATGACAGGAAAAGTGAAATAAGAAACCACAAAGTAGGGACTGGTTTCATTTTAAATATTTAGAAATTTTCACAGAAGTTGTTTACTGAGGTTAGGCCTTCTTTGAGATTCTGTGTGCATCCCCATTTTAGGTTTCCTTAACTGTGAACCCCGGAAATGTCCATTTAATGTGCTGTCTGATTAGAACACAGATTTATGTTTCAGGTTCTCTTCTTTTGGCCCTGCCAATTACAAAGTCAGTATTAAAGTATTTTAGACATCGCAGGCAAAATGTCACTAACACTGTCAGTGGTTTACACATCTATTGACCTCTTTATGAAATTATCTCTCAAAGGTATTTCTTTTCCGTGCAGAGGCTTAATACATGTTAATTTCCTTTTAAAAATTCTACTCTAAATCCACTCAATTTGTAGCTTTTTGAGACAATTTGATGATTATATTGTAAATACATCTTGTTCTGTTAACCTTCAATACGCTTGGACTAAAAATACAACAATGAATCTTTTAAAATCAGAAGACTAAAGTGGTCCTTACAAATCCTTTGAGGGGACCTCTCATTGACACTCCAAACCAGAAGTAATTATAGAACATTTGCTTTCAAGCTAAATTTCACAGAAAATACTCACCTAGTGATAGAGTCATTGTTTCCGTGAGGATGAAACCTCCCCATGTAAGATTCCTGCCTTCTGCATAAACATCCTGTGTGTGAAAGATTGGTATATGGCAGAAGGATCAGCTGGGTACACAGAGGAGCATGGTGGGGAGCTAAAGGGAGGGCACAACAACGAGGGGATGGCATTATGGCTGTTTTATAGATCAGGAAACTGAGGCTCAGAGAGGTTTCATCACTTGTCCCAGGCCACACAACTCTTCTTTGGACCAAGGTCTGTATTTTCGAGATGTACATGCTTCTACCACATCACTCACTTCTGCAGAGTACCTTATAGTGGTTCATCATATCAATCTTGCCTTATACTATCACGTGGAATGAGTTTTCTACACCGAGTGCTAACATTTCTCAACCCCAACCTCAAATCTGTGAAGCTAACCAGGTTCCCTAATAGGCATAAGAAAGAAACTGAGAAGAGGAAAGGAAAATCACAAAGCCTCAACCACTGTTCTTGGAGGAAGGTATGGAGAAGGGGAAATTTATGAGGCAGTAACAAGTCAGAAGGCATTTCAATAATTAGTTAGTTAAATTGGGGTAAAATACACAACAGGATTTACCATCTTAACAATTTTTAAGTGTATAGCTGAGTAACATTAAAATACATTCACATAATTGTGCAGCCATCACCACCTTTCATCTCTAGAACACCTTTCATTGCCCCAAACTGAAACTACCATGAAACACTAACTCCATATTCTTCCTCCCCCTGCAGTCCCTGGCGGCCACCATTCTACTTTCTGTCTCTATGAATTTGACTATTCTAGGTACTCTAGGTGCTGTATAAGTGGACTTACACAATATTTTTATTTCTGTGACTTAGTATGTCACTTAGCATATTCAGTCCCATTTTATAATGTAGCTGACTGTTCTGAGGGCTTGTTGATGTGCTTAACCCTGGGACCCTTTAATCAGAACCCTGGGACATGACAAGTCTGCACAAGCAGATGTAGACATCAGGCACTCTTTAGGCATAGGAGATGTAGTGGAAGCATGTACATTTTGAGAAACACAGATCTGGGCTCAAATAAGAGCTGTGTGGCTTTGGGCAAGTGGCTGGACCTCTCTGAGTCTCAGTTTTTTTCTTATCTATAAAATGTCCTCTGATTTTTCTTGTGAGCATTCAATCAGCATGTGCTAGATCAGCAAAAACACTTCAAGGCCGCAACACTACAAAATCGAGGCTTATGTTGGGAATAACATCAAGCAGCTGATATTTGCTGTTTTGTTCACTTGTCTCAGAACATGTTTTGGGGAAAACCAAGGGAGAGAACAAACTCAAGAGGGAGCAGGATGATGATAGTCCTCAGGCCTGGGAAGGATGTTTCTAATGATTGAGGAGAGTTCTTTGATTTCTGTGATTCCAGGCTGTCAGCTCCTGTGCTTTAAAATATGGTTGCTACAAACAATGTGACTGAAATAATTTTCGTGGGATTTTCCCAGAATTGGAGTGAGCAGAGGGTCATTTCTGTGATGTTTCTCCTCATGTACACAGCTGTTGTGCTGGGCAATGGCCTCATTGTGGTGACCATCCTGGCCAGCAAAGTGCTCACCTCCCCCATGTATTTCTTTCTCAGCTACTTATCCTTTGTGGAGATCTGCTACTGTTCTGTCATGGCCCCCAAGCTTATCTTTGACTCCTTTATCAAGAGGAAAGTCATTTCTCTCAAGGGCTGCCTCACACAGATGTTTTCCCTCCATTTCTTTGGTGGCACTGAGGCCTTTCTCCTGATGGTGATGGCCTATGACCGCTATGTGGCCATCTGCAAGCCCTTGCACTACATGGCCATCATGAACCAGCGAATGTGTGGTCTCCTCGTGAGGATAGCATGGGGCGGGGGCCTGCTGCATTCTGTTGGGCAAACCTTCCTGATTTTCCAGCTCCCGTTCTGTGGCCCCAACATCATGGACCACTACTTCTGTGATGTCCACCCAGTGCTGGAGCTGGCCTGCGCAGACACCTTCTTCATTAGCCTGCTGATCATCACCAATGGCGGCTCCATCTCCGTAGTCAGTTTCTTCGTGCTGATGGCTTCCTACCTGATCATCCTGCACTTCCTGAGAAGCCACAACTTGGAGGGGCAGCACAAGGCCCTCTCCACCTGTGCCTCTCATGTCACAGTTGTCGACCTGTTCTTCATACCTTGCTCCTTGGTCTATATTAGGCCCTGTGTCACCCTCCCTGCAGACAAGATAGTTGCTGTATTTTATACAGTGGTCACACCTCTCTTAAACCCTGTGATTTACTCCTTCAGGAATGCTGAAGTGAAAAATGCCATGAGGAGATTTATTGGGGGAAAAGTAATTTGAGAAGAGAAGTAGATGATTTAGTTAGGGAAAATAGGAGGAGTAAGGGATGGGAAATTGGGGCATGTAAGATCTCACTCTGCATCTACCTTGCCCAATGGAGTGAGTGGCCTTGGGCCAGTCACCTTTTTTGAAGTTTCAGTTTCCTCATCTTATGGGATTGGACAAGATTAAAGGGAGCTCTAGGATGGAGTAAGAGGGGTCTTCTAGTGCTGTGCTTCCAAATCTGACAGTGGCTTTGAGATATATTGGTTGGTCTAAAGAGAATAAACTCTTCCAGAAAACCAGGTCAGTCTGGGAATGGTGAAGAGGGAGGTGAGGATTGAGAATGACTGTTTCAGGGAGCACTGGTCATTATGTCCTATCAGTTTGAACATTTGCATGATTGGAAAGTCTCTTGACTTGACATACTGAGGTTTTGCTGAGAGGGTTTTAAGCAGGCAAGCTGACTGAGAAGGGTTAGTCCTGAGAATGGAAGACGTTGACTCTTGTCAAGAGATTCACATGAGCTCATGCTAGCATTAGACTCAGGGTTCTCAAGAATCCAAAAGAACAACAGGGAAATTTTAAGCAAATTGAAGGCACTGCTGTCCCATATTTTAACCTTCTTCTTTGAGTCTTATTCCAGTAGCCACCAGACTATAAGAATGTGCCCAGAACCCTAACCCTAATCCTGCCCCTCACTGCCATCAGATAAATTTTCTTCCACATGCTTTCAGACTCATCACCTTCAAGCAGTTCTCTGATTTCATCACTCTCCTCCTCAAAAATCTTCAATGACTCCCCATTGCCTTCTGAATCAACTATAAATTCCTACTTGATATGAAATACCCTCAAGTCATGACCTTCTCATAATGTTAGATTTTCATTTTTCAATTACACTATTAGAGCATACTGTTTTCTGAACATCTCCTTGTGCCCTCCACCTATAATATTTTCCTTATCTCTACCTATTAACATCCTACCTACCCTCCATGGCCCATCTGAAATTCTCCTATCTTTAGGAAGCCCCCATGTTTATCTTATCTGGGTATGTCATTTTCTTTCTTTGAATTCTCACAGCACTCAGTGGGAATCCTTTAGGGCTGTTACTACCTTTATTTCAAAGTTTATTTCTCCCCAGTAGACTGTGACTCCTTTGAGAATGTGGCTTGAATTTTATTCATCTGTGTATCTCTAAATAGCAAAACAATAAATATTTGGTCAATTAAATTTCTGGATGTCATTAGCACTTCAGATTGTAGGTGGACAATGGTTGTTATATCTCTCATTTCATGTAAATAATCTAAGTAATATATCAGTCACATCACTCAAGACAAACCAGTAATCCTTCCTGATATTGTTTCTGAGAATATCATTTATATATAAATAAGGAGCATATATGTATTTGTATTTTTTACAATGAACTAAGAGATTTAATGATTTATCTAACTTGATTCTAAAACACACTGGTGAAGTGGGTATGAGTACAGAAGAAGAGATTGGAGATTGGGGAGGCAGGTGTCTTGATCAAGGTCACCGGTTAGTAACCCATGAAGCCTGAATTCAAACCTAGCTGTGTCTGATTTCTCAGCCCATGCTCTTCTCTGCTTCTCTTTAAATGTCACCACACATAAGTATATGTAAGTCTCTGAATTTCAAATCTGAGGGCTGAGAATATCCTATTGTCAGGTAATTCCCTCTGGAATTACTTCAGATTAAATAAAAAGTGTTTTAAAAAATATAAACCTGAAATGCTTTTTGGGTGTTCACAGGTATTTCTGGGTCCACAGAGATCCAGTGGCCAGGATACTGGATCTGGAAGTAGAGGGAAGGAAAGCAGGGGCTATGATGCTTCTGCAGGTGAGGCTCCTTGGTCCTCAGGAGGAAAAAACCTGGGCATTGACTGGGTTAGGGTGGGTCATATGTTGCTCAGGTAATTTTATGTTTCTACAGATTTTTTGGGTGAAGAGTGGCCTAAGGCCTGACATCAAAACTCAATGAGCTGGCCAAGACAAGTTTTTTTTTTTTTTTTTTTTGAGACAGAGTTTCATTCTTATTGTTCAAACTGGAGTGCAATGGCACGATCTTGGCTCACTGCAACCTCTGCCTCTGGGGTTCAAGCGATTCTCCTGCCTCAGCCTCCTGAGTAGCTGGGATTACAGGTGCGCACCACCATGCCCAGCTAATTTTTTTGTATTTTTAGTAGAAACGGGGTTTCACTATGTTAGCCAGGCTGGTCTTGAAATCCTGATGCCAGGTGATCCACCCACCTTGGCCTTCCAAAGTGATGGGATTACAGGTGTGAGACACCACACACAGCCAAGATTGCTTTTTTTTCTAGTGACATAATGCTGGAAAGGCAGCATTCTTCAGAATATCATAGAAATCAGAAAATGGGAAATAAGAGGCAAAAGATTAATATGAATTATGCATCCGCCAATTAAGTTTCCTAACATTTAATTATCAGGACTGCGCTGTCCCATTGGTGGTGCGATTCATTTTGCAGGTGGGGAAACTGCAGGTCAAGGACTGTTTCTAAACCCTCAATGTTTCTTCTACACCAGTTGTTTGTGAACTATGTAGGATTCAGTGTCCAGAATTCTGCAGGTATCTGAGGGACTGGGGTAAAAGCAGAGCAGGAAAGGACAGGAGACATATGAATGGGTAATCAGCAGCTGATTACCTTAAAAAAATCTGTTTTATATAAGATTTACTTTGATAAAAAATACTCAAAACCTTAAAAAAGCTTAAAAATCACTATAACATAGCATGCTTATACTTTTAATTTTGATTGGTCATAGCCAAGTCTTCTGTGGGTTGGTTATAGAGGGGCAGACGTTAGGAAATGACCTCTATTTCCAAAAAGGGAAGCAGAATCAAGCCTTCTTCCAAAGTTCCAGTGCCAGAGAGTCAGGCAAGAACCTCCTCAATGACAGTTAAGGCATGCCTCAGAAAATGCAGCATATCCAATGCAGGTGAATGCCCTTGAACATGATACGCTGACCCAGCCAGCTCTGAAATGGCCTCACTTCTTGGGGTGATGCCACACCCAAATTGCATTTTCCATTATGTTTGCAGACTGAATCTCTTTGCCATGAGACTCATAGCATTTAGAGTTTTCATATATATATTTTTGAAAAATTTGTGATTTGCAAAGAACTAAAAGTTCTGCGCTTTATCTATATGTAATGTCAAGAAAACTTGAGTGGAAATTATATTATTATTATTTATTATTTATTTTATTTTATTTTATTTTTCGAGACAGAGATTTTGCTCTTGTCCCCAGGCTGGAATGCAGTGGTAGGATCTCGGCTTACTGCAACCTCCACCTCCCAGGTTCAAGTGATTCTCCTGCCTCAGCCTACTGAGTAGGTGGGATTACAGGGGTGCGCCACCATGCCCGGCTAATTTTGTATTTTTAGTAGAGATGGGGTTTCACCATGTTGGCCAGGCTGGTCTCGAACTCCTGACCTCATGTGATCCACTCACCTTGGCCTCCCAAATTGCTGGGATTACAGGCGTGAGCCACCACAACTTATTTTATTTTATTTTATTTTATTTTATTTTATTTTATTTTATTTTTGAGACAGAGTCTTGCCCTGTCGCCCAGGCTGGAGTGCAGTGGCATGATCTTGGCTCACTGTAACCTTTGCCTCCCAGATTCAAGCGATTGTTGTGCTGCAGCCTCCCAAGTAGCTGGGACTACGGAGGTACACCACCGCGCCTGGCTAATTTTTGTAAGTTTGGTAGAGACAGGGTTTCACCATGTTGGCCAAGCTGGTCTAGAACTCCTGAGCTCAAGTGATCCACCCAGATTCCCAAAGTGCTGGGATCACAGGCGTGAGCCACTGTGCCTGGCCTGGAAGTTATATTATTCCTACATTATTCTGAGAATTCTAGCTGCCCAGGCTTTTTACCAGTATGGAAAGTGATCTCCAGAGACACTTTCCTGTTTCTCTCATTTCTAATCTTTGCTCACATCCATATCAATTGATATTCCTGGGAAGCAGAAGTATCTTAGATAGATGGAGATACGGCTTCTCTCAGAAAAGTCTAAAAAGATAGGTGTTGAGATGAAATGAATATTATAAGTAGTTATCACTGGGTATATCTTCTGGAAACAGTGGCTTTCTCATGGGTGAAAACCTACTTTGGTAATCATATACACGGTTAGAGCTGACATAGTTGCAGCTATCGTATGTAGGGCATCATGACAGGTAGGTATTGGAGGGGGTGTTATTGCCCCTATTTTACATGGAGAATTTACTAAAAAAATGTTGTCTAAAATCACAGAGTAGGTAGAGTGAGGATTTGAATTCACATGGTCTGATTCTGGAATTCATGCTCTTTTTTTAATCATCCCACATTTGCACCATCAGGGAGTCTAGCCCACACCTTCCTTTTAAATGGTAGGAAATTCTTTTAGAATCTTTAGTGCACCTGAAAGTCATTTGCGTTTTAAATCTTTTATTCTATAAAAAAATCCTATAAATCCTTTTCAAGATATGAATTTGGTGACTTTAGGTCATCAAATGACATTCATATTATAAACTTAAGTTGTTTGTAATATTCTCTCTTTATCCTTTATTTTCCGCAGAAATGTAGTGATATCCTTTTGCCTTCCCAGTATTAAAAATTTTTTCTTTTTCATTTGTTTTGTTAATATTTTCAATAGACCATTGTTTCACTTCCTCTAAAATTTTTCTGTTTTTGTTTTCTCTGATTAATATCTGTTAACTTTCCTATATCCTTCCTTCTAGATTGTATGAGGAGTCAGGTAAAAACTTAGCTCATTGATTTTAGACCTCACTTCCTTTCAAATATAAGAATTTAAAACTAGGATGGAACTGGAGATCATTATGTTAAGTGAAATAATCCAGACATGGAAAGACAGACATCACATGTTATGATTATTTGTGGGATCTAAAAATCAAAACAATTGAACTCATGGACATAGAGAGTAGAAGGATGGTTACCAGAGGCTGGAAAGGGTAGTGGGAGAGTGAGGGGGAGGTGGGGATGGTCAATGGGGAAAAAAAGTAGAATAAATGAGACCTACTATTTGATAGCACAATGGGGTTACTATAGTCAATAATAACTTAATTGTATATTTTAAAATAAAGAGTGTAATTGGATTGTTTGTAACTCAAAGGACAAATGCTTGAGGGGACGGGTATCCCATTCTCCATGATGTGCTTATTTCACTGTGCATGCCTGAATCAAAACATCTCATGTACCCCATAAATATTTCTATCTACTATGTACCCACAAAAATAAAAAATAATAATTAAAAGAGAATTTAAAACTATAAACTCTAAAAAGCAATACTTTAGCTGCATCCCACAAAATTTCACAAGTATTTTTATCATTCAATTTAAAATATAATCTCATTTTTAATTATTTCTCCTTTAACCAATGGATTATTTAGAACTATGTTGTTTAATTTTCAATTATTTGGGATTTTTCCTTGATATCTTATTGTTATTTAATCCTAGTTTAATTCCACTGTGGTTAGAGAGCATTCTGAATAATGCCATTCCTTTTACATTTGTTAAAACCTGTTTCATAGCCCAACCTAAGGTCTATCTTAGTGAATGTACAACATGTGCTGGAAAAGAATGTGTATTTTTCAGTTGTAGGGTATAGTGTTCTATACATATCAATTAGGTTAGGGTGGGTCATATATTGCTCAGATCTTTTATGTTTCTACAGATTTTCTTCGTCTCATCATACTACCACTTCCTGAGGCAGTGGAGTTGTTACTGCAAAGGGATCCCATTCTGGACCCCAAGAGAGGGTTCTTGGATCTTGTGCAAGAAAGAATTTGGGGCCATTCCATAAAGCAAAGTGAAATCAAGCTTTAAAAGTAAAGGAATAACGAATGGCTACTCCATAGGCAGAACAGCAGCTTGGGCTGCTGGACTAAGGACACTTATAGTTATTTCTTGTTTATATGCTAAACAAGGTGTGGATTGTTCATGAGTTTTCTGGGAAAGGGGTGGGCATTTCCTGGAACTGAGGGCTCCTCCTCTTTTAGACCATACAGGGTAACTTACTCATTGCCACGGCATTTGTAAATGGTCATGGCACTTGTGGGAGTGTCTTTTAGCATGCTAATACATTATAATTAGCATATAATGAGCAGTGAGGATGATCAGAGGTCACTTTAATTGCCATCTTGGTTTTGGTGGAATTTGGAGGGCTTCTTTATCGCCACCCATTTTGTTAATAAGGTCTTTATGACCTGTATCTTGTGCTGATCTGCTATGTCATCCTGTGCCTTAGAGTGCCTAACCTCCTGGGAGTGCAACCCAGTAGGTCTCAGCCTCATTTTACTCAGCCCCTATTGAAGATGGAGTCACTCTGGTTCAAATGCTTCTGACAGAATTAATTTCTCCAATTATGACTGTAGAATTGTTTATTGATTTCTTTAAACCTGAGAAAGAAAAAATTGCAGATGAAGAAATGACATCAAGGGAAGTTAAGTCACTCTTGCAGGTTATATATCTAGCAAATAGGAGAGTCAGCCATTAAACAAGGCAGGTTGACTCCCTGGTCCATGCTTTTAAGCACCATGTTATATCACTCCTTGTATGTCTTATCTAACTCACAGGGTGAAAACACTTCAAAATGCTATGTAAACATAAGGTGGTAGTCAAGGGGCTAGTTTAGTTCAAACTTGTCCCTGCTACTCACAAGAAAACCCAGATGACTTCATGTTTAGTACCAGCTTATTTCCCCAAATAGATGGCACAAAACCATGCCCTATGTATTGTAGTTGCTTAATAACTACATGTAGAATAAATGAGTTTGTGATGACTGAGTACAGGAGTCTAAGACAAAAATAAAAACAGTGGCTTTCATAGCTTCCAAAGTTAGTCTGAACCACTAAGTAAATGTGATAAGGGGGTATGGTGTCTCCATGGCCCACTCCTCTAATTGGAATGCAATGCCCCTGGAGTCTCATTAGCAAGCCTCAAGGTACTTTTACTAAAAATGAATGTGCTATAACTCTTAAAGCAGTGGCACTCAAATTTAGTGATGGCTTTGGCTGGGGTGATACCACATGAGCTTCCTTGAACCCCTTGTGCTTAACAATTCACTGCAACTCTCTAGTTATCTTGTCAGGCTTCTTGACTTTGGTTGCTCACTGGAGGAGGGTGGAGCTCACTAAGGTCAGTTCTCATGTAGGCTTGGTCTTTTGGGGACTCTATCTAGAATAAACCTGAACTGACCAGGGAACCTTGTAGAAAACAGATGTCTTCACTTGCTTTGCTCTGTCCCTGTTCTGTTCTCAGTGCCCACATGGAAGTCCTGCTGCACAGTATTTGAGTATTCCTCAAGATCCTGCTTGGGGGTTTGACATCTGATTTGATTTTTTTTTCTTCAGATTGCCAAGGTATCACTAGAATTCTTCTCCTTAACCATTTTCTTAACCATTACTCATTAGTTGCTGAGAACATGGCCTCTTGGTGATCAGGTGGTCCCACTTCCTTGGTCAGGAGTATTGTATGGCGACTAAGAGGATAGCATTAACGCCCTGGACACTGGGTTACATTTCCTGCTCTAACCCTTACCACTGTGTGAATTTGACCCAGTCACTCAGTCATTTGAATCCTTACGTCCCTCATCTGAAAAATAGAAACAATCATAGTAGCTTCCTCGAAGTGATGTTGAGTGGATTAAGTGAGATGAGGCATTTAAAGTGGTCTGCACAAGTCCAGGCACACAGTAAGTGTTCAATAAGTACAAGCAAATATTACGCTGCTGTGGTTACTGGTCTTTCTACTCATGGTCAGGTTAAAGCTCAGAAAGTAGTTTCACATGTATTTATTCTTTAGAGGCTTGCTAGATGGATGCCCAGACCATGACTGGGAGCTGCTGAAGGCATAGGACTGCAGCGAAGGATGTGTACTTAGAGTAGAGGGGTCAGAGTTTACAGACCAAGGAATGGGCTGCCCTGGCATGTGGTCCCTGATGGCACATTAACTTTTTGCAAATTAGAGCAATTGAGAGTGTATTTTCTTTGAGGTGTAGTCTTAGAACACTTTCTCCAAAGCCCAGACCCACCCAGCAAGGAGCTTTTTCATGTAAATGAGTTCTTTGAATACTTGAAGCTTAAAAGGCATTTAGAAGACTTTTTACATTTTAATCTTTTAAGGTAGAAATGTTTCTAAATTGCATTACAAATTTCTTTTGTATTTCAAAACAATGTATTTGAAAACTGGGGAGAGGACAAATTCAGTGTAATGTGAATCTCAATCCCCTACCAGTTCCCAGGAAAAGTAGTGAAGGGAATTAGTAAAGATGTAAAGCAACTTACTTGCTTCCTAGCTATTCTTAAATTCATCAAATACTAATTCATCATTAAAGTCATCAATATCAGTGAAATTGATTTTGGGGGGGATATTTCTATTTTTCCAGCTTAGAATCACAGCACTTAGTCTAACCTTCATCTTTTTGTTGATGCTGACTTGTTTGTGTAAAGTCAAGTCCAATGTTCATGTCTCTAAAGTTTTTCAGTGGTGTGAGACTGGAGAGAGTAGAAGGGTCTCACACCAGAAGGTTGTAGCAAATAAGCATTGGTTTTGGAATCAGGCAGATTTGCTTTCAATTCCTATTATATGGTACTTGCTATGTCTCACCTAGAGCAAGTCATTTAAAGCTAAACTTCTGGAGTTTCCTTCTCTTCATTTGTATAGTGAGGATGTTGTTAGTTATCTTTAAGAATTGTGATAAGTGTGAACTAGGATAGTGGGTTAAGCTCATGAACAGTGCCTGACCCACACCATCTCCACAATGATGGTGGCAGCCTGAGGTATAAGAAGTGGGAAATCTTTTTTTGTGCTATACTCAGTCTTGTTCAGGTATTCACAGACTACAAGGTTCAAGGGGAAGTTTATGGTTTAAGGATAACGTGAGGATTTTGGAGAGTATGAGAAAAGGAAATGGATAGAAATGAGTCCCTGAAGGAGCAGTTGAAGGTGCTGGAAGACCTTTAGGCCCAAGAAGGGTAGTCTGAGTTGGGAGCTAATGATCATTGTTTTATTAGTGTCTTCTTTAATTCCCAGAATAGCAAATGACATTGTTTTTACATTGTATTGAGATTCTATCTGGATCCTAATAAAGTTCATGCCCTCCACCTCAACCTTCCCAATTTAAGGAATCAATCTTAGGAAAAACTACCAGAGAGCTACACAGTGAGGGCATTTACTATAGTCTAAAATTGAGAGTCACTCAAAAGCTCATATACAGATAAATAGTTAAATAAATTATGGGACTTTTTAATAATGCACCATTAAAAACATCTTTTGAAGAATATCATCTGTGGAAATGCTTAAAGTGTTAAGGGAAAAAGTCTGAATATAAAACTATGTATATACTTGATTCAAAATTTGTAACTCAGATTCTGCTAACCAACATTTTACTCTGTTTCCATAAGTTCAATTTTTTAAGATTCCACATATAAGTGGGATCATGCTGTATTTGTCTTTCTGTGCTTGGCTTACCACAGTACTCTCCAGATTCATCCATGTTGTTGTAAATGACAGGATTTCCTTTTTTATAAAGGTGGAATGGTATTTTATTGTGTATATATACCACATTTCCTTTATCCATTCATTCATTGATGGGCATTTAGGTTGCATCTGTATCCTGGCTATTGTGAAAAATGCTGCAATGAATATAGAAGTGCAGATACCTCTTTGGCATACTGATTTCTTATCTTTTGTATATACATCCAGTAGTGGAATTACTGGATCATATGGTAGTTCTATTAATTCATTTTTTATTTTTAATTTTAGTGGGTACATATTTAGTGTATCTATTTATGGGTTACATGAGATATTTTGATGCAGACATGCAATGTGTAATAATCACATCAGGGTAAATGGGGTATCCATCACCTTAAGCATTTATCCTTTGTGTTACAAACAATCCACTTACACTCTTTTAGTTATTTTAATATGTACAATAAATTATTTTTGACTATAGTCATCCTGTTGTGCTAGAAAATACTAGGTCTTGTTTATTCGATTTTTTTTGGCACTCATTCACCATGAATCAGTATTTGATGAATTTAAGAATAACTAGAAAGCAAGTAAGTAGCTTTACATGGTTGGCAGCTTCCTTGCCAATCTCCACTACTCTTCTTAGCCTCTGGTAACCATCATTCTATGCTCTACTTTCATTGAATCTCAATCAGTTCAATTGTTTTAATTTTTAGCTCCCACATATAAGTGAAAATATACGAAGTTTGTCTTTCTGTGCCTGGCCTATTTCACTTAATATAATGTTCTCCAGTTCCATCCATGTTGTTGCAAATGACAGGATCTAATTCTTTTTATGGCTGGATAGTACTTCATTGGGTGTATATATCACATTGTCTTTATCCATTTTTCTGTTGGTGGACACTTAATTTGTTTCCAAATGGTGGCTATTGTGAATAGTGTGCAATAAACATGGGAGCACAGCTAACTATTTGATATGCTGAGTTCCGTTCTTCTGATTGTATACCTAGGAGTGAAATTGATGGATCACATGGTAGCTCTATTTTTAGTTTTTGAAGGAGGCTCAAAACTGTTTTTCATAGTAGTTATACTAATTTACATTCCCACCAAGAGTCTACAAGAGTTCCCTTTTCTCCATATCCTTGCCAGCATTTGTTACTGCCTGTCTTTTGGATATAAGCCATTTAAACTGGGGTAAGATAATATCTCATTGTAGTTTTTATATGCATTTCTCTGGTGATCAATAAAGTTGAGCACCTTTTCATATATCTGTTTGCCATTTGCATGTCTTTTTTTAGACATGTCTTTTGCCCATTTTAAAATCAGGTTATTAAATTTTTTCCTACAGAGTTGTTTGAGCTACTTATATATTCTGGTTATTAATCCTTTGTCAGATAGAGAGTTTGCAAATATTTTCTCCCATTCTGTGGGTTGTCTCTTAACTTTGTTGATTGTTTCCTTCACAGTGCAGAAGCTTTTTAACTTGATGTGATTTTATTTGTCCATTTTTGCTTTGGTTGCCTGTGCTTATGGGGTGTTACTCAAGAAATCTTTGCCCAGTCCAATGTCCTGGAGTTTTCCCAATGCTTCTTGTAGTAGTTTTTATAGTTTGAGGTCTTAGGTTTAGGCCTTTGATCTTCTTTGATTTGATTTTTGTATATGGTGAGAGATAGGAGTCTAGTTTTATTCTTTCTGCACATGAATATCCAGTTTTCCAAGCACCATTTATTGAAGAAACTGTCCTTTCCCCAATGTATGTTCTTGGCACCATTGTAAAAAATCAATTCACTCTAGATGTATGGGTTTATTTCCTGGTTCTCTATTCTGATCCACTGGTCTGTGCATTGGTTTTTATGCCAGCAGCATGCCATTTTGGTTACTATAGCTCTGTAGTATAATTTGAAGTGAGGTAATGCAATTCCTCCAGTTTTGTTCTTTTTCCCAAGATAGCTTTGGCTATTCTGGGTCTTTTGTGATTCCATATAAATTTTAGAGTTGTTTTTTCTATTTATGTGAAACATGTCATTGGTATTTTGATAGAGATTGTATTGAATTTGTAGATTGTTATGGGTAGTATAAACATTTTAACAATATTGATTCTTCTAATCCACAAAAATGGAATATATTCCTATATTTTCTGTATCCTCTTCAATGTCTTGAATCAATGTTTTATAGTTTTAATTGTAGAGACCTTTCACTTCTTTGGTGATGTTAATTCCTAAGTATTTAATTTTATTTGTAGTTATTGTAAATGGGATTATTTTCTTGATTTCTTTTTCAGACTGTTTGCTGTTGGCATACTGACTTTTGTATGTTGATATTGTATCCTGCAACTTTATTGAATTTGTTTATCATTTCTAATAGTTTTTTGCTGGAGTCTTTAGTTTTTTCCAAATACAAGATTATATCTGCAAATAAGTGTAATTTGACCCCTTCCTTTCCAATATGGAGGCCCTTTATTTATTTGGTCTGATTGCTCTAGCTCAAACTTCCAGTACTATGTTGAATGACTGTGGTGAAAGTGGGCATCGTTATTGTATTGCAGATCTTAGACGAAAGGCTTTCAGTTTTTCCTCATTCAGTACAATATTACATATGGGTCTGTCATATATGGCTTTTGTTATATTGAAGTATGTTCCTTCCATACCCAGTTTTTTGAAGGTTTTTATGATGAAGAGATGTTGAGCTTTATCAAATGCTTTTTCAGCTTCAGTTGAAATGATCAAATAATATCCTTCATTCTGTTCATATGATGTATCACATTAATTGATTTTTGTGTGTTAACCCAAACTTGCATCCCTGGGATAAATCCCACTTGATCATGATAAATGATCTTCTAAACGTATTGTTGAATTCAGTTTGCCAGTATTTTGTTGAGGATATTTGCATCAATATTCATCAATGATATTAGCTGGTAGTTTTCTTTTAATGATGTGTCTTTGTCTGGTTTTGGTATCAGGGTAATACTAGCCTTGTAGAATGAATTCAGAAGTATTCTCCCCTCCTCTATTTTCCAGAGTAGTTTGAATAGAATTGGTATTAGTTCTTCTTTAACCTATTTCCTGTTTGCCTTGAGAATAGTGTGCTGGCAAAGAGCTGCACTTTTATTTTCTAAATGGGAAATGGGTTAAATGTTTGGTAGAATTCAGCAGTGAAGCCATGGGGTCCCAGGCTTTTCTTCGCTGGGAGATTTTTAAATGATGGCTTCAATCTTGTTATTTGTTATCAGTCTGTTTAGGTTTTTGATTTCTCCATGGATCAATCTTGGTAGATTATATGTGTCTAGGAATTTATCCATTTTTGCTAAAATGTCTAATTTATTTGCATGTAGTTGCTCATGGTAGCCACTAATGATCCTTTGAATTTCTGCGGTATCAGTTGTAATATCTCCTTTTTAATCTCTGATTTTATTTATTCAGGTCTTTACTCTTTTTTTCTTAGTTATTCTGACTAAATGTTTGTCAGTTTTGTTTATCTTTTCAAAAAATTAGCTTTTTGTTTCATTGATCTTTTGTATTTTTTTATTTCATTTTCATTTATCTTTGCTCTGATTATTGTTTCTCTTCTACTAATTTTGAGTTTGTTTGCTCTTGATTTTCTAGTTCTTTAAGATGCATTGTTAGGTTGTTTGTTTGAAAATTTTCTTCTTTTTTGATATAGGTACTTATAGCTATAAACTTCCCTGTTAGTACTGCTTTTGCTATATCCCATAGGTTTTGGTATGTCATGTTTACATTATCATTTGTTTCAAGGAATTTTTCAATTTTACTCTTATTTTCTTTATTGACCCACTGGTCATTCAGGAGCATATGTTTAATTCTCATGTGTTTGTATAGTTTCCAACATTCCTCTTACTATTTATTTCTAGTTTTAGTCTAAATGCTGAATATTATTTCAATTTTTTTGATGTTTTCAGATTTGTTTTGTGACCTAACATATCCTTGAGAATGATCCATGTGCTAAGGAAAAGTATGTTTATTCTACAGCCACTGGATTAAATGTTCTGTAAATATCTGTTAGGTCTATTTCTATTAGTTCTATGGTGCAGATTAAGTCTGATGTTTCTTTGTTGATTTTTCTGTCTGGAAAACCTGTCCAATGCTCAAAGTAGGGTTATTGAAGTCTCCAGCTATTACAGTATTGGGTCGCTTGCTCTTTTCAGCTCTAATAATATTTGCTTTATATATGTGGCTGCTCCAGTGTTGGGTGCATATATATTTACAATTGTTACATTCCTTTGCTAAACTGACTTTTTTGTCATTATAAAATGAACTTCATTGTCTCTTCTTATAGTTTTGTCTTGAAATCTATTTTATCTGATACAAGTATAGCTACTCCTGCTCTTTTTTGTTTTTTATTGTCATGGAATATCTTTTTCCATTCATTCATTTTCAGTCCATGTGTGTCTTTATAGGTGAAGTGTGTTTCTTGTAGGTAGTAGATCATTGGGTCCTGTTATTTATCCATTCAGCCACTCTATGTCTTTTGATTGGAGATTTTAGTATATTTACATTCAATGTCATTATTGATAGGTGATATTTTCTGGTGGTATGATTTAATTTCTTGCTATTGGTTTTGTGTGTATATGTTGTATGTTTTTAGTTTTTAGGTTATTATAAGGCTATCTTATAACCATTTTTTAAGCGAAAACAACTTACCACTGCTTGTCTGAACAAACAAACAAACAAGCAAAAAGAGTACTAATAAAAACACTAAACATTAACTTTGTTCCTTACTTTTTAACTTTTTGTCATTTTTATTTATATCTTTTTGTACTGACTGTGCCTTGAAAGTTGTAGTTCTTATTTTTGATTGGTTCACATTTTAGCCTTCCTACTTACTTAAGATAATTTACAGCTGGGCACAGTGGCTCACACCTGTAATCCCAGCACTTTGGGAGGCTGAGGTGGGTGGATCATGAGGTCAGAAGATCGAGACCATCCTGGCCAACATGGTGAAACCCTGTCTGTACTAAAAATACAAAAATTAGCTGGGTGTGGTGGCACATGCCTATAATCCCAGTTACTCAGGAGGCTGGGGCAGGAGAATTGCTTGAACCAGGGAGTCGGAGGTTGCAGTGAGCTGAGACTGTGCCACTGCACTCCAGCCTGGTGACAGAGCGAGACTCCATCTCAAAAAAAAAAAAAAAAAAAAGAAGATAGTTTACACAACACCACAGTCACAGTGTTATTTAATATAATATTCTGTGTACTTACTATTATCAGTGAGTTTTTAACATTCAGATGATTTCTTTTTAAAAATTAATTAATTTATTTCAATAGTTTTTGAGGAACATGTGGTTTTTTGTTACATGGATAAGTTATTTTAGTGGTAATTTCTGAGATTTTAGTGCATCCATCATCCAAGCAGTGTACACTGTACCCAATGTGTAGTTTTTTATCACTCACCCCACCATCTTTCCCCTGCATTCCCAAAGTCCATTACATCATTCTTATGCCTTTGTGTCCTCATAACTGAGCTCCCACTTACAAGTGAGAACCTATGATATTTGATTTTTCACTTCTGAGTTACTTCACTTAGAATAATGGTCTCCAACTCCATCCAGGCTGTTTCAAATGCCATTATTTAATCCTCTTTATGGGTGGGTAGTATTCCATGATGTATATATGACATATTTTCTTTATCCACTCATTGATTGATGGGCATTTGGGCTTGATCCATATTTTTGCAATTGTGAATTGTGATGCTATAAATATGCATGTGCAAGTGTCTTTCATTTAATAACTTTCTCTAGGTAAATACCCAGTAGTGGGATTGCTGGGTCAATAGTAGTTCTACTTTTAGTTCTTTAGGGAGTCTCCATACTGTTTTATGTAGCGGTTGTACTAGTTTACATTATCACCAGCAGTGTAAAATTGTTCCCTTTTCACCACATCCACACCAACATCTATTATTTTAAATTTTTTGATTAAGGGCATTCTTGCAGGAGTAAAGTGGTATTGCATTATCATTTTGATTTGCATTTCCCTGATAATTAATGATATTGAGCATATTTTCATGTTTATTGGCCATTTGCATATCTTCATTTGAGAATTATCCATTCATGTCCTTAGCCCACTTATTGATTGGATTATTTGCTTTTTCTTGCTGATTTGAGTGTCTCGCAGATTCTGGATATTAGCCCTTTGTCAGATGCAAAGTTTACAAATATTTTTTCCCATTCTATGGGTTGTCTGTTTACTCTGTGGATTATTTCTTCTGCTGTGCAGAAGCTTTTTAGTTGAATTAAGTCCCATCTACTTATTTTTGTTTTTGTTGCATTTGCTTTTGGGTTCTTGGTCGTGAACTCTTTGCCTAAGCCTACATCTAGAAGAGTTTTACTGATGTTATCTTCTAGAATTTTTTATGGTTTTAGGCCTTAGATTTAAGTCTCTGATCCATCTTGAGTTGATTTTTGTGTAAGGTCACAGATGAGGATCCAGTTATATTCTTCTACATGTGGCTTGCCAGTTATCTCAGCACCATTTGTTGAATAGGGTGTCCTTTCCCCACTTTATGTTTTTGTTTGCTTTGGTGAAGATCAGTTGGTGGCAAGTATTTGGCTTTATTTCTTGGTTCTCTATTCTGTTCCATTGGTCTACATGACTATTTTTATACCAGCACCATGCTGCTTTGGTAACTATAGCCTTGTAGTATAGTTTGAAATTAGGTAATGTGATGCCTCCAGATTTGTCCCTTTTGCTTTGTCTTGCTTTGACTATGTGGGGTCTTTTCAGTTCCATATGAATTTTAGAATTTTTTTTGTAGTTCTGTGAAAAATGATAATAAATACTTTGATAGGAATTGCATTGAATCTGTAGATCGGTTTTGGCCGTATGGTCATTTTCACTATATTCATTCTACCCATCCGTAAGGAAGGGATGTGTTCCCATTTGTATCATTGATTTCTTTCAGCCGTGTCTTGTAGTTTTCCTTGTAGAGGTCTTTCATGTCCTTGGTAAGGTATATTCCTAAGTATTTTATATTATTTTATTTTTTGCAGCTGTTGTTAAAAAAGATTGAGTTCTTCATTTGTTTCTCAGCTTTGTCATTGTAGGTGTATAGCAGTGCTACTGATTTATGTACATTGATTTTGTATGCTGAAACTTTACTGAACTCATTTGTCAAATCTAGGAGTGTTTGGTTGAATCTTCAGGGTTTTTTAAGTATACAATCATATCATTGGTGAACAGCAACAGTTTGACAACCTCTTTACTGATTTGGATGCCTTTCATTTCTTTCTCTAGTCTGATTGCTGTGGCTAGGAGTTCCAGTACTATGTTGAATAAAAGTGGTGTAAGTGGGCATCCTTGCTTTGTTCCAGTTCTCAGGGGAATACTTTCAACTTTTCCCCATTCAGTATAATGTGGGCTGTGGGTTAGTCATAGATGGCTTTTATTACCCTGAGGTATGTCCCTTCTATGCTGATTTTGCTGAGGGTTTTAATCATAAAGGGATGCTGGATTTTGTCAAATGCTTTTTTCTCCATCTATTGAGATGATCATACGATTTCTGTGTTTAATTTTGTTTATGTGATGTATCACATTTACTGACTTGTGCATGTTAAATCATTCGTGCATACCAGTTATGAAACTCACTTGATCATGGTGTATTATCTTTTTGATATGTTGTTGGATTTGGTTAGCTAGTATTTTGTTGAGGATTTTTGCATTTATGTTAATCAGGGATATTGGTCTTTATTTTTTTTTCCATTATGTCCTTTCCTAATTTTGGAATTAGGTTGATATTGGCTTCATAGAATGATTTAGGGAGATTTCCCTCTCTCTGTCTTTTGGAATAGTATTAAAGTTGGTACCAATTGTTCTTTAAATGTCTGATAGAATTCATCTGTGAATTCATCTGGTCTTGGACTTTTTTTGTTGGCTTTTGTTTTACTACTGTTAATATTGCTGCTTGTTATTGATGTGTTCAGAGTTTTCTATTTCCTTCTGATTTAATTTGGGAGGGTTATATATTTCCTTGAATTAATCCATCTCCTCTAGGTTTTCTAGTTTGTGTGAGTAAAGGTGTTCATAGTAGCCTTGAATGATCTTTAGTATTTCTGTGGTATCAGTTGTAATATCTCCTGTTTTATTTCTAATTGAGCTTATTTGGATTTTTTCCTCTTCTTTTCTTGGTTATTCCCACTAATGGTCTATCAGTTTTGTTTATCTTTTCAAAAAATAAGCTTATTTCATTTATCTTTTGAATTATTATTTTTTGGTTTCAATTTCATTTAGTTGTGCTCTGATCTTTGTTATATCTTTTCTTCTGCTGGGTTTTGGTTTGGTTTGTTCTTTTTTCTCTAGTTTCTTGAGGTGTGACTGTAGATCCTTGAGGTATGTCTATTTGTGCTCTTTCAGACTTTTTGATATAGGCATTTAATGCTATGAACTTTCCTCTTAGCACTGCTTTTGCTGTATCCCAGAGGTTTTGGTAAGTTGTGTCACTATTATCATTCAGCTCAAAGAATTTTAAAATTTTGATCTTGATTTCATTGTTGACCCAATGATCATTCAAGAGCAGATATTTTAATTTCCATGTATTTGTATAGCTTTTGATGTTTCTTTTGGAGTAAATTTCCAGTTTTATTTCACTGTGGTCTTGGATACTTGATATAATTTTGATTTTCTTAAATTGATAGAGACTTGTTTTAGTGGCCTATCATATGGTCTATATTGGAGAATGTTCCATGTGCTGATGCAAAGAATGTATATTCTGCAGTTGTTGGGCAGAATGTGCTGTAAATATCTGTTAAGTCCATTTGTTTCAAGCCATAGTTTAAGTCCGTTGTTTCTTTGTTGACTTTATGTCTTGGTAACCTTTCTAGTGCTGTCAGTGGAGTATTGAAGTCCTTTGCTATTATTGTGTTGCCATCTATCTCACTTCTTAGGCCAAGTAGTAATTGTTTTATAAATTTGAGAGCTCCAGTGTTAGGTGCATATATATTTAGAATTTTCCTATTGGACTATACCTTTTATCATTATATAATAATGATTTTTTTGTGTTTTTAAACTGTTATTGCTTTAAACTCTATTTTGCCTGATTTAAGCATAGCTACTCCACTTGCTTTTGGTTTCCACTTGTGTTGAACTTGTTTTTGGTTTCCACTTGGGTTGAACCCCCTCCTGTTCATCTTAAGTTTATGTGAATTCTTATAGGTTAGGCGAGTCTCTTGAAGACAGCAAATACTTGGTTGCTGGATTTTTATCCATTCTGTCATTCTGTATATTTTAAGTGGAGCATTTAGGCCATGTACATTCAATGTTACTATTGAGATGTGAGGTACTGTTCTGTTCATCATTTTAGTTGTTGTTGCCTTAATACTTTTTTTCTTTCCATTGTGCTATTGTTTTGTAGACTCTGAGAGTTGTAATTTAAGGGGTCTCTATTTTGGTGTATTTCAAGGTTTTGTTTCAAGATTTATAACTCCTTTTAGCATTTATTTTATTTTATTTTATTTTTATTTTACTTTAGGTTTCAAAATACATGTGTAGAACATGCAAGTTTGTTATATAGTTACACTTGTGCCATGGTGGTTTGCTGTACCTATCAACTTGTCATCTAGGTCTTAAGCCTCACCTGCATTAGGTGTTTGTTCTAATGCTTTCCCTCCCCTTCCCCCCAACCCCTGATAGGCCACAGTGTGTGTCATTCCCCTCCCAGAGTCCATGTGCTCTCATTGTTCAACTCCCATTTATGAATGAGAATCTGTGGTGTTTGGTTTTCTGTTCCTGTATTAGTTTGCTGAGGATGATGGCTTCCAGCTTCATCCATGTCCCTGCAAAGGACATAAACTTCTTTTTTATGGCTGCATAGTATTTGCTGGGGTATAGGTACCACATTTTCTTTATACAGTCTATAACTGATAGGCATTTGGGTTGGTTCCATGTCTTTGCTATTCTAAATAGTGCTGCAATAAATATGTGTGCATGTGTCTTTACAGTAGAATGATTTATATTCCTTTGGGTATATACCCAGGAATTGGATTGCTGGGTCAACTGGTATTTCTGGTTCTAGATCCTTGAGAAATCACCACACTGTCTTCCACAATGGTTGAACTAATTTACATTCTCACCAACAGTGTAAAAGTGTTCCTATTTCTCCGCAGCCTCACCAGCATCTATTGGTTCTTGCCTTTTTAATAATTGCCATTCTGACTGGTGTGAAATGGTATCTCATTGTGGTTTTGATTTGCATTTCTCTAATGATCAGAGATGTTGAGCTATTTTTCATGTTTGTTGGCCACATAAATGTCTTCTTTTGAGAGGCATCTATTCATATCCTTTGCCCACTTTTTGAGGGGCTTGTTTATTTTTTTCTTGTAAATTTGTTTAATTTCCTCATATATTCTGGATATTAGCCCTTTGTCAGATGGGTAAATTGCAAAATTTTTCTCCCATTCTGTAGGTTGTCTGTTCACTCTGATGCTAGTTTTTTTCCCCTTTGGAGGAGTTCTTTAGTTTAATTGATCCATTTTGTCAATTTTTGCTTTTGTTGCAAATGCTTTTGGTGTTTTAGTCATGAAGTTTTTGCCCATGCGTATGTCCTGAATGGTATTGCCTAGGTTTTCTTCTAGGGTTTTTATGATTTGGGGTTTTACATTTAAGTCTTTAATCCATCTTTAGTTAATTTTTGTATAAGGTGTAAGGAAGGGGTCCAGTTTCAGTTTTCTTCATATGGCTAGCCAGTTTTCCCAGCACCATTTATTAAATAGAGAATCTTTTCCAAATTGCTTGTTTTTGCCATGTTTGTTGAGGATCGCATGTAGTGTTATTTCTGAGGTCTCTGTTCTGTTTCATTGCTCTATGTGTCTGTTTTGGTACCAGTATCATGCTGTTTTTGTTACTGTAGCCTTGTAGTATAGTTGGAAGTCAGGTACTGTGATGCCTCCAGCTTTGTTCTTTTTTCTTAGGAACATCTTGGCTATATGGGCTCTTTTTTGGTTCCATATGAAATTTAGTTTTTTCTAATTCTGTGAAAAGTGTCAATGGTAGTTTGATGGAAATAGCATTGAATCTATAAATTACTTTGGGCAGTATGGCCATTTTCACAATATTGATTCTTTCTATCCGTGAGAATAAATGTTTTTCCATTTGTTGTGTCCTCTCTTATTTTCCTGGGCAGTGGTTTGTAGTTCTCCTTGAAGAGGTTCTTCATGCCCCTTGTTATCTGTATTCCTAGGTTTTTAATTCTCTTTGCAGCAATTGTGAATGGGAGTTCACACATGATTTGGCTCTCTGCTTGTCCATTATTGGTTTATAGTAATGCTTGTGATTTTCGAACATTGATTTTGTATCCTGAGACTTTGCTGAAGTTACTTATCAGCTTAAAGAGTTTTTGGGCTGAGATGATGGGGTTTTCTAAATACAGAATCATGTCATCTGCAAGCAGAGGCAATTTGACTTCCTGTCTTCGTATTTGAATACACTTTATTTATTTCTCCTGCCTGATTGTGCTGGCCAGAACTTCCAACACTATGTCACACAGGAGTGGTGAGAGAGGGCATCCTTGTATTGTGCTGCTTTTCAAAGGGAATGCTTCCAGTTTTGGCCTATTCAATATGATATTGGCTATGGGTTTGTCATAAATAGCTCTTATTATTTTGCGATATATTCCAACAATACCTAGTTTATTGAGAGTTTTTAACATAAAGGGATGTTGAATTTTATCAAAGGGCTTTCTCACATCTATTGATATAATTATGTGGTTTTTGTCATTAGTTCTGTTTCTGTAATGGATTATGTTTATTGACTTGCATATGTTGAATGAGCCTTGCATCCCAGGAATGAAGCCAACTTGTTCATGGTGGATAAGTGTTCTGATGTGCTGCTGGATTTAGTTTGCCAGTATTTTATTGAGGATTTTCAATCCATGTTCACCAGGGATATTGGCCTGAGGTTATTTTTATTTTTTATTTTATTATTCTTTCAGTTTTAGGGTACATGTGCACAACGTGCATGTTTGTTACGTATGTATACATGTGCCATATTGATGTGCTGCACCCATTAACTCGTCATTTAACATTAGGTATATCTCCTAATGCTATCCCGCCTCACTCCCCCCACCCCACAACAGGCCACAGTGTGTGATGTTCTCCTTCCCGTGTCCATGCATTCTCATTGTTCAATTCCCACCAATGAGCGAGAACATGCAGTGTTTGGTTTTTTGTCCTTGTGATAGTATGCTGAGAATGATGGTTTCCAGCTTCATCCAAGTCCCTATAAAGGACATGAACTCATCATTTTTTATGGCTGCATAGTATTCCATGGTGTATATGGGCCACATTTTCTTAATCCAATCTATCATTGTTGGACATTTGGGTTGGTTCCAAGTCTTTGCTATTGTGAATAGTGCCACAAAAAACATACATGTGCATGTGTCTTTATAGCAGCATGATTTATAATCCTTTGGGTATATACCCAGTAATGGGATTGCTGGGTCAAATGGTATTTCTAGTTCTAGATCCCTGAGGAATCGCCACGCTGACTTCCACAATAGTTAAACTAGTTTACCATCCTACCAACAATGTAAAAGTATTTCTATATGTATACATCCTCTCCAGCATCTGTTGTTTCCTGACTTTTTAATGATCACCATTCTAACTGGTGTGAGATGGTATCTCATTGTGGTTTTGATTTACATTTCTCTGATGGCCAGTGATGATGAGCATTTTTTCATGTGTCTTTTGGCTGCATAAATGTCCTCTTTTGAGAAGTGTCTGTTCACTTCCTTTGTCCACTTTTTGATGGGGTTGTTTTTTTCTTGTAAATTTGTTTGAGTTCATTGTAGATTCTGGATATTAGCCCTTTGTCAGATGAGTAGGTTGCAAAATTTTTCTCCCATTCTGTAGGTTGCCTGTTCACTCTGATGGTAGTTTCGTTTGCTGTGCAGAAGCTCTTTAGTTTAATTAGATCCCATTTGTCTATTTTGGCTTTTGTTGCCATTGCTTTTGGTGTTTTAGACATGAAGTCCTTGCCCATGCCTATGTCCTGAATGGTATTGCCTAGGTTTTCTTCTAGGGTTTTTATGGTTTTAGGTCTAACATTTAAATCTTTAATCCATCTTGAATTAATTTTTGTATAAGGTGTAAGGAAGGGATCCAGTTTCAGCTCTCTACTTATGGCTAGCCAGTTTTCCCAGCACCATTTATTAAATAGGGAATCCTTTCCCCATCGCTTGTTTTTCTCAGGTTTGTCAAAGATCAGATAGCTGTAGATAAGCAGCATTATTTCTGAGGGCTCTGTTCTGTTCCATTGGTCTATATCTCTGTTTTGGTACCAGTACCATGCTCTTTTGGTTACTGTAGCCTTGTAGTATAGTTTGAAGTCAGGTAGCCTGATGCCTCCAGATTTGTTCTTTTGGCTTAGGATTGACTTGGCAATGCAGGCTCTTTTTTGGTTCCATATGAACTTTAAAGTAGTTTTTTCCAATTCTGTGAAGAAAGTCATTGGTAGCTTGATGGGGATGGCATTGAATCTATAAATTACCTTGGGCAGTATGGCCATTTTCACGATATTGATTCTTCCTACCCATGAGCGTGGAATGTTCTTCCATTTGTTTCTATCCTCTTTTATTTCCTTGAGCAGTGGTTTGTAGTTCTCCTTGAAGAGGTCCTTCACATCCCTTGTAAGTTGGATTCCTAGGTATTTTATTCTCTTTGAAACAATTGTGAGTGGGAGTTCAATCATGATTTTGTTCTCTGTTTGTCTCTTATTGGTGTATAAGAATGCTTGTGATTTTTGCACATTGATTTTGTATCCTGAGACTTTGCTGAAGTTGCTTATCAGCTTAAGAAGATTTTGCGCTGAGACAATGGAGTTTTCTAGATATACAATCATGTCATCTGCAAACAGGGACAATTTGACTTCCTCTTTTCCTAATTGTGTACACTTTATTTCCTTCTCCTGCCTGATTACCCTGGCCAGAACTTCCAACACTATGTTGAATAGGAGTGGTGAGAGACGGCATCCCTGTCTTGTGCCAGTTTTCAAAAGGAATGCTTCCAGTATTTGCCCATTCAATATGATATTGGCTGTGGGTTTGTCATAGATAGCTCTTATTATTTTGAGATACTTCCCATCAGTACTTAATTTATTGAGAGTTTTTAGCATGAATGTTGTTGAATTTTGTCAAAGGCCTTTTCTGCATCTATTGAGATAATCATGTGGTTTTTGTCTTTGGTTCTGTTTATATGCTGGAACATGTTTATTGATTTTCATATGTTGAACCAGCCTTGCATCCTGGGGATGAAACCCACTTGATCATGGTGGATAAGCTTTTGGTGTGCTGCTGGATTCGGTTTGCCAGTATCTTATTGAGGATTTTTGCATCAATGTTCATCATGGATATTGGTCTAAAATTCTCTTTTTTGGTTGTGTCTCTGCCAGGCTGTGGTATCAGGATGATGTTGGCCTCATAAAATGAGTTAGGGAGGACTCCCTCTTTTTCTATTGATTGGAATAGTTTCAGAAGGAATGGTACCAGCTCTTCCTTGTACCTCTGGTAGAATTCAGCTGTGAATCCATCTGGTCCTTGAATTTTTTTGGTTGGTCAGCTATTAATTATGCCTCAATTTCAGAGTCTGTTATTGTTTTATTCAGATATTCAACTTTTCCTTGTTTAGACTTGGGAGGAATATGTGTTGAGGAATTTATCCATTTCTTCTAGATTTTCTAGTTTATTTGTGTAGAGGTGTTTATAGTATTCTCTGATGTAGTTTGTATTTCTGTGGGATCAGTGGTGATATCCCCTTTATCATTTTTTATTGCATCTATTTGATTCTTTTCTCTTTTCTTCTTTATTAGTCTTGCTGGCAGTCTATCAATTTTGTTGATCTTTTGAAGAAACCACTCATGGATTCATTGATTTTTTGAAGGGTTTTTTGTGTCTCTATTTCCTTCAGTTCTGCTCTGATCTTAGTTATTTCTTGCCTTCTGCTAGCTTTTGAATGTGTTTGCTCTTGCTTCTCTAGTTCTTTTAATTGTGATGTTAGGGTGTCAATTTTGGATCTTTCCTGCTTTCTCTTGTGGGCATTTAGTGCTATAAATTTCCCTCTACACACTGCTTTGAATGTGTCCCAGAGATTCTGGTATGTTGTGTCTTTGTTTTCATTGGTTTCAAAGAACATCTTTATTTCTGCCTTCTTTTCGTTATGTACCCAGTAGTCATTCAGGAGCAGGTTTTTCAGTTTCCATGTAGTTGAGAAGTTTTGAGTGAGTTTCTTAATCCTGAGTTCTAGTTTGATTGCACTGTGGTCTGAGAGACAGTTTGTTATAATTTCTATTCTTTTACATTTGCTGAGGAGTGCTTTACTTCCGACTATATGGTCAATTTTGGAATAGGCATGGTGTGGTGCTGAGAAGAATGTATATTCTGTTGACTTGGGGTGGAGAGATCTGTAGACATCTATTAGGTCCACTTGGAGCAGAGCTGAATTCAATTCCTCCATATCCTTGTTAACTTTCTGTCTTGTTGATCTGTCTAATGTTGACAGTGGGGTGTTAAAATCTCCCACCATTATTGTGTGGGAGTTGAAGTCTCTTTGTAGGTCACTCAGGACTTGCTTTATGAATCTGGGTGCTCCTGTATTGGGTGCATATATATTTAGGATAGTTAGCTCTTCTTGTTGAATTGATCCATTTACCATTATGTAATGGCCTTTGTCTCTTTTGATCTTTGTTGGTTTAAAGTCTATTTTATCAGAGACTAGGATTGCAACCCCTGACTTTTTTTGTTTTCCATTTGCTTGGTAGATCTTCCTCCATCCCTTTATTTTGAGCCTATGTGTGTCTCTACACGTGAGATGGGTTTCCTGAATACAGCACAGTGATGGGTCTTGACTCTGTATCCAATTTGCCAGTCTGTGTCTTTTAATTGGAGCATTTAGCCCATTTACACTTGAGGTTAATATTGTTTTGTGTGAATTTGTTCCTGTCATTATGATGTTAGCTGGATAATTTGTTCATTAGTTTATGCAGTTTCTTAAAAAAAGTGAGTGAAGGATATGAACAGACACTTCTCAAAAGAAGAAATTTATGCAGCCAAAAAACACATGAAAAAATCCTTGTCATCGCTGGCCATCAGAGAAATGCAAATCAAAACCACAATTAGATACCATCTTACACCAGTAAGAATGGCAATCATTGAAAAATCAGGAAACAACAGGTGTTGGAGAAGATGTGGAAAAATAGGAACACTTTTACACTGTTGGTGGGACTGTAAACTAGTTAAATGATTGTGGAAGTCAGTGTGGAGATTCCTCAGGGATCTAGAAGTAAACATATCATTTGACCCAGTCATCCCATTACTGGGTATATACCCATAGGATTATAAATCATGCTTCTATAAAGACACATGCACACATATGTTTATTGTAGCACTATTCACAATAGCAAAGACTTGGAACCAACCCAAATGTTGAGCAATGATAGACTGTATTAAGAAAATGTGGCCCATATACACCATATAATACTATGCAGACATAAAAAATGATGAGTTCCTGTCCTTTGTAGGGACATGGACGAAGCTGGAAACTATCATTCTCAGCAAACTATCACAAGGACAAAAAACCAAACACCACATGTTCTCACTCATAGGTGGGAATTGAACAATGAGAACACGTGGACACAGGAAGGGGAACATCGCACACTGGGGACTGTTGTGGGGTTGGGGGAGGGATAGCATTAGGAAATATAAATGACGAGTTAATGGGTGCCGCACACCAACATGGCACATGTATATATATGTAACAAACCTGCATGTTGTGCACATGTACCCTAAAACTTAAGGTATAATAATAATAAAATTAAAAAAAGAATTATGTGTAAAACAAGGTAAAAACAACCAGGACATTAAAAAAGATGTAAATAAAGTTATAAAAATAAAAAGGTATTTTTTGAGGTAAAAAGGCTTAACGGGAAATAATATATAAGAAGGAATCTTATATGGTAAATGTAGTCCTAAAATAAAATAACTGATTGCTTAAAAAGGAGGGATGTTGGGGAGAAACCAGAAAGTCTGAGCATGTCAGGTATGCTCAGTGTAAGTCACAAGAAGAGTATTTATGTTTAAAAAACCCGAAACCTTTTATGTAATCCAGTTGTCATATTATCATTAAGCTTTGGCTTGCCTAGGAAAAGAAACTGAAACAAAAAATTTTTTAAAATTAAGGTTATTTCATCCATATATCTTGCTTCATGTGCTTTTAAAGTCCTTGTGACATTGAGTTACAAAGCTTTAACTCCTGGGTCTAAAAAGGACACCAAGTCCTGCTAAATCTTAAATACTGACAGCAACTAAAGTCCCATCTTAGGGTTCTGTAGAAGATGCCAATAAAAAAAAACTGCATTCCTGAGACACAGGGCAAGAAATTAAAGCTATTCAACTCCTCAAGGCCCAGGGACTGTCATGGAAGAGGTGGGCATGTAAGGCTGTTAGGGCCAATTTTGAAAGATAAAAGCAGTTTAGTTTCTCTATAGATTTATCATTAATATCAAAGGCACACTGATGCAAAACCAATGTATGGATCCTTGTGTCAGATTAACAAGGTGTTCTTGAAGTATTAACCAACAGCTTAATAATGGTTATAAAAGGCTCATGACTGCCTCATATTATGTGTACACAGTCCTGGTACAGGGTTTCTGACCTGTGGTAAGTAAAGAATGTCACTTTCTTACAGGTGTAGAAGCCCTTGTTTCTTGGAGGATACAAGTTAAGGACGAAAGGAGGAGAGGAAATTCACCCAACTCATAGGTATTTGATGGCATAAATCCATGGCTGGGCTCAGCTTTAAAAATGTCTTATCTGAGATTCCTCCTATGGAACAAGGTTCCATGATAGCCAATTGAAAAGCCTGGGTAAAAAACAATTATTCTTGCTGCACTGTATACAAATAATTAGGTCAAATATAATAAGCGAACTAGTCCTATCATGATTTGTCTTGCCTAACTTTTTTTTTTTTACTCCAATTCTTATTATTTTCTATGTTTGAACTGAATTCTAATTTTTCTTGGCTATGGGTCTTTAAAATAAAATTTTCATTTTTTTCCTTCTTTTTGTTCCATTTTTCCTAAATTGGAGTCACTGAAAACTAAGCCATGCTTTCCTAAAAACCCTGCAAACTGAAGCCAGACAACTTAAACTTCAGAAGAAAATAACAGCAACCAGAGGGGTGGAGCTAAGATGGCCAAATAGGAACAGCTCCGGTCTACAACTCCCAGCATAAGCAATGCAGAAGAAAGGTGATTTCTGCATTTCCAGCTGAGGTACCGGGTTCATCTCACTAGGGAGTGCCAGACAGTGGGTGCAGGACAGGGGTGCAGTGCACCGTGTGTGTGTGAGCCGAAGCAGGGTGAGGCATTGCCTCACTTGGGAAGTGGAAGGGGTCAGGGAGTTCCCTTTCCTCATCAAAGAAAGGGGTGACAGACGGCACCTGGAAAATTGGGTCACTCCCACCCCAATACTGCACTTTTCCAATGGGCTTAAAAAACGGCACACAAGGAGATTATATCCCGCACATGGCTCGGAGGGTCCTATGCCAGCGGAGTGTCACTGATTGCTAGCACAGCAGTCTGAGATCAAACTGCAAGGTGGCAGCGAGGCTGGGGGAGGGGCGCCCGCCATTGCCCAGGCTTGCTTAGGTAAACAAAGCAGGTGGGAAGCTCGAACTGAGTGGAGCCCACCACAGCTCAAGGAGGGCTTCCTGCCTCTGTAGGCTCCACCTCTGGGGGCAGGGCACAGACAAACAAAAAGACAGCAGTAACCTCGGCAGACTTAAATGTCCCTGTCTGACAGCTTTGAAGAGAGTAGTGGTTCTCCCAGCACACAGCTTGAGATCTCAGAACAGGCAGACTGCCTCCTCAAGTGGGTCCCTGACCCCTGAGCAGCCTAACTGGGAGGCACCCCCCAGTAGGGGCAGGCTGACACCTCACACAGCTGGGTACTCCTCTGAGACAAAACTTCCAGCGGACCGATCAGGCAACAGCATTTGTGGTTCATGGTAATCTGCTGTTCTGCAGCCACTGCTGCTGATACCCAGGCAAACAGGGTCTGGTGTGGACCTCTAGCAAACTCCAACAGACCTGCAGCTGAGGGTTCTGTCTGTTAGAAGGAAAACTAACAAACAGGAAGGACATCCACACCAAAAATCCATCTGTACATCACCAGCATCAAAGACCAAAAGTAGATAAAACCACAAAGATGGGGAAAACACAGAGCAGAAAAACTGGAAACTCTAAAAAGCAGAGTGTCTGTCCTCCTCCAAAGGAATGCAGTTCCTCACCAGCAACGGAACAAAGCTGGAGGGAGAATGACTTTGACGAGTTGAGAGAAGGCTTCAGATGATCAAACTATTCCGAGCTACAGGAGGAAATTCACACCAATGGCAAAGGAGTTAAAAACTTTGAAAAAAAATTAGACGAATGGATAACTAGAATAACCAATGCAGAGAAGTGCTTAAAGGAGCTGATGGACCTGAAAGCCAAGGCTCAAGAACTACATGAAGAATGCAGAAGCCTCAGGAGCTGATGCAATCAACTGGAAGAAGGAGTATCAGTGATGGAAGATGAAATGAATGAAATGAAGTGAGAAGGGAAGTTTAGAGAAAAAAGAATAAAAAGAAACGAGCAAAGTCTCCAAGAAATATGGGACTATGTGAAAAGACCAAATCTACCTCTGATTGGTGCACCTGAAAGTGACAGGGAGAATGGAAGCAAGTTGGAAAACACTCTGCAGGATATTATCCAGGAGAACTTCCCCAATCTAGCAAGGCAGGCCAACATTCAGATTCAGGAAATACAGAGAATGCCACAAAGATACTCCTCGAGAAGAGCAACTCCAAGAAACATAATTGTCAGATTCACCAAACTTGAAATGAAGGAAAAAATGTTAAGGGCAGCCAGAGAGAAAGGTTAGTTTACCCACAAAGGGAAGCCCATCATACTAACAGCAGATGTCTCGGCAGAAACTCTACACGCCAGAAGAGAGTGGGGGCCAATATTCAACATTCTTAAAGAAAAGAATTTTCAACCCAGAATTTCATATCCAGCCAAACTAAGCTTCATAAGTGAAGGAGAAATAAAATACTTTAAAGACAAGCAAATGCTGAGAGATTTTGTCACCACCAGGCCTGCCCTAAAAGAGCTCCTGAAGGAAACACTAAACGTGGAAAGGAACAACCGGTATCAGCCACTGCAAAAACATGCCAAATTGTAAAGACCATCAAGGCTAGGAAGAAACTGCATCAACTAACGAGCAAAATAACCAGCTAACATCATAATGACAGGATCAAATTCACACATAACAATATTAACTTTAAATGTAAATGGACTAAATGCTCCAATTAAAAGACACAGACTGGCAAATTGGATAAAGAGTCAAGACCCATCACTGTGCTGTATTCAGGAAACCCATCTCATGTGCAGAGACACACATAGGCTCAAAATAAAGGGATGGAAGAAGATCTACCAAGCAAATGGAAAACAAAAAAAGTCAGGGGTTGCAATCCTAGTCTCTGATAAAACAGACTTTAAACAAACAAAGATCAAAAGAGACAAAGGCCATTACATAATGGTAAATGGATCAATAAAACAAGAAGAGCTAACTATCCTAAATATATATGCACCCAATACAGGAGCACCCAGATTCATAAAGCAAGTCCTGAGTGACCTACAAAGAGACTTCAACTCCCACACAATAATAATGGGAGACTTTAAAACCCCACTGTGAACATTAGACAGATCAGTGAGACAGAAAGTTAACAAGGATACCCAGGAATTGAACTCAGCTCTGCACTATGCGGACCTAATAGACATCTACAAAACTCTCCACCCCAAATCAACAGAATATACATTTTTTTCAGTACCACAACACAGCTATTCCAAATTGAGCACATAGTTGGAAGTAAAGCACTCCTCGGCAAATGTAAAAGAATAGAAATTATAACAAACTGTCTCTCAGACCACAGTGCAATCAAACTAGAACTCAGGATTAAGAAATTCACTCAAAACTTCTCAACTACATGGAAACTGAAAAACCTGCTCCTGAATTGCTACGGGGTACATAACGAAATGAAGGCAGAAATAAAGATGTTCTTTGAAACCAACGAGAACAAAGACACAACATACCAGAATCTCTGGGACACATTCAAAGCAGTGTGTAGAGGGAAATTTATAGCACTAAATGCCCACAAGAGAAAGCAGGAAAGATCCAAAATTGACACCCTAACATCACAATTAAAAGAACTAGAGAAGCAAGAGCAAACACATTCAAAAGCTAGCAGAAGGCAAGAAATAACTAAAATCAGAGCAGAACTGAAGGAAATAGAGACACAAAAAAACCCTTCAAAAAATTAATGAATCCAGGAGCTGGTTTCTTGAAAGGATCAACAAAATTGATAGACCACTAGCAAGTCTATCAAAGAAAAAAAGAGAGAAGTATCAAATAGACACAATAAAAAATGATAAAGGGGATATCACCACCAATCCCACAGAAATACAATCTACCATCAGAGAATACTACAAACACCTCTATGCAAATAAACTAGAAAATCTAGAAGAAATGGATAAATTCCTCGACACATACACTGTCCCAAGACTAAACCACTAAGAAGTTGAATCTCTGAATAGACCAAAAACAGGAGCTGAATTTGTGGCAATAATCAATAGTTCACCAACGAAAAAGAGTCCCAGACCAGATGGATTCACAGCAGAATTCTACCAGAGGTATAAGGAGGAACTGGTACCATTCCTTCTGAAACTATTCCAATCAATAGAAAAAGAGGGAATCCTCCCTAACTCATTTTATGAGGCCAGTATCATCCTGATACCAAAACCGGGCAGAGACACAACCAAAAAAGAGAATTTTAGACCAATATCCCTGATGAACATCGACGCCAAAATCCTCAATAAAATACTGGCAAACCGAATCCAGCAGCACATCAAAAAGCTTATCCACCATGATCAAGTGGGCTTCATCCCTGGGATGCAAGGCTGGTTCAATATACACAAATCAATAAATGTAATCCAGCATATAAACAGAACCAAAGACAAAAACCTCATGATTATCTCAATAGATGCAGAAAAAGCCTTTGACAAAATTCAACAACCCTTCATGCTAAAAACTCAATAAATTAGGTATTGATGGGACGTATTTCAAAATAATAAGAGCTATCTATGACAAACCCACAGCCAATATCATACTGAATGGGCAAAAACTGGAACCATTCCCTTTGAAAACTGGCACAAGACAGGGATGCCCTCTCTCACCACTCCTATTCAACATAGTGTTGGAAGTTCTGGCCAGGGCATTTAGGCAGGAGAAGGAAATAAAGGGTATTCAATTAGGAAAAGAAGAAGTCAAATTGTCCCTGTTCGCAGATGACATGATTGTATATCTAGAAAACCTCATTGTCTCAGCCCAAAATCTCCTTAAGCTGATAAGCAACTTCAGCAAAGTCTCAGGATACAAAATCAATGTACAAAAATCACAAGCATTCTTATACACCGACAACAGACAAACAGAGAGCCAAATCATGAGTGAACTCACATTCACAATTGCTTCAAAGAGGATAAAATACCTAGGAATCCAACTTACAAGGGATGTGAAGGACCTCTTCAAGGAGAACTACAAACCACTGCTCAAGGAAATAAAAGAGGATAGAAACAAATGGAAGAACATTCCATGCTCATGGGTAGGAAGAATCAATATCGTGAAAATGGCCATACTGCCCAAGGTAATTTACAGATTCAATGCCATCCCCTTCAAGCTACCAATGACTTTCTTCACAGAATTGGAAAATCTACTTTAAAGTTCATATGGAACCAAAGAAGAGCCTGCATTGCCAAGTCAATCCTAAGCCAAAAGAACAAATCTGGAGGCATCACGCTACCTGACTTCAAACTATACTACAAGGCTACAGTAACCAAAACAGCATGGTACTGCTACCAAAACAGAGATATAGATCAATGTAACAGAACAGAGCCCTCAGAAATAACACTGCATATCTACAACTATGTGATCTTTGACAAACCTGAGAAAAACAAGCGATGGGGAAAGGATTCCCTATTTAATAAATGGTGCTGGGAAAACTGGGTAGCCATATCTAGAAAGCTGAAACTGGATCTCTTCCTTACACCTTATACAAAAATCAATTCAAGATGGATTAAAGACTTAAACGTTAGACCTAAAACCATAAAAACCCTAGAAGAAAACCTAGGCATTACAATTCAGGACATAGGCATGGGCAAGGACTTCATGTCTAAAACACCAAAAGCAATGGCAACAAAAGCTAAAATAGACAAATGGGATCTAATTAAACTAAAGAGCTTCTGCACAGCAAAAGAAACTACCATCAGAGTGAACATGCAACCTACAAAATGCCAGAAAGTTTTCGCAACCTTCTCATCTGACAAAGGGCTAATATCCAGAATCTACAATGAACTCAAACAAATTTACAGGTAAAAAACAAACAACCCCATCAAAAAGTGGGCAAAGGACATGAACAGACACTTCTCAAAAGAAGACATTTATGCAGCCAAAAAACACATGGCAAAATAAACTTTCTAAATTAACTAAGACCAGTCTGAGATTTTCTGGGTTCACAATTTGAAAGCCTTGTCTTCAAGCTCTGAAGTTCTTTTTTCTAGTTGTTATAGTTTATTGTTGAAACTTAGCACTGCATTTTGTATCTCCCTAAATGTGTCTTTCGTTCCCAGAAGTTGTGATTTTTTTCTTTATGATATCTCTTTCTCTAGAGAATTTTTCATCCTTAACTTGTATTTTTAAAAAATTTCTTTGAGTTGGTTTTCACCTTTCTCTGGTATCTCCTTGAGTAGCTTGATAATCAAGATTCTGAATTCCTTATCTGGCAATTCAGAGATTTCTTCTTGATTTGGATCCATTGCCAGGGAGTTGGTCTTTTGGGGTTGTTATAGAATCCTGTTTGTCATATTACCAGAATTATTTTCTGGGGGTTCCTTTTCATTTGGATGACTATTTCTGTGGAGAGTTCTGAAACTCAAGGCCTGCTGTTCAGATTTTCTTGTCCCATGGGGTGACCCCTTGATGTAGTGCCCTCCCCCTTACCCTAGGGATGGGGCTTCCTGAGAGTTGGACAGCAGTGATTGTTATTGTTCTTCTGGATTTAGCCATCCATCGGGGCTACCAGGCTCTGGGCTGGTGCTGGGGGTTGTCTGCAAAGGGTTCTGTGATGTGATCCATCTTCAGGTCTCCCAGCTGTGGATACCAGCATCTGCTCTGATAGAGATTGCAGAGAAGTGAAATGAACTCTATGAAAGTCTTTTGTTGTAAATATGTTTAGTGTGCTGGCTTTCTTGAATGCTGGTTATGCTAGCAGTGAAGTTGTCATGTGGACATCCTCAGGACCTCTGGTTAGCCAGGATGTTGCCAGCAGTGGGAACAGGTGTTGTCTTCTTGGGTTCAAGGTTATTCTTTCATGAGTTGCTGTAATGGCCTGAGTTGCTTGTCATCAAACCAGGAGGTGGTGCTTTTAAGAGAGCACCAGCTGTGGTAGTAGTTGGGGGCTCTAAGCTTGCCATAAGATGGCCAGAGTAAGTATTTTGGTTTCTCAGGTGATTGATGAGAAACCATAAAGCTTCCAAGAGTTTCTGTGTTTTGTGTTCAGCTGCCAGGGTGGATAGGGAGAAACCACCAGGTGTGTGCAGGATTAGGCAGGCATGGGCCCAGACTTTCCTTGGGAGGGGCTTGCCATGATCACTGTCTGGGATGGGCGAGTTGTTCTCAGGCCAATGGGGTTATTTTCCAGAGGGGATCTTGGCTGCCTCTGCTGTGTTTTATAGCTTGCCAGGGAAGTGGAAGATAGCCAGTAGCAAGAGGCATTACCTAGCTCCCATGCATTTGCTGAGGCTGGTCTGGTTCCTGCAGTGCCTCCTCTGATCAGACCTTGCCGCAGGCCATGAGCTACCCCACTGAGAAAGCAAGCTTTCTGATCTCATTCCTCCCCATCTGCCCTCTCTGTAGGCAGCAGCTCCTGTGCTCCTGTGCTTGCTCACAGCAGCTCCTGCTTGTCCTTCAGACCCTGCTCAAGAAAACTTGTGCCCAGACAAAACCACTACCAATTTCAGTTGGGAACTTTCTTTGCCCCATGACCCCTCCCCAGTTTCACTGGCTGTTTTCCCCAAAGGCCCTGTGAGACATAGTCAAGGATGGCGTCCCAGGGCTCAAGCTGGAGACTGGGAGTACATTCGAGCACTTCCTGCTGTTACTTGTACTTTTATATTTTTTGTGACTCCCTAAACCCGTTTCATATCTAGGTAAGGTTAAATCCTACTCCTGTGATCTGGATTTTCAGATTCCCCAGTGGGGATGCATGTTCAGAGGTAGGTTTTCTCCCTGTCACACTTTGAGAACTCACAGTTTTTTGCTTGTTTTGTGGAATTTGCAGCGGTGTGCCACTTGTTTCAAAGGATTTGTGAATTCTTTTGGCTTTCCTGGTATATTCGTGCAGTGGTTCTTGGAGCAAAAGATCATGATATGGATCTCTACATGCTGCTCTGATTTGTCTATGTGGGAGCTAGATGTTAGCCCTGTCTCCTGTTTGCTATCTTCCCCTCCAGAAGATTTCTAATTGCTCATTAATGTCCTTTTCTTTCTGATTGAAGTACTTCCTTTAGCATTTTTTGCAGGACAGGTCTAGTCTTGATGAAATTCCTCAGCTTTTGTTTGCCTGGGAAACTCTTTACTTCTCCTTCATGTTTGAAGGATATTTTCACCAGATATACTTTCTAGGGCAAGAGTTCTTTTTTTTTCCCTTCAGCACTTTACATATATCATGCTACTGTCTCCTGGCCTGTAAGGTTTCCACTGAAAAGTCTGCTGCCAGATATATTGGAACTCCATTTTATGTTATGTTATTTTATTATTTTTTTCTTGCTGCTTTTAGGATCCTTTCTTTATCCTTGACCTTTGGGAGTTTGAGTTTAAATGTCTTGAGGTAGTCTCCTTTAAGTTAAATCTGCTAGATGTTCTATAACCTTCTTGTGTTTGGATATTGATATCTTTCTCTAGGTTTGGGAAGTTCTCTGTTATTATCCTTTTGAATAAACTTTTACCTCTATATCTTTCTCTACCTCCTCTTTAAGGCCAGTAAATTAAATTTGTCCATTTGAGGCTGTTTTCTAAATATTTTAGAAATGCTCTATTCTTTTTTATTCTTGTCTCTTCTATTTGTGTTTTCAAATAGCCTGTCTCCAATGTCACAACTTCTTTTTTTGCATTATCAATTCTGCTATTAGAGATTCTAATGCATTCTTCAGTATGTCAGTTGTATTTTTCAACCCCAGGATTTCTCCATGAATCTTTTTAATTATTTCAGTATTTTTGTTAAATGTTCTGATAGAATTCTGAATTCCTTCTCTGTATTATCTTGAATTTCTTTGAGTTTCCTCTAATCTGCCAGGACTGTGTCATTCCCCTCAAGGCAATATGTTCCCCCCTGCCCCAGGGTATGTCTAGAAATGTCACCTGGGAACTAGGGCCTGGAATGGGGTCCTTATTACTGTGATTGATGCCTTATCCTATTGTGGTTGGGTGATATCCAAGATGTGAGACAAAAGTCCTCTTTATCTTTCTCTCCTCTCCTAAAGTGGACAGAAGGGTCACTTTTGGAGTCACAAGCTGTGCTGCCTGAATTTTGGGAAAAGGTGGCACAAGCATTTTCATAGCAGCCCAGGCAAGTGTCTTACTAGTTTGTGTGCCCTTAAGTCCACGGACTCTGAGCCCAGCTTAGCACTAGGAATTGCAATCCTTGTTGTCCAGACTGCCTTTCAAGTGTATTTAGGGCCCCAAAACACTTTAGCCCATAGTAGCCGAAGGAACATTTTTTTTGAGGAACATCCATGCTATTGTCCATAATGGACAGAACTAATTTACATTCTCACCAACTGTGTGTAAGGTCCCCCCCCTTTTTTTAAAACATCCTTGCAACACTTGCTATTTTTTGTCTTTTTGGTAATAGTCATTTTAACAGTGTGAGGTGATAGCTCATTGTGGTTTTAATTTTCATTTTTTGATGATTAGTGATGTTGAGCCTTTTATCATTTATCTGCTGGCCATTTGAATATCTTCTTTTGATAAATGTCTGTTCAGATCCTCTACCCATTTTAAAATTGTTTATTTGCTTTCTAATATTAATTTGTTTGAATTTATTTTATATTTTGTATATTAACCTCATCAGATTTATTGTTTGCAAATATATTCTGTAGGTTGTCTCTTCACTCTGTTGTTTTCTTGGCTGTGCAGAAGCTTTTGTTTAATGCAATTCCGTTTGTCTATTTTTGCTTTTTTTCTCTGTGTTCTTGGGGTCGTATTCAAAAAAATGATCGCTCAGACCAATGTCATGGAGGTTTTCCCCCACATTTTTCTCCTAGTAGTTTTATAGTTTCAGGTTTTACTTTTAAGTTTTTAATCTGTTTTGAGTTGATTTTTGTTGTGTCTCTTCCTGGCTTTGTTATCAGGATGATGCTGGCCTCATAAAATGAGTTAGGGAGGATTCCCTCTTTTTCTATTGATTAGAATAGTTTCAGAAGGAATGGTACCAGCTCCTCCTTGTACCTCTGGTAGAATTTGGCTGTGAATCCATCTGGTCTTGGACTCTTTTTCGTTGGTGAACTATTGATTATTGCCACAAATTCAGCTCCTGTTTTTGGTCTATTCAGAGATTCAACTTCTTAGTGGTTTAGTCTTGGGACAGTGTATGTGTCGAGGAATTTATCCATTTCTTCTAGATTTTCTAGTTTATTTGCGTAGAGGTGTTTGTAGTATTCTCTGATGGTAGATTGTATTTCTGTGGGATTGGTGGTGATATCCCCTTTATCATTTTTTATTGTGTCTATTTGATACTTCTCTCTTTTTTTCTTTGATAGACTTGCTAGTGGTCTATCAATTTTGTTGATCCTTTCAAGAAACCAGCTCCTGGATTCATTAATTTTTTGAAGGGTTTTTTTGTGTCTCTATTTCCTTCAGTTCTGCTCTGATTTTAGTTATTTCTTGCCTTCTGCTAGCTTTTGAATGTGTTTGCTCTTGCTTCTCTAGTTCTTTTAATTGTGATGTTAGGGTGTCAATTTTGGATCTTTCCTGCTTTCTCTTGTGGGCATTTAGTGCTATAAATTTCCCTCTACACACTGCTTTGAATGTGTCCCAGAGATTCTGGTATGTTGTGTCTTTGTTCTCGTTGGTTTCAAAGAACATCTTTATTTCTGCCTTCATTTCGTTATGTACCCCGTAGCAATTCAGGAGCAGGTTTTTCAGTTTCCATGTAGTTGAGAGGTTTTGAGTGAATTTCTTAATCCTGAGTTCTAGTTTGATTGCACTGTGGTCTGAGAGACAGTTTGTTATAATTTCTCTTCTTTTACATTTGCAGAGGAGAGCTTTACTTCCAACTATGTATGTGGTGTAAGATGAGAATCTAATTTAATTATTCTGCATTTGGATATCCAGTTTTCACAGCACCATTTATTGAAGAGATTGTCTTTTCCTTATTGTGTGTTTATGGCATTTTTGTCAAAATCAATTGGACTGTAAATGTGTGGATTTATTTCTGGGCTCTCTATTCTGTTCCATTGGTCCATATGTCTGTCTTTATGTGCCAGTACCATGCTATTTTGATGACTACAAATTAGTAGTAGATTTTGAAATCACATAGTGTGTTGCTCCCAGTGTTATTCATAATTACTTAGGTCTTCTGGGTCTTTTGAAGTTGTATATGAATTTTAAGATTTCTTTCTGTGTTTGTGAAAAATGTCATTAGACTTTTGATAGGGATTTAATTGAACCTGTAGATTGATTTTGACACTATGAACATTTTAACAATGTTAATTCTTCCAGTCCATGAACATGGGACATATTTCCATTTATTAATGTCTTCTTCAATTTATTTTACCAATGTTTTATAATTTTCCATGTGCACATCTTCCAACTTTTTGGTTAAATTTATTCCAATTATTATCTTTTTCATAGTGATTCTAAACAGAATTGTTTTCCTGACTTTTTGGGATAGTTTATTGTTAATGTATAGAAATACTACTAACTTTTGAATGGTAATTTTGGATATTACAACTTTACTAAATTTGTTTATTAGTTCTAACAGCTTTTTTAGGGGGAGAGACTTTAGGATTTCTGTATCACACATCTGTAAACAGAGAAAATTTAATTTCTTCCTTTCTACTTTTGATGACTTGTACTTCATTTTATTGCTTAATTACTTAGGGTAAGAGTTCCAGTATGATGTTGAATAGAAGTGGTGAGAGTAGAAATTCTTGTCTTATTCCCAATCTTAGAGGAAAAGCTTTCAACTTTTTGCCATTGAATCTGATGTTAGTTGTGGGCTTGTCACATATGGTCTTTATTGTGTTGAGAATTACATTCTTTCTGTAATTAATTTGTTGAGAGTTTTTATCATAAAATGATGTTGAATTTTGTCAGTTTTTCTTCATCCATTGAGATGATAATATAGTTTTGGTCCTCAATTCTCTTAATGTAGTATTTGCATATATTGAACCATCCTTGTATCTCAGAGATAAATCCCACTTGATCAAAGCAGATTATCCTTTTAATGTGTTGTTGAATTTGGTTTGCTAGGATTTTATTAAGGAATTTTGCATCTATGTTCATCAGGGATATTGGCCTGTAGTCTTCTTTTCTATTAGTTTCCTAGGGTGGCTTTGGTATTAGGGTAATGTTGTCCTCATAAAATGAGTTTGGAAATATTCCCTCCTCTTCATTTTGTTTTGGAAGAGTTTGAGAAGGATTGGCATTAGTTCTTTAAATGTTTGGTAGAGTTTAGTAGTAATCCGTTCCTGGGATTTTCTTTGATGGAAAACTTTTATTATTTGTTCATTCTCTTTGTTCATTATTGGTTTGGTCATATATTCTATTTCTTCATAATTCAGTCTTGTTAGATTGTATGTGGCCAGGAATTTATCTGTTTCTTTTGGGTTATTCAATTTGTAAGTCTATAATTGTTCATAGTAGTCTTTTGTGATTCTTCATATTTCTGTGGTATGAGTTGTAATGTCTCTTCTTTCATTTCTCATTTTATTTATAAGTCTTCTCTCTTTTTTATTTGATTTTTAATGTATTTTCAATATCTGTGTTAAATTTCTCATTTTGGTTTTTTACTATGTTCCTGATTTTTTAAAAATGATTTCTCTGTATTTTCCTTTACTTCATGAAGCTTTAAAAGCAATTATGTTGAATTATTTTTCAGCCTGTTTACATACCTCCATTTCTTTGGGGTCAGCAACTTGGAAATTATTGTGTTCTTTTGGTGGTATGATTTCTTGGTGTTTCATTGTTTCTTGTTACCCTCTTATTGATGTCTGCACATTTGGTGGAGTAGTCATCTCTTGCAAATTTCATTGGCTAATTTCAGTGTGGAAAGATTTTCTCTTATGGGGCATGATGGTGCTTTGCAATCCTTGTGGCCCAGACTGACACAAGCATATAATGGGATGGACTGAGTGGGTGGGATGGATTGGTTTTGGCACCAGTGGGATGTGGCTTTATAGTCTTTGTGTGGCCCTGTTAGCTGACGTCAATGTTGACCCAGATTTGAGGGATCCTCAGTGGCCAAATTCTTGGATGTTTGCAGTGACAGCAAGGGTTTTCAGGCTCGTTGCTGGTAGTGGCTGCTAAGGTCTTCCTTATTTAATTTTCTCCCACTGGGGAAGTTGTGGCTTAGGGAACCATTTGACATGGTTCTGGTATGTGTGCTTCCTCTTGATGTTGGTGGCACAGGTGTATTTTGGGTGGCACCTATTGTGCAGCCATGTAACTGAGGCTTGGGTCATGGGCACACCTGAAGGAACTATGGTTCTGGGATCTGGAATGATAATGACACTGGTGCTTAGGGTGAAGACACTCCTGCCACCACATAGGTAACAGTGCTAGAGGTGTGAATGCTTTGAAGCAGCCAGGGAGCCAAGAATGGGAGCATAGATATATGTAGAGTTACAATGGCTCTGGAGTTGGGGTAGGGACTAACTTTCTGTGGAGGGTGAACTGGTGCCCAAAGTGTGGGCATGCCCAGAGAGACCTTGACTCCAGGGCCCAGAGCTTGCTCTAGTGATGGCCCAGTGTCTGATACATGGGTGGGTGCAGTGCAGTCCCAGACCCTGGGTCTGAGTGTGAGCTCTCAAGGGGCAGCTGCAGTTTGGGGTTTGCATGGTGTTGGGGAGGTGGCAGCTCCTTTTCCAAAGTAGCTCAATAGCATCTGCTTCTTGCAGGTGGAGGCAGTACAGTTGTGTCTCCCTCTCTAGGGTTTCCTGGTGGGAATGGCTCTTGGTTATCTCAGTGGCATAAATGCTAGCGTTCTCTGCAAAGCAGGGATCTTGATGACTACCACCACATGGCTGATACTAATTGCCTCAACCTTTCCTGTTTGTTCCTAACCATCTCCTGGCATCTCAAGTATGCAGATATCACTAGAAATCCTTCGTGTGCGGCTATTCTCCATGTTTTTGCTCCTCTGTATTGCTGCAGATTCTTTAATGGGCCCTTGAACCCTCGCAGACCTATTTTGGTTTGTGGATAGCTGTCTCTCTCTCGCTCTAGAGATATATATATAAGATATACATATTTATATATTATATATTTAAGATATATATATTTATATATTATAGATTTATATATATTATTATATATAATATAAATTATATATTATATATATAATATATATTATAATATATATTATATATTATATATATATAATATATATTATTATATATAATATATAATTTATATATATATATAATAATATATTATATATATTATATATGTATTTTTTGTGATGGGGATGAAGGCTAGTATCTTTCTTACTCCATAATCTTGGTGGTATCTCAGAAAACTTTCTTATGTCTCATAATTTATGTCTTTGCAGAGCCAGCCAGCCACTTTGTCGGTCATCAGGGCAGATAATCCATGGGTGCCAAGAACAATGTGACTGAGTTTGTTTTATTTGGCCTTTTTGAGAGCAGAGAGATGCAGCATACATGCTTTGTGGTATTCTTCCTCTTTCATGTGCTCACTGTCCTGGGGAACCTTCTGGTCATCATCACCATCAATGCTAGAAAGACCCTGAAGTCTCCCATGTATTTCTTCCTGAGCCAGTTGTCTTTTGCTGACATATGTTATCCATCCACTACCATACCCAAGATGATTGCTGACACTTTTGTGGAGCATAAGATCATCTCCTTCAATGGCTGCATGACCCAGCTCTTTTCTGCCCACTTCTTTGGTGGCACTGAGATCTTCCTCCTTACAGCCATGGCCTATGACCGCTATGTGGCCATCTGTAGGCCCCTGCACTACACAGCCATCATGGATTGCCGGAAGTGTGGCCTGCTAGCGGGGGCCTCCTGGTTAGCTGGCTTCCTGCATTCCATCCTGCAGACCCTCCTCACGGTTCAGCTGCCTTTTTGTGGGCCCAATGAGATAGACAACTTCTTCTGTGATGTTCATCCCCTGCTCAAGTTGGCCTGTGCAGACACCTACATGGTAGGTCTCATCGTGGTGGCCAACAGCGGTATGATTTCTTTAGCATCCTTTTTTATCCTTATCATTTCCTATGTTATCATCTTACTGAACCTAAGAAGCCAGTCATCTGAGGACCGGCGTAAGGCTGTCTCCACATGTGGCTCACACGTAATCACTGTCCTTTTGGTTCTCATGCCCCCCATGTTCATGTACATTCGTCCCTCCACCACCCTGGCTGCTGACAAACTTATCATCCTCTTTAACATTGTGATGCCACCTTTGCTGAACCCTTTGATCTATACACTAAGGAACAACGATGTGAAAAATGCCATGAGGAAGCTGTTTAGGGTCAAGAGGAGCTTAGGGGAGAAGTGACATTCCAGAGAATCTCAATCCAGCTAGGAAATTGGGAGACTTTCCATCTTGTAGCATCTAACACAGCCTTTTTATTTCCAGTCTGATGTTTGCAATGGCAATTATCCTCCTAGCTCTTGTTGTTATAATAATTCCACATATTCTTTCAATCCTTTATTCATTAAATATTTATTGGATGTTTACAGTGAGTGAGAATACAAATAAAAGTAAGATATAATCTTTCCCTCAAGGAGAGTACAGTCCAGGATGCTTTTAGTGCGATATTTAAGAGCTCATTCAGGAAACGTGTGAGGGCCTGTGAATGAGGGAGTGTCTTGGAAGTCCAGATATCTCATTGATAAATGAATAAAATCACTACATAATTCCTTTGTGTTGGCTAACACAGTGCTCAATGGAATTCATTCTTTTCTTTTAAGAGTAAAGAGCCACTTTACTCTTACCCTTTCATGCTCTCAGCAGGCAGATAAATAAATAAATAAGTAAATAAATAATGTGGAGAGGTCAAGGGATTTACTAAAAGTTACACTTTAACTCCAGAGCAGGGTGAGGACTAGAACACAGGTCCCTAAGTCAGCTTTCAGAGCTTTTCCTCAGGACCTCTTGATAAAGTGTGACTAAATGGACACCAAGCAGGAATGACCAAGAACTTTTGAAAGACCAGGAATGATGGTGATGATGACTTGGGATGATGAAGAGAACAACCAGGAAGAACAAGTTGTCAGCACTTCTTTCAGTGGTGCTGATTCCTCTCTCCAGCAGAACAGCTGACTGCTGCCCTCTTTAACCCCTGTTGCTTTGCTCCATTTTGCCGCTAGAGGGAGCCAAGTTTGTACAGAATGCAATTAAACGAGCCGGATTAGGTATCTCTTAAACATTCGTGGGTCATGTAACCTCATTGGGCCTCAATTTCCACATTTACAGAAGGAGATATTGACAATACCAGCTTCAGAAGGCTGTGAGAGGACCTATAAGACTTTGTAAAGACCTAAATCAAAGTCTGTTGTTCAATGGTGGCTGCTAGCTGTTTTAACATAATATCTTCGATTCCCCTTTCTCTTCCTATTCACCCCTCTATCCTTTCCCTCAAAGCCCTTGTAACCAAACTATCTGATTATTTCATTTACTCCAAAAATGTTTATTGAACACTTAGCATTTGCTGGGTGATATTCCTGGGGCTAGAAGTACAGCACAAAAGAAAGCAGGCAAAACTCTTTGTTCTCATGGAGTTTATATTTCAGTGTGTGGTAAAAGCTGACCCTTACTGAATTCTTCCAATCTGCAGACACTCTTCTAAATATTTTAATTGTATTAACTTTTTTGATCCTTTCAACAACTTCATGAATGAGATATAATCATCAGGAATGTGATGAGAGTTGGGTGAGAGTGGTGGTAGTAAAGAAGACTCATTAGTACCATCTGATGCTGAACAAACACAAATGCAAACGTTGATCTTGATTATGAAAAAATAGTAGCAATAAAATAGCAGTTGACACCTTGAAAGCATAATATTCTCAGAAGTTTTCATACACCAGCTTAATCTGTGTTGGATAAATAATCCCCTTATAAAACTCCTTGGAACAATGTGGGAGCATGCATGAATGGTTATTCAGGTTTAAAGGTAAGTGGCCGGGCGCAGTGGCTCACGCCTGTAATCCCAGCACTTTGGGAAGCCAAGGCGGGCGGATCACGAGGTCAGGAGACTGAGGCCATCCTGGCTAACACGGTGAAACCCCGTCTCTACTAAAAATACCAAAAATTAGCCGGGCGTGATGGCGGGCGCCTGTAGTCCCAGCTACTCGGGAGGCTGAGGCAGGAGAATGGCGTGAACCCGGGAGGTGGAGCTTGCAGTGAGCCAAGATCGCGCCACTGCACTCTAGCCTGGGCGACAGAGTGAGACTCCATCTCAAAAAAAAAGAAAAAAAGATAAGTGGAGATACAGACAGGCTAAACTATGTACATAGGCCACACACAGACTTCTGATTGCTAGTTTAGTGCTCTTTCACTACTGCTTTCATACAGTATTTTAAAGTAGAGTGATAGTGGTATGTATGTCTTACATATATATTCAGGCATGCATGTATGTATATATATATATTCATGAAGATGAAGACAGGTATATAAGGCGCAATCTCAGCTCACTGCAACCTCCACCTCCCAGGCTCAAGTAATTCTCATGCCTCAGCCTCCCTAGTAGCTGGGACTGCAGCACATGCCACGAACGTCCTGCTAATTTTTGTATTTTTAGTAGAGACGGGGTTTCACCATGTTGGCCAGGCTGTTTCTGAACTCCTGACCTCAAGTGATCTGCCTGCCTCGGCCTCCCAAAATGGTGGTATTACAGGCGTGAACCACCATGCCTGGCCTCTACTCTTTTCTTTGAGGAAATTGAAGCACTTACATCATGGATTTGTCAGATCAGAGGTGACTGGAAAGCAATCACTCAGGAATCCCACTCTTTGCCTAGACTTCTATTTACAGAAGATTGACCAACTCAGGAGCCATTTTAAGGTGTGAAATCATAGGTGTGCTTGATATGGCAGATGTTTCTTTCTGCTTCATGCTGGGTTGAGGGAAGAGGGGGAAATTGGGTTGGAGGAAGTAGATCATGTACTTCAGGGGAAAAAAGTCATCTGAGTTTCAGCTACAAGTGAGAAGACTGGATAAGTACTACAGGAGGAGCTGCATAAGGTATGAGAACTTGGCATTAAGAGAAGAGACTGCTGTATGATACAGTGGAAATTACACTAGATGGAAAGTCAGGAAACAGGGTTCCAGTTGCAGAGCCATCCCCACCTCCATCCAAGTTCTCAGGGCTCCCATTTCCTGATGTATACAATTAAGGAGATTGGTTCGAATCTCTAAGGACCTTCAGCTCAGATATCCTATGATTCCATTTTGTTCAGGAATATAGACTACATGAAATCTGGGTCAATCTTATTTTTTTCTCATTTTATTCACATATTTCCTTAGAATTATTTTTAGGTGATTTTATAAAAAGAAAATATTGCATACAGTTCCCATAGATTTATGGACTTGACATAATTATCACAAGAGGGAAAAATATCAAATTAAGAAGATTTAATTGTGTTTTTCACTACTCTTCCTCTCTAAGAGACAACTCCATTTTAATGTTCCTACTACAGGTATTCTGAAAGTTACTAGTAGATGAAGCTCATTGACTGGTCACTCAGCTACTCTGTCAGTACATTTACCCTTCAGTACTGAGTTTTCCGGGAGGACTTCTTAGTTATAAATACAAACAAGATGTAATTGTTATTATAAATTTACTTATTCTGCTGTGGTTGGAGAGAGAGCAGAGAAAGAATGTGGTGGTAGGTATGGTATTGGGAAGGGACTATGAACTTCTCCTTCTTGGAAGGTGAAAGTGTCCACAGTGAAGGCAGAAAAGGAAGGTAGGCTAGAGGTGAGAAGGCGCCCCATGGCTGATTTCTTTCGTAAAAGATTGGAAAATATTATTACTTAAACATATTTGATACAAATAATGTATGTATTATTTAATATATGTAATATGTAATACATAATAAAATTATATATTAATGTTATAAAGCATAATTAATAATCATCTATGAACTTGTTATCAACTTAAGAACAATCCTAATAGCTTGTGTCATATGTGTCTTCTCTATTCTATTTCTTTGCCTTCACAGTGATAACCAATATTCTCGTTTGGTTGATGACTTCCTTACTTTATGAAAATAGATTTAACATATGTGTATATACACCTAACCAATATGTTGTTTAATTTTTCTTATTTTTAATTTTATAAAAATAGTGTTACACATTTGTAGTCTTCTGACTTGCTTTTTTCGCTTAACATAGTATTTCAAAAATTCATCCTTGTTGTTGAATGTAATTGTATTTCATCGTTTTTACTATTGCACAAGATGTCATTGGGTGAATATGCCATAATTATTTTACTATTCTTTTTAAAATATACCTTGGTTGTTTCCATATTTCTCAGCTATCTGAGTGCTGTTATGAACATTCTTGTATGTGTGGAAAAGTTTTCCTGGGGCATATACCTAGGGATTGAATTGCTATGTTGAAGGGTATGCAAATGTTTCAACTTTACCGAAAAAATGTCAATTTGCTTTTGAAAGTGGTCGTACCAATATTCACTCCCTACAGCAATGTATAAGAGATTCTGATGATGTACATTCTTGCCAACACATGGCATGGTCAAAACACTTTAACAGTTTTGCCAATCTTGAGGGTACTCATAGTATACCCTATGTCTTAGTCCCCTTTGGTTGCTATAAGAAAAATGTTATACACTGGGTGGCTCAAACAACAAACAGTTACTTCTCACAGTTCTAGAGACTCCAAATTAAGTCCCAGATTCAAGCACTGGCAGCTTTGATATCTGGTGAGCTGGGGACCTGCTTCCTGGTTTATAGATGGCCGTCTTCTTTCTGTGTCCTCACATGGTGGTAGGGGTGAGGGTGCTCTCTACAGTCTTTTTTAAAGGAGGATTAATCCCATTTATGACAGCTCCATAAAAAGAAAGATATTTTTTAAACAAGCACAAAAAGCACTAACAATGGAAAATTTAAAACTAACTACATTGAAAATAAAAGTGTTTAGCACAGAATAAAATGAAAAGATAAGCCACAAGTTAATCTTATAACTGATACGTAACTGACAAAGGATTAGTCCAAATATACACAAAACTCTTAGAAATCTATTTTTTAATTCAAATAAATCAATAGAATAATAGGCAAAAGATATGATAGGCAATTTACAGAAAAGGAAGCACATATGAGAAGATGCATATGAGTTATCTCATAAAATACAAGTAATGGGATACCTTTGATTTGGTTAGGTGTTACTAGGCAAAAAGTCTTTTGAAAATCTAAAGGCATAGATTTCTGTGGAAGTAACTTATTAAAGAAATGTTCTTAGGATAAACTGGAAAGGGGATACTGGAAGCAAGACAGAGTAGTGGAGAAATCTAAACAAGGATGCAGTTTCAAGTAATTTTCAGCACAGGATCACTTTAGCCTTATCTTGCAGGGAAATGCTGGAGTGTAAATGATGCCAAGAGTTGTTTTGATTTGAGTTAAGGATGTAGCTTTCATATGCCCACACCATTCAGACGTTATTTAAGGGCTTCTCTGGGGCTGGAGTGGGGCGAAAGTCCCAGGTACTTTTGTTTGTCCATTAATATGGGGAAAATGGACTCCAGTGGCCCAAAGGCAGCAGGTGGTAGCTGTTGAAAATTGTTATGGTTTGAATATCCCCATCTACAACTCATATTGAAATTTAATTGCTATTGCAACAGTACTAAAATGTGGGGCCTGTAAGAGGTGATTGGGGGATTAGGTCTATTTAAGAATGGATTAATGTCCTTATCCCAGGAGTGGGTTAGTTATTCCAGGAGTGGGCTACTGATAAGAAAGATGAATTTGGCCAAATTTCCTCTCTCCGTCTTGCATCCTTCCTCACCATGTAATGCATTCTGTCACGTCTTCATGTCTGACATGTCTGAAGACATGTCATCATGTCTTCAGATGCTGGCACTATGCTTTTGGACTTCTCAGCCTCCAGAACTATGAGTCAAAAAAACTTCTATTGCTTATAAATTACATGGTCTGCAATGGAGAAAAATAGAGAACCCAGAAATAAGACTGCACTGCTGCAACCATCTGATCTTTGACAAACCTGACAAAAACAAGCATTGGGAAAGGATTCCCTATTTAATAAGTGGTGCTGGGAGAACTGGCTAGCCATATGCAGAAAATTGAAACTGGACCCTTCCCTTACACCACATACAAAAATTAACTCAAGGTGGATTAGAGTCTTAAATATAAAACTCCAAACTATAAAAACTCTAGAAGAAAATCTAGGCAATACCATTCAGGACATAGGCATGGGCAAAGACTTTATGATGAAAACACAAAAAGCAATTGCAACAAAGACAAAAATTGACAATTGGGATCTAATTAAATTAAAGAGCCTCTGCAGAGCAAAAGAAACTGTCATTAGAGTGAACAGACAACCTACAGAATGGGAGAACAGTTTTGCAATCTCTCCATCTGACAAAGGTCTAATATCCAAAGTCTGTAAGGAACTTAAACAAATTTACAAGAAAAAAACAAACAAACAACCCCATTAAAAAGTGGGCAAAGGCCATGAACAGACACTTCTCAAAAAAATAAATTTATGTGGCTAACAAACATATGAAAAAAAGCTCTACATTACTGATCATTAGAGAAATTCCAATCAAAATCACAAGGAGATACCATTTCATGCCAGTCAGAATGGCTATGATTAAAAAGTCAAAAAACAACAGATGCTGGTGAGGTTGCAGAGAAAAAGGAATGCTTTTACACTGTTGGTGGGAGTGTAAATTAGTTCAACTACTGTGGAAGACAGGGTGGTGATTCCTCAAAGCTCTAGAGGCAGAAATACCATTTGACCCAAAAATCCCGTTACTGGCTAAATACCCAGAGGAATATTAATCATTCTATTATAAGGGTATATGTACACTTATGTTCACTGCAGCACAATTCATAATAGCAAAGACACGGACTCAACATAAATGTTTATCAATGATAGACTGGATAAAGAAAATATGGTATATATACACCATGGAATACTATGCAGCCATGAAAAGGAACAAGATCATGCCCTTTGCAGGCACATGAATGGAGCTGGAAGCTGTTATCCTCAGCAAACTAACACAGGAACAGAAAACCAAACACTGCATGTTCTCACTTATAAGTGGGAACTGGATGATAAGAACACATGGACACATAGTGGTGGGGGAACAACACATGCTGGGGCCTGTTGGGGGTGGGGCTGGTGGGAGGGAGAGCATCAGGAAGAATAGCTAATGGATGCTGGGCTCAACACCTGGGTAATGGATTGATCTGGGCAGCAAGCCACCATGGCACATGTTTACCTATGTAATGAACCTGCACATCCTGGACATGTACCCCAGGACTTAAAATAAAAATTTAAGAAAAAAATATATCATGCCAGTCTCTTCTGGCCTGTAAATTTTCCACTGAAAAGTATGCTGCCAGGTGTATTAGAGCTCTATTGTATGTTATCTGTTTTTTGTTTCTTGCTGCTTTAAGTATCTTTTCTTTATTCTTGACCTTCGGGAGCTTGATTTAAGATGACTTGTGGTAGTTTTTAGGATAAATCTGCTTGGTGTTCTATAACCTTCTTGCACTTAGATATTGATCTCTTTCTCTAGGTTTCGGAAGTTCTCTATTATTATCCCTTCGAGTAAAGTTCCTACCCCTGTCTCCTTCTCTACCTCCTCTTTAAGGCAAATGATTCTTAGATTTGCCCTTTTCAGGCTATTTTCTAGATCCTGAAGTTGTGCTTCATTATTTTTTATCCCTTTTTCTTTTGTCTCCCCGACTATATTTTCAGATAGCCTCTCTTTAAGCTCCACAATTCTTTCTTCTCCTTGATCAGTCCTGCTATTAGAAGACTCTGATGCATTCTTCAGTATGCCAATTGCGTTTTTCCACTCTAGAATTTCTACTTGATTCTTTTTAATTACTTCAATCTCTTTGCTAAACTTACTTGATAGAACTCTGAATTCTTTTTCTGTTTTATATTGAATTTCCTCGAATTCATCCACATAGCTAATATGAAGTCTCTGTATAAAGGGTCGTGTATCTCTGTTTCTCCAGGTTTGGTCCCTGGTGCCTTATTTAGTTCATTTGGTGAGGTCATATTTTCCTGGAGTCCCTTGATGCTTGTAGATATTTGTCTATGTCTAGGCACTGAAGAGTTAAATATTTATTGTAGTCTTGTGGGTCTGGATTTGTTTGTACTCATCTTTCTTGGGAAGGCTTTCCAGATATTCACAAGGACTTGGGTGTTGTGATCTAAACTGTACCTGCTTTACAGGGTACCAAAGCCCAGTAATCCTCTGTTTCTTGAGGACTTGTTGAGGTACCACCTTGATGGTTTTGAACAAGATCCAGAGGAATTCTCTGGATTACTAGGCGGAGACTCTTGTTTTCTTCCCATACTTTCTCCCAGATGAAGAAGTCTCTTTCTGCTCCAAGCCAGCTGGAGCTGCGGGTGGAATGACACAAACCCTGCTATTGCCACCACTTGTGGGACTGTGCTGAGTCAGACTGGAAGCCAGCACAACACTGGGTCTTGCCCAAGGCATGCTATAACCACTCCCTGGCTACCACTTTTGTTTGCTGAAAGCCATGGGGCTCTATAATCAGCAGGTGGCAAAGCCAGCTGGGCTTATGTCCTTTCCTTCAGGGTAGTGAGTTCCCTCAGGCCCTGGGCAGGTGCACAGGTGCTGTCCAGGAGCCAGAGACAAGAGTCAAAAATCTTAGAAGTCCACTTGGTGTTCTATTATGCTGTGGCTGACGTGACACTCAAACCATAAGATGCAGTCCTTCCACTCTTCCCTTTCCTTTCCAAAGGTAGAAGAGTCTCACCCCATGACCTCCAACACCTCTGGCCCACAGGGAGTATAGCCAGACTGCTGCCAATGTTCCCTTAAAGCCCAAGGGCTCTTCAGTCAACTTGTGGTGAATGCTGCCTGGCCTGGGACTCACCCTTCAGAGAGGGGGCTCCCCTATGGCCCAGGGTCTTGTCCTGTAGCCACCACTTTAGGAATATGCTGAGTCTCACTTGAGACCAGCTAGTCTCAGTGTCTCAGCCAAGGCCCTTGATGTACTACCTTTGTATTACTGATAGTTATTCAGGGCCCAAGGGCTCTTCAGTTAGCAGGTGATGAACACTATAAGGATTGGGTCATTCCTTTCAAGGCAGCAGGTTTTCTTCTGACCAAGAGTATGTCTAGAAATGTCCAAGGGCTAGGCCTGGAAAGGGCCCTCATGCCTCTGACTGGTTCCCTATCCTGCTTGGCTGAGCTGGTATCCAAGATGCAAAACAAAATCATTCCCACTCTTCCATCTCTTTTCAGCTGGTAGGAAGAGATCTCTTTTGGAGCCTCAAGCTGTGCAGCCTGGAGTTATGGGAGGAGTGATGCCAGCACTCTCAGAGCCACCCTGGCTAGTGTCTCAGTAGGTCATATGACCCCCCAAGTCCACTGTCTCTGGACTCAGTTCAGCACTGGGACTCACTTAAATGTTGCAGTCCTTGTGGCTAGTCAGCCTTTCCAGTTTATTTGGAGCCCCAGAACAATTTAGCCCATAGTGGTTAGGCTTGTGGGAACTCAAGTTCCAACCACCAGGATTGGCAACTCCCCTCTGGCTAGGGCTGGTTTAAATGCACCCTCCATGGGTGGGTGCCAGTTGAGTTTGGTCTGCTTTTGCTCTGTGCTATAACAAGGGGAGGACTGAGTTCAATGCCTTACAATTACTGGCTATCCCTCTCCTCAGGGCACAGAAACACTCTGCACCACACTGCCCTGCCAGAGGATGGGGGAACAGTGGTGTTGGTGATACAAGACTGTTTTTCCTGCCTCTTCTGTGTCTCTTTTAGCAATATGAAGTTGAAACTAAGTACTGTGGGTGTTCACCTGATTTTTGGTTCCTATGAACGTTCTTTTTTTGTGTAGGTAGCTGTTAAAATGGTGTCCTTGCCAGGGGGATGATTGGTGGAACCTAGTTCACCATTTTGCTCCACCCCAACCAACAAGAATCTCAAGACAGTCTCTTCCATACATGTTGTTGGAAAAACTGGGATATCCACATGCAGAAGAATGAAACTGGACCCTTCTCTCACACCATAAACAAAAAAGAGCAACTCAAAATGAATAAAGGTTTAAATGTAAGAGCTGAAACCGTAAAACTAGAAGAAAATGGGAGGAGCAATGATTTCTTGGATATGATCCTGAAAGCACGGGCAACAAAACAAAAAATAGACAAACGGGATTACATCAAACTAGAAAGCTTCTGCACAGGAAAGGAAACAATTAGGGTGGAGATTCAACTCACAGATTGGGAGAAAATATTTGCAAACAATAATCTGATGGTTTGCAAATCATAATATATTTTGGTTACATCCAAAATATATTAGGAACTTTAATAACTTAATAGCAAAAAAATTGATGTGATTAAAAAATGGACAAAGTATCTAAATAGACATTTCTCAAAACAAGACATACAAATGGCCTATAGGTATATGAAAAAATGATCAATATTTTTAATCTTTAGGAAAATGTAAATTAAAACCGCAATGAGATACTGCCACACACCTGTTACAATGGCTGTCATAAAAAAGATGAAAGATAACAAGTGTTGGTGAGGATATGGAGAAAAGGGAACCCTAGTACACTGTTTATGGGAATGTAAATTAGTATGGTCATTAAGGGAAATAGTAAGGAGTTTCCTCAAAAAACTAAAAAAATAGAACCACCGCATGATCCCAAATCCCACTTCTGGTAGTGTTTTTAAAGGAAATAATGCCAGCATGTTGAAGAGATATCTGTACTCCCATGTTTATTGCAGCATTATTCACAATAGCCAAGATATGAAATCAATCTAAGTATTTATCAGTGAATGAGTGGATAAAGGAAATGTGGTATATATACACAATACAACATGATATGGCATTACAAGAGAAGGAAATTCTGTCATTTGCAAAGACTTGGGTGAACATGGAGGACATTATGTTAAATGAAATAAGCCAGGCATAGAAAGACAAATACTACATGATCTCATGTACGTGTGGAATCTAAATAATCACACTCAAACTCATAGAAGTAGAGAGTTGAATTTTGGTAACTAGAGGATGGGGACAGTGGCTAGACAAGGGAGAAGTTGATCAAAGAGTACAAAATTTCAATTCGCCACAGGAATAAGTTTTAAAGATCTGTTGCACAACATGGTGACTATAGTTAATAATATATATTTCAAAATCGCTAAGAGAGTAGATTTTTAAACGTTCTCACTACAAAAAATAAGTCGGTGATGTGATAGATATGTTAATTAGCTTCATTTGTTCATTTCACAGTATGCACATATATCAAATATCACATTGTACAAATAAATAAATAAATATATATGTTTATAGTATCATTTGTAAAGCAAAAAAATCAAGGCAAAATGTTTGAATTATGAAATGGAACACCAATATAGCCACAAATCAGGTCAAGAAGTAGAAGATTGCTAGCCCTTCCTCGACCCAATATTTCTCTTCCCAGTCACACCTCTATCATACCTCTCAAAGCCAACACTAACGTGGCTTTTTTGATAAAACTTCTTTGCTTTTCTTTATACTTTTATACATTTACCACCTAAGTGCACACCCTTAGTTTTGCTTATTTTTAAAGTTTAAATCAAGCAATAATACAGTGTGTAATCATTTGCATTTGGAGTCTTTGACTCAACATTGGGTTTGTAAGATTTGTTCATGTTGTTATCTGTGCCTGTAACTCATTATTTTCATTGCCATATTAGCTCGTTATATGAATATACCATCAATTTTTAAATCCATTCTATTATTGATGAACATTTGGCTTGTTACCAATTTTGTGCTGTTACAAATAATGCTTTATTAACACTCTTTATGATGTGTCTTCCAATGTACAAGTGCACACTTTTGTTTTGGATTTCTACCTAAAAGTGGAGTCTGAGTCATGGCATGCATATATATATATATATATATATATATTCAACATTAGTAGATAACATCCAATAGTTTTCCAACATACACTTAAAAAACAAATATACATTTCTACCAGTGGGCATGAGTGATCCCACTCCTCTATATTGACAGCAAATACTGGGTATTGACAGTCTTTAATTTTAGCCATGCAGAGAGCATTGCCATGGTATTTTGTTGTGGTTTTACATATTTTTTTCAGATAACTAAGAGGTGAACCACCTCCCAACTTTCTTACATGTTTACTTTCCATCTTTTCTGAAGTGCTTGTTTAAGTCTCACATGGTAGTCTGTCTTTATTTTGTTTATCTTATAAGGTATTTCCTTATATATTCTGTATCAGTCCTGGTTCTCTGAGAAGCAGATGCTAATTTGGAAATACTATGCAGCTACTAAGATAAATATGCAAGAGATTTATTGGGGAAAAACTAGTGAAGGATGGTGGGAGAAGCTACCAGGAATAATTCAGGTGTAACTCCTATGAAGGAGAGAGGGAGGGGAAAAAAAAGGTAGGTTCCAGATTACAATGTATCTCTAAGTAAATTTTGTCAAGACTGACAGGGAGTCTTTGAGTTAAAGGTGTAGAGTGGAGATTGCAGGTTGGGGAAGGGAATTTTGAAGAAATTGAGAAAGGTTGTACATGGTTCTTGAGAGTTGGGAACTCGTGTCGACTAAAGCAATATACTAGGATTGCTGAGCAATATTGATGTGCCTTTTGAAGTTGGTGACACAAATTTATACAAACTAAATCTTCCCTATTTTGTGACTTTCTGGATGCTTTCAGAAAGGTCTGGTGAAGGCTTAGAATAAAATTCATCTAGTGTGGGAGAATTGCAGGGTGCATGTGGCAATACAGACAAGGGTATCGGAAATGTAAAAGGTTACAAATGTTTACAAACATAAATTGTTACAAAGTTTGTTGCATATATGATAAGTATTAAACATGTCTATCCCTCTTACTCAACAATTCTATTGTATAACATGTGGGACTATATCTGTTGGATTAATTCCTAAAAGTGGGATTGTTGGGCTTAGGCAGGAAGGTAAAGCAATGCCGCCTTTTTGGAGAGAAATTTTCAACATTTATCAATGAAACTGAAAAGTTAATTTGATTAGGTCTTCCTGCCTTGCTTCCTTTTGGTTGTTTGCTTTTTGTTATTGTTTTTCCTTTTTCCATAAAGCTGAAGGCCAGGATAGTTGAAAAGAGTACAAGAGTTTATAGAAAACTTGGTAGAGTTCCAATTTAGTAGATGTTTCCTACTTTGTAGATAACATTCATAGGTCACTGTAGCAATGGTTGTTTCAGTTGTTTTTCAGGAACTTGGGTCAGCTCCTGTCCATTTCAAACCAGTGAGACCACTGACCCTTGAATTGGACCTGCACAGTACTGGAGAGGTGTCATTTTGACATCGGAGGCCAAACACCTCCACCTTCAGATTAGGCTAACGTTACAATTTTCTGTACATATGTCCTATGAAATGCCCTGAACCCTGACTATGCTTCCTCAGAGCAACCCCATTACTTCATTTTCCCCCACTGCCAGTCACCTTTCTCCATGCTTTAGACCACCCCACTTCCCTAACCCATAAATACCCCTAAGCCTTATCTTTGGGGAGGCAGGTTTGAGAGCTGCTCCTCCTGCCTGCTTGCTTTGCAAATAAATCTTTTCTCCTTGACAAAACCCGAGTTGCAGTGATTGATTTACTGTAGGTGGGCAGAATGGACCTGGACCTGGCCAGTAATGTCGGCATTAAAAATATTTATACAATTTACCCAGCAATTCCTTATATTTGATTTTGTAATTATTCTATTTGTTTAGTTTTTCTTCCTGTTTTGGTTGGCAGGTGGCCACTGCCCCTTTTAGAATATAAACTCCATGCTGCTGGGAGCCAGGTTCATCATATTCACCATGATATTCCTGGCATTTAGCAAAGTGTTGTCTTTTATTAGCTAGGGCCTGAGTAATAAATACTGAATGATCAAAATGGTGGAAGTGTAATTCCAATTCAGATTGTTCTGACTGTAGTTCCCTTGATATTTTAGCATGCTACATAGTAGAGGTGTGGATAATGGACAGTGATTCTTCTCTCTTTGCTTTGAAGGGGGGAGACAAAAGAGAAGATGGATGTGAGAGGGCCTAGGACCATGCCTAGAATGCAAGAGATGCTCAATAAGTGCTGCTGATTTTGTTGTTGTTCAGTCAGTGATTTCCTTATAAACACTGACCCTTCAATATCAGGTTCTGAAATATCCTAGTTTCCTTCCTTCTGGATAATTTGTGAACTCTCCCTAGAGACTAGAAGGACATTTGGTACTTTTAGAAGGAAGAATGCAAGTTATTTCCTTGTGAGACCAAAACTCTATTCAAGGGGACTAATTAAATGATGGCATCAATGTTGTTCTCACCTGTGAACAAGGCTCATTCTGACACCACTTCAGCAAGAGATCCTGTGAGGGAGAATTTGTCTCCCTTGGAGAGGCGGAAAGCATACAGTACTAATAATCCCTATGTTCTCATTTCTACCTTATAAATAATAAGCCTTTGCGGTGGAGGGAGAAAGATTTTCTGAGACTGTGCTGGTGAATATTCTTAGCAGAAAGCAGAGTTAACAAGTCAGCTATTCCTTCTGTGAGGCTTTTCTCTTGAATTTTAGTGGCAGTGCTTTTTGACTTGTCAAAGCCTGGGGAGTAAAAGTGGAAGGTGGTGGCTGTATTGGGAAGGGGACAGTCTGGGTGATGAGCCACCCAGGTTCCAGCTGTGTCTCTGTCACCTATTACTCATGTGACTTTAGATAAACTGCATTTCATCTTTCTGAGTCTCAAAGCTGAGTCACCAATCACTCATGTGACTTTAGATAAACTGCACTTAATTTTTCTGAGTCTCAGATCCACCATTTACATGGAGGCCATTGAAAAGAGTTTGAAATGTCATAGGATTCTTCAGCAAATAAAAGGGAAGTAAGATGCTACTCTTGGAGGAAACTGGGTGAAGGGCTCCTGAGATTGACTCTATCAACTATTTTTGCATCTTCTTGTAAGCCTACATTATTTCAAAATAAAAAGTTGAAAAAAAGAAAATGAAATATAAACTTTTTCAGATATGCAAAAACTAAAAGAATTCATCACCAGCACACCTGCTCAAGAAATATTAAAAGAAGCGCTTCAGGCAGAGGCAAAAATAATACCTAAGCAAAGGAATAAAAAGCACCAGAAATGGTAAATATGTGGGTAAATACAAAAAAAAAAAAAAAAAGGGAAATGGATGATGGAACAAATTCCCAGCTGCTTATAAATAAATGACCCCCTTTTGGGATTTTACCTAGTACAATTCTAAGAGACTCTCAGCTTAGCTGAGTTTCTGTAATCAATAGCAACTTCCTAGCCTGTGCTTTGCCTCAATGTAAAAAGCAATTTGAATCTCTCCAGGAATTTAAAAACATGAACTATTGAAATTCAGGATCATACGCTTGGAGTTGGCCTTGATGACATTTTAAACACTCTTCCAGGTACATCATTCCATGATGTTCGAATGTAGAAAAAAAAATCTGAAGACCTGTTAGTCTGTTGGTGTCCCCAGATCCAGTCAATGTAAGTTTTCTATAATGTATTTTTACAATAAAATGCAAGAAAAATGCAACCCAAATAAAAATACAATGGAATTAACTTACTAGAATTCTCATTATTTTCCACAAAATAATTTTATTTTTCATGGATAATTCAAACAGGAGACTTTCTTTCTTTACTAATTTTTAACAAGTACTTTATCTGACATTCCCACAAATTTGAATCACAGAGATGAATCAGCTTATCATTTTCATTTCTGGGCATATAAATCCATTATTTGTCTACATTGTATACCACTCACACTGATTACATTTTCTCTACCACTGCTGTGTTCTGCATGAGGATCAGTATTAGAGCATTTTTCATATTTATAATGAAACTATACCCATATTAATACCTGCTTAGTCCTGAATGTATACATTTAAGTTTTTGTCTCCTTAAGCCATATGAAGAATTTATTGCCCGGGATGACGACGATGGTCATAGAGACTCCATGTATTGAATGTTTACTGTACAAATGCTTGATATACATTGCTTTTTATGTCTCTCTGCAGCCTCAGGGTGTTGCTGTACTCTTATCTTCATTTTACAGATAAGAACATTGAGTCTCAAGAAGTTGTTCATAGTAACACAGCCAATAAAATGGCAGAGAAGGGGAGGGATTCAAACCCGATGTGTTTAAGTGACAGTATGGTACTGTGAAGCCCACAAACTCTGTGGCAAGACTGCCTCAGTACAAGCCCCAGTTCTGTCACTGATTAGTTAAGCATTTCTTACTTTCTTCCTCTGAAAATGAGGATAAAAACAGTAATCTACTTCATGGGAATGATGTGAGGATTAAACAAGCTGACCTATGTAAGTGTTTGGATAGTGCTTGGCAAAGGCTAAATTCTATGTAGGTGTTTCCTCTCATCACTGTTGTCTGTGTTTTTGGCCATAATGTTCTACCTTCAAAAAGTCCCCATCAGACTTGTCACTTGCAGGAGCTATATTTACCTTCTTGCAATGAAGTGTAGAGAGAGAAAAAGGTAGCAGTTTCATGATCAGTATATGAATTTTCTCTCCAGTGTTTCTATATATCTGGGTACCTCTTTCTTCTTCTGACACTTGATGGTTCTCCTTTAATTCTTGTCATACTGAGCATTAAATCTGCAGCAAGTTGGAGGATTCAACTACTTTAAGAAGACCTATGTTTCCAGGAAAAGGATAGGGTGGTGGAGAGGGTTAGTGACAGTTTCAAAATTTAAGATAGGCACAGGTGTTACCAAAGTGCCAGGGGTTTTGTCTAGGTCCTGCTGTTGGCCACACAGAAAGCCAATTACTGAGATGAGTATTCCTGGGGAAAAAGGCTTTAATTGGGTATTGCAGTTGGAAGGTAGATTAGTCTCAAATCAGTCTCCTCAACCAACTGAAATTAGGGGTTTATATAGCAGGGAGGAAACGTTAACTGTTAAAACAGGAGTTAGAGACAGGTAAGGAAGAGGAGTTGGACAATAAGAAGTAGGTGGTCGGTTAGGAAAACAGGGAGGGCTAAGGAAGCAATTATGATAAATATGGAGTCTGATATCTTATTGCCTGAATACAGTGATTTGGTGAGTTTTAGTTTTTTGATAGTTTTTGGGATGTCTGAGGGTGAATGTTTTGAGGAGGGAATTCAGATAAGAGAAATGTAAATTTTAAGACCAGAAGAGCAATTTTTAAGTCCCTCCAACAAACCCCACAACTATCTACTGGACTATTAGGTCTATTTCATAGGCATTTCCTTAGTATCATTAGGGGAATAAAGGGTGAGTAGGAATATTCTGCCACATAAGGTTATAACTGATAGCTGGTTAAGACAGAGCATCTGTTCCCTCCGCCCTTGTAGCTTCCCTTATGTAGTTATAGGCAGATAATCATCTACTAGTACCTTTCACTGATACTCCCCTTTTTTTAAATTTTGTTTTTTACTTTGAGTCCTCCCCGTAGATTGCAGGGGGACTAGTAGTCCTTAACTAGAAGGATTACACCAAGGTCAGAGAAAGCAAAACTCAGAAGTATGTAAAAATGTACAAAACAAGGGGGAGGAGAAAGCTAAGTTGTCTTCCTAGGCATGATGCTATTCACAGTATGCAGATGCAGCAAATGAGAAAGTAGAGAAGTAGAGAATTTGGTAAGTTTCTAGCCACAACCAAGTCAGTTTCTTCCAATCCTGCTTTAGTTTGTTTTATATCAATTTGTATTAGCATTGGAAAAACCAACAAAAAGTGTAACCAACCTCATTGCAAACCCCAAGAAGAAAGTTTAATTCAAAGTATGGACCATACATGCAGAGATTTCAGGAGATTTCAGGAGGTCTTAACTCTACATGGTTTTCTCAAGTGTGATCTAATCTATGTTGAAAGTGATCAGAGATTTACTCCAGTTTGAAATGGAAAATAAATGTCTGATAAATGTTCAATCCCAGCAGCCACAAAAATGCAAATTTAGATAATTAAGTTATTATTTTCATCTAATAACTGAGATATGTGGTGCCCAGTGATGCTAAAGTTAACAGACATTTTGTGGTCAGAAGATTAAATTTGTATAAGAATTTTGGAACAGAAGAGGGTTAAGAGGAACAAAGGATATATTAAAGGAAAACTTGCAATGTTTTTCCCCCATGCAATTAGTTCTATTACTTATGTTTCTCCTTGTCTTTATAGGCAATACTGCACCTGCATTCTCAGTGACCTTGGAATCTATGGACATACCACAAAATATCACAGAATTTTTCATGCTGGGGCTCTCACAGAACTCAGAGGTACAGAGAGTTCTCTTTGTGGTCTTTTTGCTGATCTATGTGGTCACGGTTTGTGGCAACATGCTCATTGTGGTCACTATCACCTCCAGCCCCACGCTGGCTTCCCCTGTGTATTTTTTCCTGGCCAACCTATCCTTTATTGACACCTTTTATTCTTCTTCTATGGCTCCTAAACTCATTGCTGACTCATTGTATGAGGGGAGAACCATCTCTTATGAGTGCTGCATGGCTCAGCTCTTTGGAGCTCATTTTTTGGGAGGTGTTGAGATCATTCTGCTCACAGTGATGGCTTATGACCGCTATGTGGCCATCTGTAAGCCCCTGCACAATACTACCATCATGACCAGGCATCTCTGTGCCATGCTTGTAGGGGTGGCTTGGCTTGGGGGCTTCCTGCATTCATTGGTTCAGCTCCTCCTGGTCCTTTGGTTGCCCTTCTGTGGGCCCAATGTGATCAATCACTTTGCCTGTGACTTGTACCCTTTGCTGGAAGTTGCCTGCACCAATACGTATGTCATTGGTCTGCTGGTGGTTGCCAACAGTGGTTTAATCTGCCTGTTGAACTTCCTCATGCTGGCTGCCTCCTACATTGTCATCCTGTACTCCTTGAGGTCCCACAGTGCAGATGGGAGATGCAAAGCCCTCTCCACCTGTGGAGCCCACTTCATTGTTGTTGCCTTGTTCTTTGTGCCCTGTATATTTACTTATGTGCATCCATTTTCTACTTTACCTATAGACAAAAATATGGCATTATTTTATGGTATTCTGACACCTATGTTGAATCCACTCATTTATACCCTGAGAAATGAAGAGGTAAAAAATGCCATGAGAAAGCTCTTTACATGGTAAGAAATTGCAGGTGGAAAATGAGTGGTAAAGCAGGAAATAAAAATGACTTTATTTTTGTAAGTGAAACAAACCAAGCCTTACTTTTTTTGTATCATGTATAGTTGTATTCCATCTTAAGCATAATTTCATCTTCACTGACTTTTTTTTTTTTGAGACGGAGTCTCACTTCAACACCCAGGCTGGAGTGCAGTGGCACGATCTCAGCTCACTGCAACCTTCGCCTCCCAGGTTTAAGTGATTCTTGTGCTACAGCCTCCTATGTAGCTGAGGTTACAGGCACCCATCACCATGCCCAGCTAATTTTTGTATTTTTAGTAGAGATGGAGTTTTTCCATGTTGGCCAGGCTGGTCTAGAACTCCTGGCCTCAAGTGATCTGCCCACTGAGGCCTTCCAAAGTGCTGGGATTACAGGCATGAGCCACCACGCCCAGCCTTCACTGACTTTTATTGTTTATTTAGTATTTTCACTTGAATTGCATAATTTGATTATAAAACAACTATATGAAATATACATGGTACGAATGATTATTATTCCTATTTTAGAAATGAGGAAGCTCTGTTTACTGATGTAGTTGGTCAATTAATCAAGATTATCAATTTTTGAAGTGACTAAACCAAAGCTTAAAATGAGTTATTTTTGATCCATCATCCAGATCTTTAAGTAGCAATCCATGTTGACATCATTTGAGTCTGTGTGATAATTAATTGAGTTGTAGAAACACGAGGCAAAATGTTACTTAACACTTAGCCATATATAGCAGGCTTTTCTGCATCCAGGCCTGGCTTCTATTTCTTCTCGTCACATTGTGTGACATCAGCAATACCGCTGCTACACTATAGCAGAGAGGTTAGGAGTTTGGCTCTGGAGATAGAGCAATCTGAGTTTGAATCTTATTTTCTTTCTTTTTTTTTTTTTTGAGACAGAGTCTCGCTCTGTCGCCCATGCTGGAGTGCAGTGGTGTGATCTCAGCTCACTGCAAGCTCTGCCTCCTGGGCTCATGCCATTCTCCTGCCTCAGCCTCCCGAGTAGCTGGGACTACAGGCACCCACCACCGTGCCCGGCCAACTTTTTGTATTTTTTAGTAGAGATGGGGTTTCACCATTCACAGGATGGTCTCGATCTCCTGACCTTGTGATCTGCTCACCTTGGCCTCCCAAAGTGCTGGGATTACAGGCATGAGCCACCGTGCCCAGCCCTTTCTTTAATTTTTTTAAAAGTTCCAGGGTACATGTGCAGGATGTGCAGGCTTGTTACATAGGTAAACGTGTGCCATGGTGATTTGCTGCACCTATCAACTCATCACCTAGATATTAAGCCCAGCATACATTAGCTCTTTTCTCTAATGCTCTCCCTCCCCACCCTCCCCTGACAGGCTCTAGGGAGTGTTGTTCCCCTCCCTGTGTCCACGTGTTCTCATTGTTCAGCTCCCACCCATAAGTGAGAACATGCAGTGTTTGGTTTTCTGTTCCTGCCTTAGTTTGCTGAAGATAATGGCTTCCAGCTCCATCTATGTTCCTGCAAAGGACATGATCTCATTCCTTTTTATGGTTGCATAGTATTGAAGCTTATTTTCTATGCTTGCTAGTGGCATGATCTTGAGTAAAATGATGAGATTTCTAGAAACCTCTGATGCCTGTCTTTAAAGTAAAAGTAAAGATATTTTAGATTACAAGTATAAGTGAGGTCATGCAGTATTTGTCTATCTGTGTCTGACTTATTTCACTTAGCATAATGTCTTCCAGGTCCGTATACCTTGCTGCAAATGACAGAACTTCTTTCTTTTTTAAGGTGTCACCTATATACCTCAATAAAGCTGGGGAAATAAAAGATAATGAGAATACATGTCTCAAAGTGTTATTGTGACAATTAGATTAATCTCTCTAAAGTTCTTAAAGCAGTTTCTGGAATGTGGTGAACTCCCAATATGCTTATTTGATATTATCATGTCTACCTCTATTGGGGGAACCAGCCCCCAATATTTCAACATAGGTTCTTTTCTATTTTCCCTAAGTGTTGGCCAGTCTGAGAAAGAAAGAGTACAAAGAGAGAAATTTTACAGCTGGGCCTCTGGGGGTGCCATCACATATTGGTAGGACTGTGATGGCGACCCCAAGCCACAAAACCAGCAAGTTTTTATTCGGGATTTCAAAAGGGGAGGGGTGTATGAATAGGGAGTGGGTCACAGAGATCACATGCTTCAAAGGGCAATAAAAGATCACAAGGCAAAAGGGCAGAGCAAGATCATAAGGCAAGGGTGAAATTAGAATTACTGATGAGGGTCCATGTCCCACTGGGCCCACATTGTCTTGATAAACATCTTAACAGGAAACAGGGTTTGAGAGCAGACAACTGGTCTGACTAGAATTCACCAGGCTGGAATTTCCTAATCCTAGTAAGCCTGAGGGCACTGCAGGAGACCGGGGCATATTTCATCTCTTATCTTAACCGCATAAGACAGACACTCCCAGAGTGGTCATCTATAGGCCTACACCTGGCCTTCCCCAGGGTTATCAATTATTAATATTCTTTGCTGGGAAAAGAATTCAGTGATATTTCTCCTACTCACACATCCATTTATAGGCTCCCTGCAATAAGAAAAATATGGCTTTATTCTGCCTGACCCCACAGGCAGTCAGACCTTATGGTTATCTTTCCTTGTTCCCTGAAAATCGCTGTTATTCTGTTCTTTTTCAGGGTGTCCTGATTTCATATTGTTCAAACACCCATGTTGTACAATCAGATTTCATATTGTTCAAACACATGTTTCACAAACAATTTATACAGTTAACGCAATCATCACAGGGTCCTGAGGCGACATACATCCTCACCTTATGAAGATGATGGGATTAAGAGATTAAAGTAAAGACAGGCATAGGAAATTATAAGAGTATTGATTGGGGAAGTGATAAATGTCCATGAAATCTTCACCATTTATGTTCAGAGACTGCAGTAAAGACAGGCATAAGAAATTATAAAAGTATTAATTTTGGGAACTAATAAATGTCCATGAAATCTTCACAATTCATGTTCTTCTGCTGTGGCTTCAGCTGGTCCCTCCATTCAGGGTCCCTGACTTCCCGCAACATACCTCAACCCTTTCCTAACCTTCTATAAAGAAATCGCTTTCTTTTGTTTTTCTCTTTTAGGCTTGAAATACATGCTGCCTTTAGAGTAATTTTTTTTTTGTTGCTGAGTAATACAACATGGCGTTTCTTTTTATTTTACCTTAGTCTTCTCATTTCAAACTCTGGAATCTAAAACGTAGGTCCACCTTCATTCCATCTTTTCCCTGGTTTTACAAACTCTCACAATATCCCTTCCAAAGCTTCACCTTTTAAGATTGTAGGCTCCCATAATTTATATTAAACTTACCCTCTGTTGGACAAACAGTCTGTAATTCCTCATGTTACAACATATTCACTTTTTACACTAGGAAAAAACAACCTAGAAATTCATATGAAAAGAAATTTCTCTGTTATAGGAAGAAATATTCAAAATTAATCTCTAAGAGGCCATCATCCTAAGTGAACTAACGCAGGAACAGAAAATCAAAACCACACGTTCTCACTTATAAATTGGAGCTAAACACTGAATTCACATGGCCACAAAAGAGGGAACAACAAACACCAAGGCCTACTAGAAGGTAGAGGGTGGAAGGAAGGTGAGGATTGAAAAACTATGCCATGCTTATTACCTGGGTGACGAAATAATCTGTACACCAAACCCCCATGATACCTATTTAACAAACCTGCACATGTACCCCTGAATCTAAAATAAAAGTTAAAAAAGTCACAAAAAGTGCAAAATTAGTCTCCAAGAAATTAGTGTCCACCACATTTGGGAGATTATCAGGAAATATTTCTTGTTTTATCCCCATAACTCTGTCTAATAAAAATGACAATTGCAGAATTTTTGGCAAAAGAAATATTGCCTTCTTTCACTTTGTCACATTTTGGGAAGCTAATTAATAATTGGTAGCTATAATTGAGACCTTGAATTCTGTACCCATTCATTTCTGCTGTTAGATGATAAAAGTATTATTTAATTAATTAAGAAATATGAAATCATGACGAGGATCGCTAAAAAATAGCCTGTCTTTTGGCCAGCTTGCTACGATTTCATCTCAAAAGACTTTTTAGAAAAGCACACTTATTTTATTTTATTTTATTTATTTTTTATTTTATTATTATTATACTTTAAGTTTTAGGGTACATGTGCACAAGTGCAGGTTAGTTACATATGTATACATGTGCCATGCTGGTGTGCTGCACCCATTAACTCGTCATTTAGCATTAGGTATATCTCCTAATGCTATCCCTCCCCCCTTCCCCCACCCCACAACAGTCCCAAGAGTGTGATGTTCCCCTTCCTGTGTCCATGTGTTCTCGTTGTTCAATTCCCACCTATGAGTGAGAACATGTGGTGTTTGGTTTTTTGTCATTGCGATAGTTTACTGAGAATGATGATTTCCAATTTCATCCATTTCCCTACAAAGGACATGAACTCATCATTTTTTATGGCTGCATAGTACTCCATGGTGTATATATGCCACATTTTCTTAATCCAGTCTATCATTGTTGGACATTTGGGCTGGTTCCAAGTCTTTGCTATTGTGAATAGTGCCACAATAAACATATGTGAAAAGCAGACTTATTTTAGTTGTAATTTAAAGTACCCTGATTTTCAGTACAGTTAAAATATCTAATAGAAAGACTAATACCAGTGTACCCCTATTTTTATTGTCCAAATTATGATGAACAACATTCCCATTAACTTATAAATATTGCTTACTTTCGAAAAATTTCAACTTGCTAGATTAAATACATGGGTAAATATTCTGAGTAGTTTTCTAGTAATTAAAATTATTACTAATCTTGTTTGCAAAGATAGTTGTATCTTTATTTTAGAGACCATGTAAAATGTCTTTCCTTCATAATCCATATTTGTTTTAGCAAATTTAGAAAATAAGAAAATAAAGATGGTCAATATACTTCCTCCAACACACTTGTATAAATCCACCTATTAGCCCATTACCTAGAGATAATCACTATCAACATTTTGGTAGATACTCTTCCAGTCCTCATCATCTTTTCTTCTCCTTTTCCTCCCCTTCTTTCTCCTCTTCCTCCCTTTTCTTCTCTATTTCCCTCTCCCTCTCTTTATATACAGTATATCATATGATAGGTGTATGACATAAATATGTGATATGTAATATATGGGATAATATTTTATTTCCATACTGATTTGTTTAATCTGAGTTTCATATTTCAATTAATGCCCAATACATATCTGCATAATGTAAATTTTTTCTGTGACTCAATATGGATGACTGTTTAGTATTTATTATATAGCTTTACTAAATTTATTTAACTGAACCCCTATTAATGAATTTAGATTGGTTCTAGTTTTTGCTATTATAAAGAGTACTGCAACAAATATTCTTTTAGGCAAATATTTTTACACATCTAAGAGTGCACCTTTAGGGAAAAAGAAAAACAAACCTAGTAGAGTAGAGTCAGAGTTAGTCAGGAACAAAAGTAGAAAAGAACATTCTCATTCTAGAGGAATAAGCTCATTCATAAGTTAGAGGCATGAGAAGACACAGTAGGGTGATCATCAATTAAGGGGTATTTCAGAATCAAGAGTAGAATCTTGGCATGCAAATGAATGACTTCACAATGTGATGAATGCAACAATAGTGTATGAGCCAGGTATAGTCAGGAGATGAGTGAAGGGTTTTCAACACTGAGTGGATCAAGGAGTATTACATGCAAGAGGCTATATTTCACTGGATGTTGAAGTATGAGTAAAAGGAGTCAGATGAATCAACTAAAAATGTGAGGAATGAAAAGGGAATTACAGTTACAGAATCAGCATGTGCTTTCAGGACACAGTGTATTTGGCCTCAGTCCTGTAAGAAAATGTGAAGCCACTTGAAGGTTTTAACATAAAATTAGGTTCCTACTTTACATGACTATGAAAATAAATTCCAGATGAAAAAAATCCTAAACTCAAGTATTTCTTTTTAAAAATTAATAGAAGATATTATTTGAGAATATATTCATGATCTAGGCCAGAGAAGGCTTTCTGAAATGAGAGATAAAATTCGGATCAATAAATGTGGCCATGTAATAAATAAATTGCTTTTGAATTATAAGAAGACACCATAGACAGAGTCAGAAGACCAGTCACTGCCTGGCAGAAGGTATTTGCAACATGTATAATAGCCAAAGAATCAGAATATATAAAGCACTGCTAGAGTATAAGAAGAAAAAGTTAAACAACCAATATATAAATAGGTAAGAGTATAAACAAAAAATTTACTGTTTATACAAATATTTTAAAGATGCCCAACTTTGGTGGTAATCAGGGAAATGCCAATTATAGTAACAATAAGAATCAATTTTCACATATTTCACATATTGGCAAAGACTAAATCACTTGACAATATCAAGTGTGGCCAGAGATGGGAAGTGGCAGCTCTGTCGTATGCTGATGGTGGCACAGTCAGCATGGAAAGCTCTTTGATGGTATTTGTTAAAATAAGTACTAACCATTTGATTCATTCGTAGGTATCTATTTAGAGAACAACAAAGTTAGATATTCTTGATACCTAAGAATTTCATGAATGTGTACATGGAAACGTGTACAAGGATTTTCACCACAGAATTGTTTGTAATAAAACATAGAAGTAATCAACTAGGGGATTGCTTAGGCAACCATGGTGTATGATGGATTACTGTACAGCAGTTAAAAGAAATCAATTGTATTTTTACTTGTTAATACAGATCAATCTGAAAAACAACGTTGAGTGCAAAGTAAGTTAAAAATGATGCATTTAGTATGATAACGTTAATAGAAAATAAACCACTAAACATCAAAAATATTTTCTCTGTGTGTGCATGTGTATGTATTTGTGTGTGTGAAGGCAGAGAATAGTATTTTTATGTCATGAGAAGTAGAAGAGCAGAGGAGTCTTTTACTTCTACTTTTTATATCCTAATTTAATAAGCACAATATATCAGCACATGACTTTGTGTAATTAAAAATGGAAAGAAACCTCATAAAACAGATATGTTAGACTTTGTTTTAAGTATACTTTAAGTTTTAGGGTACATGTGCACAACATGCAGGTTAGTTACATATGTATACATGTGCCATGTTGGTGTGCTGCACCCAGTAACTCGTCATTTAACATTAGGTATGTCTCTTAATGCTATCTCTCCCCCCTCCCCACCCCACAACAGGCCCCGGTATGTGATGTTCCCCTTCCTGTGTCCATGTGTTTTCATTGTTCAATTCCCACCTATAAGTGAGAACATGCGGTGTTTGGTTTTTTGTCCCTGTGTTAGTTTGCTGAGAATGATGGTTTCCAGCTTCATCCATGTCCCTACAAAGGACATGAACTCATGTTTATGGCTGCGTAGTATTCCATGGTTAAAATAGTAGCTTATTGATTATAAGAAAACGGCACTTGTTTTTTCTCTTCTTTGTATTTTTATGTATTTTTTAAACCTAAAAATCAGACAATTTAGATTTTTCTTTAGATGAAGTCAAAATAAAGATATTGTGTTGGTGCCCCTCCCCTGATCCCATGAATTCCCTGTGCCCTTACTTACGCCAACAATTATTCTGACTTATCCTCCTACTCAAGGCCAGTCTTTTCACTGATCCCCATGACTGCCTCCCATCACATTACCTCCAAGACCGCTTCAGTCCTCAATTATTGCTTTTTTGTCATAACTTCAGCTTACTCTATACCCTTGGTTAAGCCTCTGCCAACCTGAAAGGTGGAAACTACACTTTAGGGCTAAGTTATTTATTTGTTCAGCTTACAAATCATCTTAGGCAAATAAACTTATCTGATACTTAGTTTCCTCAACTATAAATGGACATTTTATTCCTTAGGTCATGCCTTTGTAAGAGGAAAGTGTGTATGAAGACAAGTGTTGGGCAGGTGATAGGAGCCTGATAAATGTTAGTTTCCTTCCTTGCTGGTGAGAACAGGGTAACAGAAGAATAAAGGTTAGAAGTAATGTAATCCTCTGAATTTTAAGTACTGTGGAAAATATACTGGTCGAGTAAAAAGAGAAGACCTGTGTTTGAGATTTTTATTCTGCAACTGATCGTTATGCGGCCACTGGCAAACAACTTTAAAAAATCATTTTTTTCACTTCTGTTGAACCCCTTTCCCTCAAGTGGAATTTTGTTTTTAATGAACAACAGCAAAATGAATGCATACTCATATAAAAATATTTGCTATTTTTTCTTGTGTTATTTATCAGAGGAAAGTAGCACTGTATAAGTTATGGGCTGTTCCTTCATGTACAAAGTGGTGCAGGTGGAGAAAAAGACAGTTAATTTCAAACAAGTTTCCTGATATGTGTGAATCAAAACATTTATGGAATTATAAATTACTGACAAGTCACTAGCTGGTTCTTTGCAGACACAAAATTTTCAGCCTGATCTGTCTTTGAAAACTAGTTCATCTGCAAATTAGTTCAAAAAGTGATATACACAATAAAATTTATTTAAAAAAATGAAGGCCAAAGAGTTTCAAGAAGACAATTTCAATGTAAATATAAGACATTTAAGACAACTAACTTGTTTATTTATATTAAGTGGAAGCAGAATAGAATTTGGCAAAGCATGAGGGGTTTGGGTTGGACAGGCTTGGACCCAAATTCTATCTAAGCCAAGTTTTAGCTACTTACCTTGAACACCATAATTAATCTTTCTGTCTCTTGGTTTCCTAATTTATGAAATGGGAATATCAAGGTTATCATGTTTATTGAGTGGCATTGAGAATTATTAACAAATAACAGAAAGAATATAAAGTACTTTGCACATAGTAAACACTCAAATAAATTAAAAATAGCCATCATAATTATAAATACAATATCATTATTTTGTTGGTACTGACAGTTTCCTGTGAGTAGGGTCACAATTATATTCAAATAATGAAATATTTTAGACAGGTAAATTCTATGCTTTGAGGCTTAAAAAGGTAAGCACAGAAATAACTTAAGGTCACAAATTGCTGCCTTCATGGTGTAGGTCAAAGGACATAAAATTTCAGTTAGATCGGAGGAATAAGTGCAAGAGATCTGTTGTACAGCATGGTGACTGTAGTAAATAACGATATCTTGTATTCTTAAAAAATGCTAAGAGGGTAGATTTTAAGTGTTTTCACCACAAAAAGGATAACTATGTGAGGTAATGCATATGTTAATTAGCTTGATTTAACCATTCTGATGCAGGCAAACCCCAAAATTGGGGCTTTGACCAGTTGTGTCATGGCTGGGGTTGTGACTCGTGCTTGGAACACAAGTCCTGCTGATCTACCTCATTTTCCCCTCAGAGATTATATACTCCTCCTTAATTTTTAAGAGTTGCAGAAGGGTGGAAGTCCTTGAGCTTGCAGTTCAACTAACTCTGAATTGTTAACATAAGAACAACAGGTGTGGTTTATTACTGCACATACTTTTCCTTGTCATGCTACTTATCTGTGTGTTTGTCAAACAACAGCTTTAAATCTTCTTGGGGTTCACAAGTGTAGGTGGTGTTCTTCTCTTGCACCTGCAGGCACTCATGAGAAAATAAGTTTAATGCTATACAGGTGTACCCAGCTAGTGACTCCCTGAAGTTTCACAGCAGCACGGGTATTTAACAACACCTGATAGGGGGCTTTTTGTTTTGGTTGTAATAGATCCTTGGGGAAGCCTCCCTTCTTTCCAGGTTTTTAGTAAGACTAAGTCTCCGGATTAAAGAGGGGACATATTCTTTTCCTTTGTGGGAAAGGGAAATGCTTTATTTCCATATTCTTGAAAGGCCTTTCGAAACTGGCCTAAGTTGATAATATGAATGAGCGTTCTAGTTGTCTCCTCATCAAACAGGAAATCTGAAGTTAAAAAGGGCTTCCCATAGGTTATTTCAAATGGACTAAGTTTTAGGGTTCCTCTTGGAGCCCTCCTTATGCACAAGAGGGCTGTGGATTGGAGAAAAACTCAGGCCTCCCAGGTTTCCCAACAGAGTTTTACTAATGTCCTTTTAAAAACATGGTTGGCTCTTTCTACCTTACCAGAGGATTGAAGCCTCCAGGAGGAATGAAGATGACAGGTAATGCCCAAGGCTGAGGAAACCTGAGGGGTCACCTTACCTATGAAGGAGGGTCCATTACCACTTTGCAAGCCTTTTGGTAATCCAAACCTCGGGATGAAATTCTTTAAGTAAGAATTTGGACACTTCCAATACTTTTTCTGTCCTTGTGGGAAAAGTTTCTATCCACCTGGTGAAAATGGCTGTAAGTACTAGCAAATATTGTTGTCCTCTGTAAGGCAGTCTGAGTGAAATCTATTTGCCAGTCTTCCCCAGGGTATGTTCCTTGATGTTATAAAGGTTTGAGTAGGTGGCTTCCTGGGTTATTATGGGCACAGAGTTCACAGGTCCTGGTGACCCCTTTTTCAGTCTGGAATAGTCCCTTCTCCAAGAATATTTGGGAAACCAATTTGAAGAGAGAATTCCATCCCAAATGTGAGGAGTTATGGAAATGCTTAATTATTTTCCATTGCTTAGCCTTGGGGAGAAAGTTTATTGCTTTCTAGCAACTACCATGAGGGACTCTTTTGTAAGCCTTTCTGTTCTGTTCATTTGATTTCCTCAGGTGTATAGTATGATTCTGCTGACATGGGTGGAGTATCAGGCATTAGTGCAGTGGCCAGTAGTACTGATCTTCTTGTAGCAGTGACCTTGGCTGCTCTGTCTGCCAGAGCATTTCCTCTGATAATAGACATGTCTCCCTTTTTGTGTCCCCTGCAATGAATAACTGCTATTTCTTTTGGGAGTTGGACAGTATCTAAAAGTTCCAAGGTCTCAGTGATGTTTTATGGGGGACCCCTTAGATGTTAGTAGTCCTCTTTCTTTCTACAAGGCAGCATGAGCATGGAGCATCAGGAACCCATATTTAGATTGAGTAAATATATTGATTCTTTTCCCAGTTGGAGGGTCCTTATTAGAGCAATTAATTCCACTTTTTGAGCAGAAGTCTGGGGCGGTAAAGCTTTGGCCTTAATAACTTCTTGTTGGCTAACCATGGCATTACCTGCCTTCTTTACTACTCCTTTATGAATAAAGCTACTCCTGTCTGTAGACCACAAGACATCAAAGCTATCAGGGGCTCATCTTTAAGGTCAGACCTGCTAGAGTAGGTCTGCTCCATGGTTTTCATATAGGAGTGGATGAATTGGGGATCTGTTTCTTGGGATGTGGAGTCTGGGAACAGGGTAGCAGGGTTTAAAACTTAATATACCTTAAGGGTAACATCTGGGGGTGTCAAGCAGAAGGGCCTGACATTTAAGTAACTGGCTTCCTATTAGCCATTGATGTCCTTTTGCCTCTAGAACCTCCTGTACTTGATGGGGAGGTCATAACATCTAAATGGTGCACCAAGGTAAACTTACTGGCTGTTTCTATCAATAGAGTGATGGTGGCCATAGCTTGCAAGAATCCTGGCCGTCCAGCCACCATCTGTTCCAGCTGTTTAGAGAAGCCATTTGTCTAGGATTATTCCTGAGCCTTGGAGTTAGAACACCCAAAATTGTCCCTTGTTTTTCAGCCATATAGAGGGTGAAAAGTCCCAAAGCAGGGGCTGTTCCCATCTTTTCTTTTAAGGTTAGAAATGCCTGTTGGCAGGTTCCATCCCAGTTCAAAGGCTCATGATCATTCCCTTTTAGACCTTCATAGAGTGGTTTTGCTATGAGCCCCAACTCAGGAATCCAAATCCAGCACAATTCAGTCATTCCCACAAAGGTTCTTGACTATTTCTTAGTCTGAAGGGGCTGGAGTGCCAGGATGGTCTCTTTTCTTTCTGGGCTAGGGTCCTTGTCCCAGGAGAGAACATGTATCCCAACTATTTAACATTTTGAACAGAAATCTGGGCCTTGTGCTTGGGGAGGATACACGATACCCTTGTTTTCTCCCAGAATTAAGGACCTGAATTGTATTTTTATTAGAGTATTCTGTAGTAGGGCTGGAAATTAATAGGTCATCTACATATTGTAAAATGGATCCATTCTTTAACTATAATTCCCTTAATTATTTTGTCAATGCATTCCCAAAGAGATGAGGACTGTCCCTATGACCTTGGAGGAAAGACAGTCCAGGTAAACTGAGATATAGCATGAGGGTCTGGATCAGTCCATTCAAAAGCAGAAATATACTGAGAGGTCTGGGTGTAAAGGTATGTAAATAAAGCATCATTTAAATCTAATACTGTGAACCAATTTGCATCTTCAGGGACTTGGGTCAATATTGTGTAAGGGTTAGGAACTATTGGGTAGGCAGGGACTACTATCTCATTAACTGTCCTCAGGTCTCAAATCTGTATTCCCCATTTTCTTTCTTTACAGACAGGATGGGGCTATTACATGGGGACTTCCAGGGTTGTAGTAGTCCATACTTTAGAAACTTTGTTATCAGGGGTTGTATGCCTGATTGTGCTTCAGGTCTCATGGATATTGTTTCCTCCATGGGTAACCAACATTGGGCTTCAAGGTAACCTGGACTGGGGGTACATTAACAGCTCTACCAGCAACTTCTATTTCCCAGAGGGGTCTACTTGAGAAGTAATATGCAGTGGAAGGGAGGTCTTTTATTTATCTGTCTGTACTAAGGTATGCACTTAGAGCCCTTCCTGGCCTATTGCCTTATCATAAGGCTCCTCAAATTGAACTGTGGATTGTAATTAGGAATGTAAGTCTCTTCCCAGTAAAGACATAGGGCACTCAGGTTTAAAACTTATGGTCCCACACATTGCAACCAAGGCAGTGGGTGAATCTCCTAATTCTTGGATATCAATCTCTGCTATGGTATAAGAGCAGGAAGACACTGGCCCTGAGAAATGGGTCAGCACTCTTACCCAATAAGAACTCAGTCTTCTTACCTACCACATCAAGGGTTAGCCAAGGCTCCCCTGTGGAGATGGCAAGATGTCCAGTGGGAACCATGGAGGACTTCAGGCCCCTTCGATCCTCTGTTCTCTCTGCCATTATGAGTGTGGGTGGCCCAGGCTTTCTCCAGAGCCTGAGGAAGTCCCTTTCCCAATGGCCCTCTTGCTTACAGAAAACACACTGGCCCAGGGGACAGCAAGTCAGAGACTCTCACCTGGGTATCCCAGAGGCTGATTTTATGACACTTTCTCAGAATGGGTAACCCTGAGGTGGCACAGAGTTTAAGACAGCCACTAACAATTGTGCTTTTTGGCTATTTCTTTGGATTTTCTTCACCTTCTCTGCCCTGTCCCTATTGTTGTTAACTCCAAAGGCCGTGTTGGAGTTGGATCTTGGGTGTTTGAGGTCCCATTTCTGCCTTTTGTAGTTTCCTACTAAGTCAAGGGCAGATCAAGTAATAAAATGCATACCTAGGAGAGGTTGCCCTTCCCAGGAGTCTGGGTCTGCATTAGTATATTTCTTGAGTGCCTCAGCCATACTGTCTGTCCTGAAACAGAGCAGGATGTTCTTCCTTCCCCTGAGTTACTCCTGTAACCTTGTCATAACTGGCTTAACTATACACTTTTCCATACCTTCTATTAAATAAGTTACCATGTGATTTCTGCATTTGAAATCTTGGGAACCCCTCTGGCAATCCCACTGAGGTCCAAGTCTGGAACTGCATCTCCCTCCACATGATAAATGGCATGGCTTTTGTTTCAAGCAGCTACTCCATCTGCATATTTGTGGGCAGTATCCAGAATCCTTTGTTTCTGTCTTATGGTACAGCAGGTGGACAATAATATTTGCTTGTCTTGTCAAGATAAGTCAAAGTATATGGTCAACTTAACAAATTCCTCTATAAACTTCCCTGGATCCTCCAAAAATGGGCCAAATTTCTCCTTGCATAAAGTCAAATCAGACACAGAAAGAGGCACATGTACTCTGATTGTTCCCCTATTTCTGTCAGCTACCTCTTGCAATGGACACAGGTTCAGTTTTAGGGGCTGATATGGGGCCTCACTCCTGGTGGTACTGGTTGGGCTTATTTCCTCAAGCAGCAGGGGGTATAGGTTGGGCCTAATTGGCTAAAGGGGAGGGATGTCTGATGACCTTAGGGTGAAATCCTGCACTGGAGAACTAGTGGGACTCCCCTCAGAAACCGGGAACTGAGGAGGCTCCAGGGGCCATGGAGGCCTCCTAGGGAGAGCAGCTAGCAGGGTATCATCTAGGAAGTGCATATTCTTGGTATCTGGAAGTAACATGAGCTAGACACATCCTACAGCTCTCCCTTAAGTGAGGGTTCTGGTAAAGGGCCGTAAACACCTGTACATAAGGGAACTCTGTCCATTTTCCTTCCTTTTCACAGAATAAGTCCAACTGTAAAATAGTATTATAATGTAAAGAACCATTTTTAGGCCAAATTTCTTGGTCTTCCAATTTGTTTTGGACCCAAATCATATTGCAGTAGGAAATGAATTTCTTTCTCTTGAAGCTGTCTAACTTGAATTTGCTCCATTTGCCTAAAAGGCACCCTAGTGGTGAGTCCTTCAGGATGCTCACCATTGTCCCCGAGTCTAATGAGGATCTCTACAGAAGTTTTTCTAAGTCTAGTGAGAGCCCAGTTATTTTCCCTTTTAAATTCTCACCTTTTTTTCTCAAGAAAGGTCAGTGGGGAAGTTGTCACCAGTTCCTGCAAAGAGGGTGTAAGTACAGTTAGCAGGGTGTGATGAAAGTGAATTATGAGATATGAGTGGGCAGTGGAGTGATGACTGTGTCCACTGGCAAATGGAATACAAGAAAAGAGGTGTTGTAATAAGCAAAGTATAGAAGGAGAGGTGAAAATAGGGTGGCAGCAAAAAAGAATGAGTTCATCTCCTTTGCAGGGACATGAATGAAACTGGAAACCATCATTCTCAGCAAACTAACACAGGAATGGACAACCAAACACTGCATGTTCTCACTCATAAGTGGGAGTTGAACAATGAGAACACATAGACACAGGGAGGGGAACATCATACACCGGGGCCTGTTGGGGGATGGGGGGAAAGGGTAGGGAGAGCATTAGGACAAATACCTAATGCATGTGGGGCTTTAAACCTAGATGGTGGGTTGATGCATGCAGCAAACCACCATGGCACATGTATATCTATGTAACAAACCTGCACGTTCTGCACATGTATCCCAGAACTTAAAGAAAAAATAAATAAATAGATAAATAAAGATAGTTGAGAAAATATGGGATAGAAACCAGTAATTTGTGCCAATAAAATTCTTGGTTTTTTTAACACCCCCCCCCACCAAAAATAGGGTGACAGGATTCTCATAGTCTGAATTTCACAAAAAGGGACAAAAGCATTTTGGTTGAGGAAAAAGAGGGACTAGAGGAGATCGCTGAAAATGGTGGTATGACAAAGACCAAGATTGCCCCTAGGGTGGGACTCTAACCCACAATCCTAGAGGGAATGTAAAAAAATCCACAGTGCAGTGGGGGACCTCTCAAAATAAAAGAAACAAGGCCTGAATAGAAACAATTGTCCGAATAGGAGGGTGAACAAAGGGGACACTCTCCCATCCATGAAGGCCAAATGGTGCCAATTGGTCTTAATTTGGGGTTGAGGTAAATGTCTCCCTCAGTTCCCTTCAGCTTGTTAGTCCCTTCATGTTATTGTCCCTTTGTAGTCACCAGGAAAGATGACGCAGATGAACCCCAAAACTGTGGCTCAGCCTGTGAAGTTTCTTGGCTTTGTGCCAGAAAGGATTCAGAGCAAACTGAAAGTAAATTTATTAGAGCAACAAAGTACAAGAAAATGACTGCTCCATAGACAGAGCAAGGCTTTTCCATAGGCAGAGTAGTGCTGGTTGCTTGCTGGCTAGCTATATTTATAGCTACTACTTAACTATGGTAAGTAGTGGGTGGTTATTCACGAATTTTCTGGAAAAGAGGTGGAGAGTTTCCAGAACCTAGGGTTTCTCCTATTTTAAAAGGGTGTATAAGGTAACTTCTGGGCATTGCCATGGCATTTGTAAACTGTCAGGGAACTGTTGGGAGTGTCTTTTAGCATGCCAATGCATTATAGTTAGAGTATAATGAGCAATGAGGATGACTAGAAGTCACTTTCATTGCCATCTTGGTTTTAGCTGATTTCAGCCAGTTTCTTTACTGCATCCTGCTTTGACCAGCGGGGTTGTGACTGGTGCTCAGAAAACAAGTCCTGCTGATCCACCTCAATTACAGAATGTATACATATTTCAAAACATGTTGTACATGATAAATATATGCAATTTTATCTGTCAGATAAAATGTTAAAAAAAGAAATTCACTGCTTCCAATACATATAAAACATACAAAGTGAGTGCTTAGGTCAGGACTTCATTCACAGAAAGTGCTTAATAGAAATTAGTTATAATCGTTATCACAATTGTCATCATTATTCTTATTTTTATATTATCCTATTTCTCATTCCATTTTTCTTGGGAATTAAACTACATTTTTTAAAAAATTATACTTTAAGTTCTAGGGTACATGTACAGAATGTGCAGGTTTGTTACGTAGGTATACATGTGCCATGGTGGTTTGCTGCACTCATCAACTCGTCATCTATCCCTCCCCTAGCCCCCATCCCCCACACAGACCCCAGTGTGTGATGTTCCTCTCCCTGTGTCCACATGTTCTCATTGTTCAACTCCCACTTATGAGTGAGAACATGTGGTGTTTGATTTTCTGTTCCTGTGTTAGTTTGCTGAGAATGATGGTTTCCAGCTTCATCCATGTGCTTGCAAAGGACATGAACTCATCCTTTTTCATGGCTGCATAGTATTCCATGGTGTATATGTGCCACATTATCTTTATCCAGTCTATCATTGATGGGCATTTGGGTTGGTTCCAAGTCTTTGCTGTTGGGAATAGTGCTGCAATAAACATACGTGTGCATGTGTCTTTATAGTAGGATGATTTATAATCCTTTGGTTATATATCCAGTAATGGGATTGCTGGGTCAGATGGTATACAACTACATTTTTAAAGGATAAATTTTATTTTTAAAAACACAGTGTTGTTTGCATGTATTTACAAAATAGGCACTCATAGGAAATTATGACAATGCATTTATTTTTAAAAAGGCATTGTATGTAAGATGTGACCTGATACAAGGTCCCAAGAACACAGAAAATGTCTGCATCTGGTGATGTGCAGCTCCATGGGTTAGAAATGTCCTCCCGAAAACATGTTTCTGAGCTCTCCCACAGGAACCACAAGCTCAGTACAGACAGATCTTTTGGTCCCTGGCACTGACTCTCCTTTCTCCTTCTTTCAGAGGACCAGAACAGGATGAGATCTGTCATTCATCAGAGCTTTTAAACTTAGTTCTGCTCAGGCATCTCACAGTGGCCCCACCAGCCCCCTCATTTTAACTACAGAGACACTGAAGAGTATTTTCATCTCAGAAGAGAAAATAAGTGATGGGATAGACTTTAATTTCCAAGGACCTGGTTGGTGGCTCCAGTAAGCATCCCAGGTGAGAAAACAACCTGCCATTGTCTTGTCTGTATGTGTAAGCGGATGACATTAATGATAGATTTTTTTTTTGTTTGAGACGGAGTCTCGCTCTGTCGCCCAGGCTGGAGTGCAGTGGCGCGATCTCAGCTTACTGCAAGCTCCGCCTCCCGAGTTCACGCCATTCTCCTGCCTCAGCCTCCCGTGTAGCTGGGACTACAGGCACCCGCCACATGCCCGGCTAATTTTTTTGCATTTTTAGTAGAGAAGGGGTTTCACCGTGTTAGCCAGGATGGTCTCGATCTCCTGACCTTGTGATCCACCCCCCTTGGCCTCCCAAAGTGCTGGGATTCCAGGCGTGAGCCACTGCGCCTGGCCATGATAGATTTTGAAATGCAGTGGACTGAGACAGACATTGAATCCTGCTGTGCCTGTGGGGACTGAAGAAGAGTAGTGATGTTCTTGTTATCGTTTGTCTGAAACTGCAGTCTGCTGCACACCTTAGACTCTGGTGCCATCCCTGAAGGGTATTCAGTGTTGGAGCAGTTTTTATGACTTTTCAGCTGACTCATGGTTTCAATTTAAATCATTTAATTATCATTACTGAAAAAAAAGACATGTAATGTTATTTCCCTTTTACTGATGAAGGAACAGGTTGAGAGGTGAAACAATTTGCTTACATTTATAAGGCTAATTAATGCTGGAGACCAGATGAGAAATCAAGTCTGTTTGATCCAAGGCTCTTAATCCCTAACTTCAAAACGTCTGACTATATCTGAATCTTTTAACATTTCATTACATTCTTGGTATGGATTCTTTTCTATGATCTACATTTGTGATCACCATCATCCAGTTTCATGATACAAACTTATTTCTACATCTCTGGTAATTTCCTTTTCAGCTGTTTTGTTTTCAGTGCTTTCTTTTCCTTTGCTGGCATCTAAAACCAGATTTTAATGTACAGATATTTTTTGCCTTAACTTTATTTATATCAGTTACATTTATCAATTATATTTATTTTGCTCCAACCAATAATACTTTCAATTCTTCCCTGGTGCAGTGGCTGATGCCTATAATCCCAGCACTTTGGGAGGCCAAGGTGAGCTGATCACCTGAGTTCAGGAGTTTGAGACCAGCCTGGCCAACATGGTGAAACCCTGTCTCTACTAATAATACAAAAATTAGCTGAGCATGGTGGTGTGCACCTGTAATCCCAGCTACTTGGGAGGCTGGGGCACGAGAATTGTTTGAACCCGGGAAGCGGAGGTTGCAGTGAGCTGAGATCATGCCACTGTACTCTAGCGTGGGTGACAGAGCGAGGCACTGCCTAAAAAAAAAAAATACTTTCAATTATTTTTGTAGATAATTGTATACTATAGAGAATGGAGATACAATTTTTAAAAGTAAGTTTTCATGAAAATGTTCTTTTTAGCCCTTTCATATATAGTTGTTTGTTCTCTTGTAAAATAAAACTTCATTCTAGCTGTAGTGCTGGGTATGAAAGGTATCAAGAATGTTGCTGTTAATCTGTTTCATACCCACAAGCAGGCAACAATATAAATTTTGTGAGCCCTTGAAACTTTTGCCCTTGTGAGTTCTTTCCTCCATAAAAAGTATTAAAAATTGTATTTTATGAGTATATTGGCATAAAGATAAATATAATCCAGTTGTACTTAGATTATATTCATTTTCTTCTTCTTCTTTTAAAGAAATTAAGCATTAAGCATTTCAAGGGCTCCTAAAAGTATCACGGGCTGTTGGCACTATTGTGCCTTAAGGAATATGTCAGCCTAGCCTAATATATGTCCTCCTAATAAAAATTGATGGACACAGGATAAGATAATTGAATGTCCCAAGTTTAATCGATCAAGAAATAGAATAAATCTCTATAAAATATCACCAGATATTCTTGCCTAAATGTTTGTGTCACAAGACTTATTTATCATCAGTTGTCATTATTTGCTTCCAGAGCTTCTTAATGACATTTTTCACTTCTTTATTTTTGAGGGTGTAGATTAAAGGGTTCAACATAGGTGTAAATAGGGTGCAAAACACAGTCACAGCTTTGTCAGTGGGGAAGGAGGTTAGGTCTTAGATACAGGTATGAAAAAGGGACAAAGAATAAGATGACAATGAAGATATGAGAGGCACAACTAGACAGAGCTTTGCGACGCCCTTCAGAGCTATGAGTCCTCAGGAAGCACAGGATGATGACATAGGAAGCAACCAGCATGGAAAAAATGAGGAAACACAGTGACCCACTGTTGGCAGCAATCAGAGGCCCCAAGGTGTGAGTGTCTGTGCAGGCCAGCTCCAGAAGAGGTACTAAATCACACATAAAGTGGTTGATGACATTGGGGCCACAGAATGGTAACTGGGCTATGAACAAAGTCTGGATCCCTCCATGCACAAATCCCAGAATCCCAGCCACCACCATCAGGAATCCACACATAGGTTGGCTCATGATGGTTGCATAGTGCAAGGGCTTACGGATGGCCACATAGTGGTCATAGGCCATGACACTTAATAAGATGATCTCAGCTGCCTCAAAGAAATGTTCTGTGGGGGAGGTGGAGCCAAGATAGCCCAATAGGAAGGGCTCCAGTCTACAGCTCCCAGCGTGAGCGATGCAGAAGATGGGTGATTTCCGCATTTGCATCTGAGGTACTGGGTTCACCTCACTAGGGAGTGCCAGACAGTGGGTGCAGGACAGTGGGTGCAGTGCACCATGCATGAGCTGAAGCAGGGCGAGGCATTGCCTCACCCAGGAAGTACAAGGGGTCAGGGAGTTCCCTTTCCTAGTCAAAGAAAGGGGTGACAGATGGCACCTGGAAAATCAGGTCACTCCCACCCTAATACTGCACTTTTCCAACAGGCTTAAAAAACGGCACACCAGGAGATTATATCCCACAACTGGCTCAGAGGGTCCTATGCCCATGGAGTCTCACTGATTGCTAGCACAGCAGTCTGAGATCAAACTGCAAGGCGGCAGCGAGGCTGGGGGAGGGACGCCTGCCATTGCCCAGGCTTCATTATGTAAACAAAGCAGCCAGGAAGCTTGAACTGGGTGGAGCCCACCACAGCTCAAGGAGGGCTTCCTGCCTCTGTAGGCTCCACCTCTGGGGGCAGGGCACAGACAAACAAAAAGACAGCAGTAACCTCTGCAGACTTAAACATCCCTGTCTGACAGCTTTGAAGAGAGTAGTGCTTCTCCCAGCACACAGCTGGAGATCTGAGAACGGGCAGACTGCCTCCTCAAGTGGGTCCCTGACCCCCGAGCAGCCTAACTGGGAGGCACCCCCCAGTAGAGGCAGACTGACACCTCATATGGCCGGGTACTCCTCTGAGACAAAACTTCCAGAGGAATGATCAGGCAGCAGTACTTGCAGTTCACTGATATCTGGTCTTCTACAGACACTGCTGTTCTGCAGCCACCGCTGCTGATACCCAGGCAAACAGGGTCTGGAGTGGACCTCTAGCAAACTCCAACAGACCTGCAGCTGATGTCCTGTCTCTTAGAAGGAAAACTAACAAACAGAAAGGACTTCCACACCAAAAACCCATCTGTACCTCACCATCATCAAAGACCAAAGGTAGATAAAACCACAAAAATGGGGAAAAAACAGAGCAGAAAAACTGGAAACTCTAAAAAGCAGAGCACCTCTCCTCCTCCAAAGGAATGCAGCTCCTCACCAGCAAGGGAACAAAGCTGGACGGAGAATGACTTTGATGAGTTGAGAGAAGAAGGCTTCAGATGATCAAACTACTCCAAGCTACAGGAGGAAATTCAAACCAATGGCAAAGAAGTTAAAAACTTTGAAAAAAAATTAGACGAATGGATACCTAGAATAACCAATGCAGAGAAGTCCTTAAAGGAGCTGATGGACCTGAAAGCCAAGGCTTGAGAACTACGTGAAGAATGCAGAAGCCTAAGGAGCTGATGCAATCAACTGGAAGAAAGGGTATCAGTGATGGAAGATGAAATGAATGAAATGAAGCGAGAAGGGAAGTTTAGAGAAAAAAGAATAAAAGAAACAAAAAAAGCCTCCAAGAAATATGGGACTATGTGAAAAGACCAAATCTACGTCTGATTGGTGTACCTGAAAGTGAGGGGGAGAATGGAAGCAAGTTGGAAAACACACTGCAGGATATTATCCAGGAGAACTTCCCCAATCTAGCAAGGCAGGCCAACATTCAGATTCAGGAAATACAGAGAATGCCACAAAGATACTCCTCAAGAAGAGCAACTCCAAGACACATAAATGTCAGATTCACCAAAGTTGAAATGAAGGAAAAATGTTAAGGGCAGCCAGAGAGAAAGGTCGGGTTACCCACAAAGGGAAGCCCATCAGACTAACAGCAGATCTCTTGGCAGAAACTCTAAAAGCCAGAAGAGAGTAGGGGCCAATATTCAACATTCTTAAAGAAAAGAATTTTCAACCCAGAATTTCATATCCAGCCAAACTAAGCTTCATAAGTGAAGGAGAAATAAAATACTTTAAAGACAAGCAAATGCTGAGAGATTTTGTCACCACCAGACCTGCCCTAAAAGAGCTCCTGAAGGAAGCACTAAACATGGAAAGGAACAACCGGTACCAGCCACTGCAAAAACATGCCAAAATGTAAAGACCATCAAGGCTAGGAAGAAACTGCATCAATTAATGAGCAAAATAACCAGCTACCATCATAATGACAGGACCAAATTCACATATAACAATATTAACTTTAAATGTAAATGGACTAAATGCTCCAACTAAAAGACACACACTGGCAAATTGGATAAAGAGTCAAGACCCATCAGTGTGTTGTATTCAGGAAACCCATCTCATGTGCAGAGACACACATAGGCTCAAAATAAAGGGATGGAGGAAGATCTACCAAGCAAATGGAAAACAGAAAAAGGCAGGGGTTGCAATCCTAGTCTCTGATAAAACAGACTTTAAACCACAAAGATCAAAAGAGACAAAGAAGGCCATTATATAATGGTAAAGGGATCAATTCAACAAGAAGAGCTAACTATCCTAAATATTTATGCACCCAATAAAGGAGCACCCAGATTCATAAAGCAAGTCCTGAGTGACCTACAGAAAGTCTTAGACTCCCACACAATAACAATGGGCAACTCTAAAACCCCACTGTCAGCATTAGATAGATCAGTGAGACAGAAAGTTAACAAGGATACCCAGGAACTGAATTCAGCTCTGCATTAAGCAGACATAATCGATATCTACAGAACTCTCCACCCCAAATAAACAGAATATACATTTTTTTCAGCACCACACCACAGCTATTCCAAAATTGACCACATAGTTAGAAGTAAAGCACTTCTCAGCAAATGTAAAAGAATAGAAATTATAACAAACTGTCTCTCAGACCACAGTGCAATCAAACTAGAACTCACGATTAAGAAACTGACTCAAAGCCACTCAACTACATGGAAACTGAACAACCTGCTCCTGAATGACTACTGGGTACATAAAGAAATGAAGGAGAAATAGAGATGTTCTTTGAAGCCAACGAGAATGAAGGCACAACATACCAGAATCTCTGGGATACATTCAAAGCAGTGTGTAGAAGGAAATGTATAGCACTAAATGCCCACAAGAGAAAGCAGGAAAGATCCAAAACTGACACCCTAACATCACAATTAAAAGAACTAGAAAAGCAAGAGCAAACACATTCAAAAGCTAGCAGAAGGCAAGAAATAACTAAAATCAGAGCAGAACTGAAGGAAATAGAGACACAAGAAACTCTTCAAAAAATTAATGAATCCAGGAGCTGGTTTTTTGAAAGGATCAACAAAATTGATAGACCACTAGCAAGACTAATACAGAAGAAAAGAGAGAAGAATCAAATGGATGCAATAAAAAATGATAAAGGGGATATCACCACCGATCCCACAAAAATACAAACTACCATCAGAGAATACTACAAACACCTCTACGCAAATAAACTAAAAAATCTAGAAGAAATGGATAAATTCCTCAACACACACACCCTCCCAAGACTAAAGCAGGAAGAAGTTGAATCTCTGAATAAACCAATAACAGGCGCTGAAATTGTGGCAACAATCAATAGCTTACCAACCAAAAAAAGTCCATGACTAGATGGATTCACAGCAGAATTCTACCACAGGTACAAATAGAAGCTGGTACCATTCCTTCTGAAACTATTCCAATCAATAGAAAAAGAGGGAATCCTCCCTAACTCATTTTACGAAGCCAGCATCATCCTGATATCAAAGCCGGGCAGAGACACAACCAAAAAAGAGAATTTTAGACCAATATCCTTGATGAATATTGATGCAAAAATCTTCAATAAAATACTGGCAAATCGAATCCAGCAGCACATCGAAGAGCTTATCCACCATGATCAAGTGGGCTTCATCCCTGGGATGCAAGGCTGGTTCAACATATGCAAATCAATAAATGTAATCCAGCATATAAACAGAACCAAAGACAAAAACCACATGATTATCTCAATAGATGCAGAAAAGGCCTTTGGCAAAATTCAACAACTCTTCATGTTAAAAACTCTCAATAAATTAGGTATTGATGGGACATATCTCAAAATAATAAGAGCTGTCTATGACAAACCCACAGCCAATATCATCCTGAATGGGCAAAAACTAGAAGCATTCCCTTTGAAAACTGGCACAGGACAGGGATGCCCTCTCTCACCACTCCTATTCAACATAGTGTTGGAAGTTCTGGCAAGGGCAATTAGGCAGGAGAAGGAAATAAAGGGTATTAGATTAGGAAAAGAGGAAGTCAAATTGTCCCTATTTGCAGATGACATGATTGTATATCTAGAAAACCCCATTGTCTCAGTCCAAAATCTCCTTAAGCTGATAAGCAAAGTCTCAGGATACAAAATCAATGTGCAGAAATCACAAGCATTCTTATACACCAATAACAGACAAACAGAGAGCCAAATCATGAGTGAACTCCCATTCACAATTGCTTCAAAGAGAATAAAATATCTAGGAATCCAGCTTACAAGGGATGTGAAGGACCTCTTCAAGGAGAACTACAAACGACTGCTCAATGAAATTAAAGAGGATAGAAACAAATGGAAGAACATTCCATGCTCATGGGTAGAAAGAATCAATATCGTGAAAATGGCCATACTGCCCAAGGTAATTTATAGATTCAGTGCCATCCCCATCAAGCTACCAATGCCGTTCTTCACAGAATTGGAAGAAACTACTTTAAAGTTCATATGGAACCAAAAAAGAGCCCGCATCGCCAAGTCAATCCTGAGCCAAAAGAACAAAGCCGGAGGCATCATGCTACCTGATTTCAAACTATACTACAAGGCTACAGTAACCAAAACAGCATGGTACTGGTACCAAAACAGAGATGTAGATCAATGGAATGGAAGAGAGCCCTCAGAATAATGCTGCATATCTACAACTATCTGATCTTTGACAAACCTGACAAAAATGAGAAATGGGGAAAGCATTCCCTATTCAATAAATGGTGCTGGGAAAACTGACTAGCCATATGTAGAAAGCTGAAACTGGATCCCTTCCTTACACCTTATAAAAAAATTAATTCAAGATGGATTAAAGACTTACATGTTAGACCTAAAACCATCAAAACCCTTGAAGAACCTAGGCAATACGATTCAGGACATAGGCATGGGCAAGGACTTCATGTCTAAAACACCAAAAGCAATGACAACAAAAGCCAAAATTGACTAATGGGGTCTATATAAACTAAAGAGCTTCTGCGCAGCAGAAGAAACTACCATCAGAGTGAACAGGCAACCTACAAAATGGGAGAAAATTTTCTCAACCTACTCATCTGACAAAGGGCAAATATCCAGAATCTACAATGAACTCAAACAAATTTACAAGAAAAAAAACAAACAACCCCACCAAAAAGTGGGTGAAGGACATGAATAGACACTTCTCAAAAGAAGACATTTATGCAGCCAAAAAACACATGAAAAAATGCTCATCATCACTGGCTATCAGGGAAATGCAAATCAAAACCACAATGAGATACCATCTCACACCAGTTAGAATGGCAATCATTAAAAAGTCAGGAAAAAACAGGTGCTGGAGAGGATGTGGAGAAATAGGAACACTTTTACACTGTTGATGGGACTGTAAACTAGTTCAACCATTGTGGAAGTCAGTGTGGCGATTCCTCAGGGATCTAGAACTAGAAATACCATTTGACCCAGCCATCCCATTACTGGGTATGTACCCAAAGGATTATAAATCATGCTGCTATAAAGACACATGCGCACGTATGTTTATTGTGGCACTATTCACAATAGCAAAGACTTGGAACCAACCCAAATGTCCAACAACGATAGACTGAATTAAGAAAATGTGGCACATATAGACCGTGAAATACTATGCAGCAATAAAAAATGATGAGTTCATGTCCTTTGTAGGGACATGGATGAAACGGGAAACCATCATTCTCAGCAAACTATCACAAGGACAAAAAACCAAACACTGCATGTTCTCACTCATAGGTGGAAATTGAACAATGAGAACACATGGACACAGGAAGGGGAACATCACACACTGGGACCTGTTGTGGGGTGGGGGGTGGGGGGAGGGAGGAGGGATAGCATTTGGAGATATACCTAATGTTAAATGATGAGTTAATGGGTGCAGCACACCAACATGGCACATGTATAAGTATGTAACAAACCTGCACGTTGTGCACATGTACCCTAAAACTTAAAGTATAATAATAATAATAATAAAAGAAATGTTCTGTGAAGAGCTGAGTCATGCAGCCATTGAAGGATATGGTGTTCTTTTCAGAGATCAAGTCAAAGTTCATTTTAGGGGCTATGGAAGAAGAGCAGAAAATGTCTATAATGAACAAATAGGACGGAAAAGAGTACATGGGGGAACCCAGGGCTGGGCTGATGAAGATGATGACTGAGATGAACAGGTTACCTGCCAATGTGATCAAGTAGGTGATTAAAAACATAACAAACAAGAATTTCTGCAGTTCTGGATTGTGAGTGAGGCCCAGCAGTATGAATTCTATTACATTGTTCATCTTTTTCATAGATTTAGCTCAGGTTGTGTGTGTATGGCCCATCTGAAAAAAAATAGTATTTCTGAATGATGACATTTTAAATTCAATACTAAAATATTTCATTATCTCTTTAGTCCTGGTTTTTGGGGGTGATGGAGCTACATTGCCACTCACCTCTGCTGTTTTGCAGTGTTGCAAAGAAGAACAGAAGAGTAGATTTCTCCTATTTCATATATTAATGAAATAGTGATAATATCTTACCAGTACTACAATAAAACAAGATCTTTTTATAAATGTTGACTTCCAAACTCCCTTTCTGGCTCTAAAATTTCACATATGGCTTTCTTTCATTTTGGGGGAGGACAAAACTCATCAATAACAATTGTTTTGAAATTATACTTTCTCTTGTTATGGTTATTTGTAGGTATATGAACCCAGTATGTGTATTAGATACTAATATGCATATTCGATACTAAAGTACAAAGCCTTACTAATTCTAAGCCAGCTACGTTCTGTGATCTATTGTCCTTTTTTGTCATATAAATGCGCATGTGCACAGATTGAGACAGAGCTGCAAATGGAGATATTTTTCTTTTGGAATGCCGGGTAACTATCACAATAACAGCTCATTGAGGATAATTCATTCAACATCCCTGAATGTTGCATCTATCTCTAAATGACACTTTTTTTCATGCTCACTCTTTCTGCATCTTTAATTGTGGCTATGTAAGTGGTACAAAGTTATAAAATTTAATGGTATTTCATAAATACATTTTCCTCATGTTTGGACTTTTATCACATGTAGAATTATACACTGGATTAGATATATTTCCCCACTCACATCTTACAAATGGAATTAAATGAGTCATGATGTTTTCCCTCAGTTTTCTATTGGCAAGACAGAAATGTTTGGGTCACCTGAGATGATGCAATTTTCTCTTTTGGCATAAGTTCAGTCATTTAAGATGAACTTGTAGTTTCCATTGCTAACTGGTAAACAACTGGAAATTTGTATTGTTAATGGAAAACATTTAATATATATAAGAATGTAGATATTTTTGAGTAATCTAGACAAAGAGTTTCAAGAGTAAGTACATGTGGTTACAAAAGAGCATAAGATATTTTATTTCTTCTCCTCCCCCTTTTCTCCTTCTTTCCCTAACCCCTGGCAAAAATGTAACCACATAGTTTTCCTCAAAAATTTCTAGAAACAGAAATCAGTCAGCATCATGACCTCTGAGCTTCATTAAAGGCGAGTAAAAATATCTTTGGTTTTCAGGAAAACTCAGTTGCTAAGTTGCTTTCTCTTTATTCATAGCTTCTGTAGATGGTGACTATAAGGTTAATCATTCTTAAGGGATTTAATTCACAAATTCTAACTTCAATGTAGTAATATGGAAGTCAAGAAAAGGGGAAAAACATTTCAAGCATGACAAACAGAAATCTACAGAATCAATGTATTCAGTGAGACATAAATGTTAACCATGATGTTTTAAAAGTGACTTCAGTAGTTCTTAGCAACATCTGGTCTGGCAACATTATGCATTGTCTTTTCTATTGATATTTTTATGTCAATGTGTCCAAATTCATTTTCAGAGAAAAATACTCAACTTTAAGTCAAGTATATAATGACAAAAACTACTTCACTGAAAACAAATTGGCTAAAACAAGTTAATCTGCTTAAAATTTGGGAGAAAAGGTTTAGTTTTCACTGACCTGGATCTAGTTGATTGTGGGTTCCTCCAATTTTAGATTGAGTGCGGTCACTGCTTTCTTCTCCTGCAGGCATGGAACACGGCCGCAAATAGACTCTACGAGTTGCCAAGTGGGATATTGGAATTCTCTAGATGGCTCTTCCAGTTCTGACATTTTAGTTTATTTTGCTTTCCATTGTCAGTCTGAATTTACTAAGAAAACAAGCTGTTTCAGTTAGAAAACTTCAGTATCTCTAGGATTGAGTGTCTACTCACTTTCTGGGTTTCCTATGAATGTATAAGCCAATCTTCAAAATATATCTATTTTTCAGATCTCTTAGGACTATATTCAATCCAAATTAAAAACTAGGAATAATGCAAAATTCCTCAAATTTGGAAAAAGCAACTATAAAATGAGTAAGTAAATCAAATCCACTTGATTGGATATTGTTTTCTCAAATCTATTCTGATGAAATTTTGTTTCCTTGAGTCCCTGAAAAATGTGGTGAGAGAATTCCTTTTATTTGTGATTCAAGTTCTTCTTTCAACTCTGTTTTCCTAGAAACCCACTAAGCTCAGGAGTGGTGTCTCCCAAACATATCTTCATCATTTTGCTTCCTGTCTCTGCTGCTGTCATTTGCTCACAGGTCCTTCTTTGTAATTCTTTCTTCATTGGCTCTAGAGAAATATTTAAATAGACTATCACAGACTGTAGTATTTGGCAATGCATTGACCTTTCAAGTACCCAGAGGATTAGTAATTGGCCTTGTTGGAATGTTTGGCAAAGCAATATTCAGGTCCTTCATTTACTCTCACTTGGCACCCACAAATGTCATTAGTGGCTAGTTTTAGAAATGCAATTGAACTTGGGTTAAAGATATGTCTGCGGCTGTTGTTTAGGATAACATCTGGAAACCTTCACTGTAGGTTTTTTTTGCTAGTTGTGGCATTGTTGAGCCTAGCCTAGGATATGGAGTGGTTTTAGGCAAAGGTCAGAGTTCAGAGAATAAATTTTTTTCTGAACCCATGTCTGGTCTAAATGATATGGTTGCTCTGAAGAATGGGGAATACCAGTATTCAAGGTCATGTGTCAGATTACTCTGGGAGATTGTGAGATTTTTATTAATGACTGAGAGGACTTACACAGCAGGATTTCCAACTACCAAAGATTGGGTAATTTAAAGTGACAGAGATATCAACTTCCTGTAGGGTGATTACCTAGATGATATGTTCTCATGATGAATTCAAGAGTATATATCTTTTCTTTCTACCCCACAAAGAGAGAATGGTGTGACTTGGAGTAGGTATCATGCTTTCCCACATTGTCATTGAGAATCAGTCACACTCAGCCAAGCACTCATGTATGATGGCATCCAGAGGTGGGGAATAGAGACACTCTAGAAGAAGGCTCCACTACTATCTTCTCTCCTTCAGTTTGTGAGGTGATGAAGAACTGACTGCAACTTTGCATGGAATCACCTTTTCTGCTCTCAACTTTTGGTTTCAAAACAAACTGACACACTCCCAAAGTTCAGGACCAGAAAACAAAAGCAAAACTTTCCTCTATTCTCAATAGAATGGGGGCCTTATGGATTGGCCTAGAGCCTGGAACTAGCCTGGTGTTGGGGCAGGAATGGACCCAGGGTCTACAAACACCAGTCTGGAGGCCAAGATTGCAGGGGCTGGCCTGGTGCCTGGAATCATGGGGTTCTGGAATATGGAGCTGTGGGGATCTGCTTAAAACTTGGGTCTTCAGGGGCCAGACTGGAGACTGGGTGTATAAGTGCTAGTCTAGGGGTTGAGTTCATGATGGATGGATGGGTCCTGAGGCCTCAGGTGCCAGCCTGAAACCTAGGTCCACAGTAGCATTCCTAGAGCCTGGGTCCAGGAGGGGTGGCCCAGTGCTTGGGTTTATTGGGCTGGGCCTGGACCCTGGGTATTCAAGAAGCCCTGAGTCCTAAGTCTGCTAAAATGTAGGAATGCTGGGTTCAGCCTGGTGGGTGGGGCCACAGGGACCAGTCTCCTACTGCATAAGCCTGGAGACTCTGTCTGTGAGTGCTAGCCTGGTACCTGAGGCCAGGTGTGCTGACCTCAGGGCTGCTGGAGTGGTCCTGAAGCCTAGGGCTGTGTAGGCCAACCTTGCTCTGAGCTGGTCTGGAACCTGGTGCAGAGCTGGAAACTGGGGTCACAGGGGCTGGCCTGGTACTAGGCAGGCCGGGAGCCTGGACCTGAGGGTCAGCTTGGAGTCTGGATCTGTGGATATGGACCTTATGACTAGGGCTATGGGGCCTGCCTCACACTGGGGTAGGGGTAGGCTTGAAACCTGGAGCTATTGGAGTTTGCCTGGCAATGTTGTGGGTCCAGAGACCAAGTCAGCAAGGGAGTCCTGGAACCTGGGGCCATGGGGTACTGGCCAGCGCTAAATTTTACTGGGGCTATTCTGATATTAGAGTCTGAGGCCAAGTGCAGTGCTCATTTCCCTCTCCTTCCTTCATGCAGAGGCTATTTCTCTCCATGCCATGCTGCCTGGGGTTGTGGGGAACATGGGTGGTGACACAGGTAATGTAAAATCGTCTTTTCTATCCTCTTCAATGCATCTTTTCTTATTTCTGTGCTACACCCAGGTGCTATAATATCTCAGCTGGTTTCCTTAGCTCTTGTGAAGGTATTTTTAATGTAGATAGTTCAAATTGATGCTTCTGTGGAGGGACAAGAGTTGTCCGGTGAGAATTTTCATATCATTATTGATAAAGAAGCTTAAGGTTGAGAGATTCTGTTTTGGTTCCTATTTTCCTGACAAGTAGGAGGTGTAATGTTCTGAGATTAAAGGAAAATTTGTGGAATGTAGATGTATTAGTTCTCGTACTGCTATAAGGAACTACCTGAGACCAGGAAATTTATGAAGAAAAGAGATTTAATTGACTCATAGTTCTGCAGGCTGTACAGGAAGCATGGCTGGGGGTCCTCAGGAAGCTTACAATCATGGTGGAAAGTGAAGGGGGAAGCAAGCACATCTTACTGTGGTGGAACAGGAGATACAGTGAAGGGGAAAGTGCTACACATGTTTAAACAACCCAATCTAACATCCTTATCACATTTCAAAACACAATCATGCCTTCCAACAGTCCCCCCAAATCCTAACTAATTCTAGGATTAACTCAAAAGTCCAAGTCCAAAGTCTAACCTGAGACAAGGCAAGTCCCTTACTCCTGCGTGCCTATAAAACCAAAAACAAGTTAGTTACCTCCAAGATACAATGGGGGTATAAGCATTAGGCAAGCAAATGTCCCCATTCCAAAAGGGAGAAATTGGCCAAGGCAAAGGGGCTATAAGCTCCATGCAAGTCTGAAACCCAGTAGGGTAGTCATTAAATCCTAAAGCTCCAAAGTAATCTCCTTTGACTACATGTCTCACATCCAGGCCACACTGATGCAAAAGAAGTTGGGCTCTCAAGGCCTTGGGCAGCTCCATCCCTGTGGCTCTGCAGGGTACAGTCCCTGTGGCTGCTTTCATGGGCTAACGTTGAGTGCCTGCAGCTTTTCCAGGTGCCGGGGCAAGCTGTGGGTAGATCTATCATTCTGTGATCTGGAGGATGATGGCCGTTTTCTCACAGTTCCAGTAGGCAGTGCTTCGTGAGGACTCTGTGTGGGGGCTTCCACTCCACATTTCTCCTTTGCACTGCCATAGTAGAGGTTCCCGAATGAGAACTGAAGCAAACGTCTGCCTGGACATCAAGACATTTCCATACATCCTTTGAAATCTAGACAGAGGCTCCCAAACCTCAACTTTTGCCTTCTGCACACCTGCAGGCCAAATACCATGTGGAAGCTTGGGCCTTGCACCCTCTGAATCAATGGCCTGATCTGTACTTTGGCCCCTTTTAGCCATGACTAGAGCTGGAGTGGCTGGGAGGCAGGGTGCCATGTTCTGAGGCGGCACACAGCAGGAAGGCCTTGGGCCTGGCCCATGAAACAATTTTTTCCTCTTAGGCCTCCAGGCCTGTGATGGGAGGGGCTGCCACAAAGGTCTCTGAAATGCCATGGAGTAATTTTCTCCATTATCTTGACTATTAACATTTGGCTCTTCTTTACTTATGCAAATTTCTGCAGCCTTGAATTCCTCCCCAGAAAATGGTTATTTTCTTTTCTACTGCATAGTTGGGCTGCAAATTTCCCAAGCTTTTATGCTCTGCTTCCCTTTTTAATATAAGTTTTATTTTCAGGTCATTTATTTGTTTATGCAAATGAGCATAGGCTTTTTAGAAGCAGCCAGGCTACATGTTAAATGCTTTGGTGCTTAGAATTTTTCTGCCAGGTACCCTAAATCATCTCAAGTTCAAAGTTCCACAGATCTCTAGAATGGGGGCACAATGCTGCCAATTTCTTTGCTAAAGCATAGCAAGAGTGACCTTTACTTTAGTTCCCAATAAGTTCCTTTATCTCCATCTGATACCTCATTAGCTTGGCCATCTCTGTCTATATCACTATCAGCATTTTGGTCAAAGCATTCACAAACCTCTAGGAAGTTCCAAATTTTCCCACATCTTCCTGTCTTCTTCTGAGCCCTCTATCTGTTCCAATCTTTGCCTATTACCTAGTTCCAAAGTTGCTTCCAACATTTTCAGGTACCTTTATAGCAATGCCCCACTTCTGTGGTACCAATTTTCTATATTAGTCCATTCTCACATTGCTATAAAGAACTACTTGAGACTGGGTAATTTATGAAGAAAAGAGGTTTAATTGACTCACAGTTCTGTAGGCTGTACCAGAAGCATGGCTGGAAGGCCTCAGGGAACTTACAGTAATGGCAGAAGGTGAAGGGGAAGCAAGCAAGGGAGCAAGAGAGAGAGAGCAAAGGGGTTGTTCTAGGCACATTTAAACAACCATATCTCATGAGAACTCAGTCACTATCACAAAATACAGCAAGGGGGAAATCCGTCCCCATGATCCGATCACCTCCCACTAGGTCCCTTCCACAACGTTGGGAATTACAATTTGGCATGAGATTTGTGTAGGGACACATAGCCAAACCATATTAACAAGTTATTGAAATTGGAAGAATATGTAGGAAACAAATAGAAAAACATGCCATGCTCATAGATTGGAAGAATCAATGTGAAAATGACCGTATTACTCAGAGCAATCTATAGATTCAGTGCAATTCCTATCAAAATACCAACCTCATTTTTCGCACAATTAGAAAAACAAAACTAAAATTCATATGGAACCAAGGAAGAGCTCAAATAGCTAAAGCAATCCTAGGCAAAAAGAACAAAGCTGAAGGCACCATATTACCTGACTTTAAATTATCCTACAAGGATATAATAACCAAAATAGCATGGTACTGGTATAAAAGTATATATATAGACAAAGAGAAGAGAATGGAGAACCTAGAAATAATGACAAATATCTACAACCAACTGATCTTTGACAAAGCAGACAAAAAAACCCAAAAACAGACAAAAAAACATGCACTGGGGAAAGGACAACCTATTCAATAAATGGTGCTGGGAAAATGGGATAGCCACATTCAGAAGAAGGAAACCAGATATCTATCTCTCATCATATACAAAAATTAACTCAAGATGGATTAAAAAATTAAATGTAAGACCGGAAACCATAAAAATTCTAGAAGAACCTAGGAAAAACTTTTTTGAACATTGACCTAGGCAAAGAATTTATGTCTAAGACCCCAAAAGCAAATGCAACAAAAATAAAAATAAATAGGACTTAATTAAACTGAAATGATTCTGCATAGCAAAAGAAATAATCAACAGAGCAAACAGACAACCTACAGAATCAAAAAAAAATTTATAAACTCAACATTTGACGAAGGACTAATATCCAGAATCTACAAGGAACTCAAACAAATTAACAAGGAAAAACCAAATAATCCCACTAAAATGTGAGCAAATGATATGAATAGACATTTCTCAAAAGAGGATATACAAATGGGCAACAAACATAAAAAATACTCAACATCACTAATCATCATGGAAATGCAAATTAAAACCACAACAATAGATGTTAGTGTGGATGAGGTGAAAAGGGAATGCTTAAAGATTGTTGGTGGAAATGTAAATTAGTGCAACCTCTATGGAAAACTTATGAAGATTTCTCAAAGAACTAAAAGTAGGTCTACCATTTAATCTACCAATCCCACTACTGGGCATCTAATCAAAGGAAAATAAGTCATTATATTAAAAAGAAACTTGTATGTGTATGTTTATCACAGCACAATTCACAACTGCAAACACATGGAATCAACCTAAGTGAACATCAACCAATAAAGAAAATGTGGCGTGTATATATCATGGAATACTACTCAGCCATAAAAAAGAACTAAATAATATCTCTTGCAGGAACTTAGATGGAACTGGAGGCTGTTATCCTAAGTGAAGTAACTCAGGAAGAAAAAACCAAATACTGCATGTTTTCACTTATAAGTAGGAACTAAGCTATGGATACACAAAGGCATGCAGACTGGTACACTAGACATTGGAGACTCAGAAGCGGGAAGGGTGAGAGATAGATGAGGGATAAAAAAGTCAGCTATTGGGTACACTGTACACTATTCAGTGATAGGTACCCTAAAAGCCCAGACTTCACCATTATACATGGATAAATTTATTTATGTAAACAAAACCACTTATACTCATAAAACTATTGAAATTAAGAAAAGAGATGTTCAAAAATGTAAAATAATGCCACTCTTCTAATTTTTTGTGAGGAAATATATTTATGGAAAATATATCTATCAAAGAAATAATATCAGAAAAACTTCCAAACTGAAGGACACATGTTTCCAGATTAAAATGACCTTCTGAATGCTTAACACAGTAAATAAAAAACAGGAAGAGGAAGAGATAAAATAAAAAATGAAGACATACAAGGCCATGTTATGAAACTTCATCACACTGTAGATCCCATGAGCAGCACAAGGTCAGAGATAACCAGCACCATGCACAGTTGTGTCTTTCCATGATGTCTGACTTTTATTGGTGCCATCTCAATCATAAAAGCCTCAAGCTACATGGATTTCCCAAGGAGGCAATTCTCCTTAGTACTTCCCATTCACTTGGTAGTCAGAGCTGCAGGCACAGAGCCTGACAAGCCATTCCAAAAGTCAGTCAATATTGCAAATCCTACATAATAGTACACTTAATCAATATATAAATGTTATAGATTAAACGTTCTATAGCAAACAAAGTAATATTTAACATCAAGAAAAAGGGGATAGGAAAAGAGGTTAACAAACCAAGCAATGTAGACAAAAAGAATTTCCTTGTCTGGGCCAGGTGGTCCATTGGTCTTGCAAGAAAGCGTCTTTGATGTGGGCAGAGCCTTTGGTGGCAGATTCCAGGTGCTTATCACAAGTGACAACAAGACAGTGTCTGTTAAGACAGCTGATTGGAGCTGCTGAAGTCCTGTTCTTTTTATGGCCACAGAGTCCTCTGGTGAGGACTGATAGAGGAGGCATGTGCTTGGTTATGTCCTTATCTGATTGGATGAAGTATGTATGTATGTATGTATGTATGTATGTATGTATGTATGTATGTATGTAGGTATATATTTATTTATTTTTGAGACAGAGTCTCACTATATTGCCCAGGCTGGAGGGCAGTGGTGAGATCTCAGCTCATTGCAGCCTCTGATTCCCAGGTTCAAGTGAGTCTTGTGCCTCAGCCTGCTGAGTAGCTGGAATTACAGGCACCAGCCACCAAGTGTGGCTAATTTTTATATTTTTAGTAGAGGTAGGGGTTTGCCATGTTGACCAGGCTGGTCTCGAACTCCTGACCTCAGGTTATCTGCCCGCCTCGGCCTCCCAGAATGCTGGGATTACAGGCATGAGTCACCACACCTGGCCTGGATGCAGTTTTTATTGATCAGGCAAAACATCTGGTCTCAGCTGACAAAGTGCCTTATGAAATGTAAAGTAGATCTTTTTCTAAGATGGAGTTACTGATGTCAAGGGTGCACTATACAATAAATAAGTAGATCCTGAAAGATTTCAGAGGAGAATATGAGATCATATATAAAGGAACAGAAATCAAAATGACATTACCCTTGCCAACAATACTGGAAGCTATAAGACAATGCAGCAATGCTTTCATTCTTAGAAAAAATAGTTATCAATCTAAAATAATATCCCCAGCCAAACAATCAATTTTGAGTGCTGAAGAAAGGTATTTTTAGGCATCATATGAGAGAGTGTTATAATAATGATCCCAAAGAACCATACATCTCTGTATCCACACCACTTTGCAATGGGACTTTGCTGTTTATCCCAGTGGGGTGGGGGGTGGTTCCTATTTCTTCACCCTTTTGACCTTGGTTGGCCTTATGAGTTATTTTGACCAATAAGACAAGAAAGAAGGGACATTGTGTGAGTTCCACAGCTGAGGCTCTAAGAAGTCTCGAAACTTCTCCTCTCACCTTCTTGGAACCCTGAGACCACCATGGTCTGAGAAGCCAGTGGAGGATGAGACATGTCTAAAACTCATACATCAAAATGCAGCAATATAAAGGGAAGTTCTTAAAGCAGCTGAATACTAATCTCTATTTGACTGTCTTTTCCTTTAGAATTGTTTATATATTTAGGGTGTGAGATTTTTGTCATATTTTGCAAATATTTTCATTATAGCTCCTCTTTTAACTTTGTGGCATTTTTTAAATAATACACAAGTTTTTTTTATTTTTTGGAGGTGTTTTTATGCTTTTGAGGTTTTGTTTCTTGATTAAGAAGGACTTCTCTCATGCAACGGTTTAATCTTATTTTTTTTAAAAAAGCAAAACAAAGGAAAAAAAAAGCTAACAGTATAAGCAACTGGTTGGTGCAATATGGTGGTAGCTATCAAAGAGAGAGCCAGGAGTCTAAAGTAGTTGTCTGTAAGGAGTGGTCTGGAGAGGAGAGCCAGGCAGGGACTTGCTGCTTTTCTGTTATACCTCTTTTTTCCTAGCATTCCAACCTGAAAACTGAACTAATAAAGAGTGTCCTGAATCCGACCACTTACTATCCTCACCTCCACTGGTCTGCACGAGTCTGTCATTTCTTCCCTAAATGACCACAAAAGCTGGCCCACTGGTGTCCTGCATCTGTTTTCCACCTTTGCCCATTTCAGTTATCTATTGCTGTGAAATAAACCACTTACAAAAACAAACAAACAAACAAACAAACAAACAAACAAGAATGTGTAGAAAGAAGGACCTGTCTATGATAGCCAGAAATTTTGCTCAGGAAGTTTTGAAGACCTAGTTCATATTGGAGTTCACAAGTTTTTGGCATCCCCTTAGTGTATAATTGTATAATTTTCTTCAGTATTGCCTTACAACTTAGGTAAAGGGAAAAAGAAGATGGTTTATAAATTTATGGCTTAAATTTGTCAGTTACCGTAGTGAGCTACACCAAAGCTGAAAAAGGCTCTATTTAGACTTGATTGTGTAAGGATTGGTATTTACCCATTCTATGCTATTTGAGAATCAAGATAATTGCAAATGTTACGTTAACTGTTATAAGTCCTTTAAAAGATAAAGTTAGTTGTGTCATTAGTCAGCATAAGCTGCATTTTGCTGTGGTAACATATGAATTCTGAACTCTCAGTGGTTTAACACATACAATTTTATTTCCTGTTCAAGCCAAATCTGCTGAGCTGTGGGTTGGGTGATCCTCTAGGGAACTGTTCTCCATGTAGTTACTCAGCAATCCAGACTGTTGCTTCTGTATAGCTGTTTCATATCAGTTTGTGTCTCCCAGGTTTGCTGCAGCAGAGAAAAATAAAGCTGGGGAGTAGCTTGCTGGCTCCTAAATGGTTATGCCTCAATGTGACATATATCACTTCTGCAAATGTGGCTCTCCTTAAAAAGGAGTGGGCTGGAAAACATAGTGGTAGCACATAGATATTTCATGACCAGAAAATGGGTTAGCCACAATTAAGAAAAACTCATCTCCTTGGAATAAATTGTTTACTAAACTGTTGAATATTAATTTGTATGTAATATATACTTAACATAAGAGTTAAGCATAGTTGTTTAGTCCTGTGGGTTAATTCAGTTCTTACGAAGGTAGAAGTGAAGTTGCTGAGATTTATAGGACTTCTGGCCTGGCTCTGGTCTAGATCTTTTTAAAAATCTGGATTATTTTTCTTAGGATTGCACTGTATCCACATCTCAAATTACTTCCCATCTCAATGGTCTGCAGCTGGGCTACAATTCTTTATTCAAATTTGAATGTGCAGAATTTCTGCCTTAATTACTCACATGTCACTAATTCTCTTTTTTTCATTTTTTGAGATGGAGTCTCACTGTGTTGCCCAGCCTGGAGTGTAGTGGCACAATCTTGGTTCACCGCATCCTCTGCTCCCCGGGTTCAAGTGATTTTCGTGCCTCAGCCTCCAGAGTAGCTGGGATTACAGGCATGGCCACCACGCCCAGCTAATTTTTCTATTTTTAGTAGAGATGGGATATTACCATGTTTGCCAGGCTGGCCTCAAACTCCTGGCCTCTAGTGATCTGCCTGCCTCTGCCTCCCAAAGTGTTGGCATTACAGGCATGAGCCACCACACCCAGCCACCAATTCTCTTTTGGGTCAGCTACTTTGTTTCTATTAGCTAAGGCACAAATCCATCCAATAAAAGCCATTTTTGAGGTGAAGTGGTGTATAGGATATTTTCGACAGAAAAAAAGTGCTTCACAAAATATCTTCTACCTGAGAAATAATGTCCAAGATTGTTCTATGATTGTACCTGGATGAATTTTCTACACCTCTTTGGCTGTAGACAGAGAAAATAATTTATTCTGGAGACAGCCAGATTATACTGTAAATGATCACCCCTGGAGTTGTGAACACAACAGCATTAATTTTGGATGAGTGCTGCTTTAACGACTCTCATTCCTCAAAACCCAATCGTTTCTCACCTATCTCTCTCTCTCACAATAATAGTTCTACTTCGATTTTATTAGTTGGGATTAAAACTATGCATTTTCAACAAAAGATTTAGCCATTAGGTCTTTTTGTTTATTTTAATTATTTGGCCTGTTAGTTATATACTCTATACCGAAGCTTTGCAGATAATTATTCTACTAAACACATAAACTCATGGGTTTTCCATACACTGTAACATTTTTATGTTGACTAGCAATGTCCCCCTGATTAATAATTTGTAAATGTGAAGAAGTTTCAAATTGGCAGAAACATTAGTCATCATTTAATCAGATATTGATCTTTTATGAAAAGGCATCATTAAAGATTCCAGAAAATGAGGGGAATAAAATATACTTAAACTCACTATTCTGACCTCAAGACCTTTACCCTTTTCATTAGTCATACCTGTTGTTAAAATATGAGTAGGTTCTGTGTTTATCTTCTCTAATCACACAAATTGTTACCCCAGATTATTTGGCTCCAGAGCTGCTTCATGGCATTTTTCACCTCTGTGTTTCTGAGGGTGTAGATTAAAGGGTTTAACATGGGTGTTACCACAGTATAAAACACAGACACAGCTTTATCAATAGGGAAGGTGATCATGGGTCGAAGGTACACCAATATACAGGGAACAAAGAATAGGACGACTACAGTGATATGGAAGGCGCAGGTAGAGAGAGCCTTCCGCTGTGAGCAGAGGATTAGGACGTAAGAGGTAATAAGAATAGAAAAAATGAGCATACACATCAGCCCACTGTTGGCGGCAACAAAGAGTCCAAAGACGTGAGTGTCAGTGCAGGAGAGTTTTAGCAGAGGGAAAAGGTCACAGATGAAATGGTCAATGACATTGGGGCCACAGAAGGGCAGCCAGACTATTAAAAGCATTTGAATCAGAGCGTGAAGAAATCCCCCGACCCATGCCATGGCCACCAGGAGGCCACATACCTGCCTGTTCATTGTGATCAGGTAGTACAGGGGCTTGCAGATGGCCACATAGCAGTCATAGGCCATCACCACGAGCAGAATGATCTCAACTCCCCCAAAGAAATGTTCTACAAAGAGCTGGGTCATGCACCCACTGAAGGAAATAGTTTTCTTTTCAGTGAGTAAGTCAAATATCATTTTGGGGGCCATGGTAGAAGAGGAGCAGCCATCTATGAAGGAAAAGAAAGACAGAAAAAAATACACGGGGGAGTCCAGGGCTGGGCTGGTGGTGATTGTCACCACAATGATTAGGTTGTCTACCATGGTGAGAAAGTAGATGAGTGTAAACACAGCAAACAAGAGTTTCTGTGCCTCTGCGTTCTGTGTCAGGCCAAGCAAGATGAATTCCGTTATGTTGTTCACTTGCTCGAAATCCAGTTTGGTATTTGGATAATTGATTTTTCTGTGAATAGCACAAGGATTGCAATTTGACACATACATTTTGAACAATAAAATAATTTTGGTCAGGATTATTTTCTGTAACACTGATGGAATCCCTAAATCTATAAACCCAAGACTAAGTTGAGCTATGTTATTCATGACATAATGAACACAGATACCTCTTCTCTCTCATACAGAGACACACACAGACACAGAAAAACACATACACACATTCATTTATGTACACAAACATGATTTTATGATGTTGACATGTCAGGCATTTTTCCTATGATTGTACATGGATGGATATTCTCTCAATCACCCTTACAGCATTTTTTTCCCCATAGAAAAACAGCAGTAAAAAGAGGAGGAGCAGAGGCTTGAATTCCTGTCAATTTCCTAGTTTCTTTTTTTTTTCGTTTTTTTTTTTTTTTTAACCACTCATGTTCATGAGGCTACGGTGCAGAGTTTGTTATTCTGGTTATTTTTAACTTGTTTCAGGGTAACTATAAAACATCAGGTGAGTTCACTTTGAAATTAAGGATGATGCCACCACATTTCAGAATCAACTGAACTGAGTGAATGTTTGAGGCTGCAGTAAGATACTCCATGGCAGTTAGATTTGAGAATTTATGCCACATCCAAACAGAATTGTCTAAGAATACAATCAAACACTTCTGGAAGCATATCCTGGAAGAGGATAAAACAGCATGATGCAAGGCAGCATTCCCCAGATGTATCTGAAACTTTAGAATTCACTTGGAGAACTGTCATGTTTAGAATTCAGGGCATTTTGCAAATCAAAACCCAATTTAAGGATGACTATGAAAAATTATATGGATCTGTTTAGAAAACATAATTTTAAGGTGAGGGAAAAAAAGCACCATAATTTATTGGACAGAGTGTTTTTTAGAATCAGATGCCTAATTTTTACATTTTATCTTCACTGACTATTAGCCACATGATATTGTGTACAGATCTTAGTCTCATTGTGCCTAAACTTTTTCATATATAAAATGGGAAAAATAACAAATGGAATGGAGGAACTAAAGAATATCATGATTAAATATATCAAGCTTTGTATCCTAAAGGTAAACCTATAGCTTACCATGTACTCCACATCTTGATAAAGAACACAAGTAAACAAAATTTTGCATATAATTATTTTTATCTTTAAGTTATTTATCATTGTAATATTAAGAGAGAAAATAAATGAACTCAGTACTCAACTCAAGGTAAATAACAAGCAATTATATTCAGAAAAAAAGGTGTAACACAGAAAGACATCAGGCAATAAAAAATTAGACTTGATAACTAAATTAAAAAGCTTTTTGATATTTTAAAAATACAAAGAAAACTGAAGAATAGAAATGAGCTCAATAAGAAACAAATATGGTAATACCACCAAAGGATATTATTTGTGAATAATATTTAGAAAGGTATTATGTGTAGCTCATAAAAGATTTTAAAATAACTAGATAGGTGTTTTTCAAAACGAAATAAGTCTCTTCTTAATGGAATCATCAAAAAAAGAAAAAAAAGAACCAAAGAAAAAGAGAAAAAAGAATAGCATGTATTAAAGACTTCAGGTAAAACATAGATCTTTTCAAAACCAAAAAAAAAATCAATATATATTTCATCTGTAGCTAAGAAAGGATATTTTAAAATAAAAATATAATGGTATAAGATACAAAACAAAACTGATGAGCTCAGCTACATAAAGGTATGGAACACCTTGGAAAAATAATTGCAACAAGTATGACAACTGTTATTATAAAAGCAGTTAACAAATTAAAATGTTTACTCACACTATTAAGGTGTGAATTAAGGTGTAAATAAGGGTAAAACTAAGAAAAGATAATTCTCAGAAAAAACATTAGACATCTAAAAAGTCCTCTTTCATAAGTTACCAAAGAAATGCAATTTTAAAACAGTAAAATACTGATGAATTGGCAAAGATTTATGATAGTTGTGTTATTCAGTGGTGGTGAATGTGTGTTGACATAAAACATTCTAGAAAGAAGTTTGACCCCTTATTATAATAAGGGTTTTGTAACTAGTTATGACCCTTGGCACAGTATTCCTTATGTTTAGAAATCTACTCTAGATAAAAAATATAGACAAAATTATGTATACAAGTTGTATTTCACAATATTTTTATACTAATAAAAAGGTAAAAAACTCCAAATATACATAAAGAGGAACAGTTAAATGAATTATAGTTATTCTATGTCAAGTGAACATTAAAGTTATTTGCAAAATAATTAATAATAATTATTTATACAAAAAAATACACTGAGAATTAATGGGGTGGAAAGAGTCTTTCAATATAATATTGAGTGGGAAATACAAAATATAAAATAGTTTATATATTATGACCCAAATTGTTTAAAATGCCATATATCCACTAAAAATATATCTGAAAAAAGTACATGAAGGATAATAATGCTTATATGAATTATGGGATTAAGGGAAATTTTAATGTTCTTTTAAAAAGTTTCTGATCTCAGTTTTCTACAGAGAGAATATATTACTTTTGTAGTCAGTAAAATAATTTAATAAAAGTTTTATTATCAAGTCAGGGTCTATAATATCCCTGGTGAATGTTTTTCTTAGTGGACTATTTTGGTTATTATTCATAAAAATCTGTAACAGTAGAAACACATGTTTAAATATAACTCACCTGTAAATTGAAGACCCTAGTATTATCTTGAGAAAAAATGACTAATAAGGTAAAGAAGTAATGGGGTCATTCAATAGCAAGACATCTTATTTGTAGAGAGCAGTTTGCATGGAGTTAGCATTCACTGGCTCATCACTAACTGCTGCTTTGCAGATTTCATCCATTTTTAACTTAAGTATTATATATGTTTTCCTCAATTGGTGACTTAAAATGACTGGTAAGAGAAACTTCCTAAATACAGCTGAGTTCACGGGCTGGATTTATTTTGCTCTGTTGGATCACATCATCCTGTGAGTGTGAGACACAAGCATCTGAGCTCAGAAATGAATGTGAATTTCTCTTGTCAGCTTCCAAAGTCTGACTTCGGTTTCCATTAGTCTTCAACAGATATTGATGGGAAAAATACCTAGCCATTGAAGGACGTCTTTCTCCAAGTCGCCTTAGAATGCATTTGCCAGGCTTTCTTGGTGACCAGATGAAGGATATTATAAAAATCACTTGATCTGAGGTCTAACCCAATTTATAGCCCTGAATATTGAAAACTAAGTTAAAACAGAAAAATTTGGGATTGCAAGCGCAATGAAATCAGCAACAAATCAATGTTGTCTTGAAGTAGCAAGTCTCTATTTTAAATCACTTATTTTAACCCCCTTTTTTTTTTTTTGGTAAGCACGTGCTCAGGCTGGAGACAGCTCCTTTGGTCCTGGGAAGTCTGGATCCAAATTTGGAAATTCAGAACGAAACAGCATCTGTGATTTGTGGCTGGTTATGCTTATGTGGTCTTCCTGGGTCAGAAATCCTGAGTCTGTCCTTATCAAGATTTTCAGATGTGGATTCAGGAAAATATTTAATGGATATTATTCAAGTGCGAGGAGTTAGGAATGCTCTGACATCTCCCAGAAGATTAGAATTAGCATCAGCCAAGGTGGTAGCCAAACCAATTTATCCTGTTCTTTCTCTTGTGACCATGACATCTGTGACCAAAAGGTTGGGGGAAAGCCAGCTAGGCTAGGTTAACAGCCTTTCTTATGACTGTGGTTACAAAGTGATCTTAAATCCTGAGACCCTAGACCCAGAATGTTCTAGTCATTGGGGGTATGGATCCATGGGCCAATCAGAGCCTATAAAACAACTCTAATAACACCTGCCCCATAGAGTTATAGGGAGAATTGAGCAAGATAACATGTGAAGATATCTGTCAGTGAAAAACTGCTATATTATTAATACTCTGAAGATAGACACATGTAGGCTAGAGAAACTGCTCTTTAGTATTATAAATCTGAATCATGCTTAAGAGTAAATTACTGACTTTTTTTTTTTTTTTTGAGATGGAGTTTTGCTCTTTTACCCAGGCTGGTGTGAAGTGGTGCGATCTTGGCTCACTGCAACTTCTGGCCTCTGGGTTTAAGTGATTCTCCTGCCTCAGCCCCCTGAATAGCTGGGATTATAGGCACCTGCCATCATGCCTGGCTAATTTTTGTATTTTTAGTAGAGATGGAGTTTCGCCATGTTGGCCAAGTTGGTCTCACACTTCTGACCTCAGGTGATCCACCTGCCTCGGCCTCCCAAAGTGCTAGGATTACAGGCCTGAGCCACTGTGCCCAGCCCCTACTGATTCTTCTTACTAATTAGGTGACCTTGTTTCCTCAGCCTTGAGTTTCTACATCTGTAAAAAGGGGGGTGATGATAGTTCTTGCCTCCTAGGACTGTTGTGGTGGTTACATGAGATAATGCATGTAAAGTACTTAGAATGGTGGTTGGGGAAGCATAAAGGCTTACTGTTATCTGTTATCATTTTCTGTAAAGGAAATCAGAACTCATGGTGTGACTGATTCAGGCTTCTGGCAAGAATTGTCTCAACTCATATATATAGTTTGTCTTCTTTACTCTTATGGTTGGTAGGATGTAGAGAGTTCTAGAAATTAGGAGATAAGAAAAGCCAAATTTTGAAGTATTGAATACTGATTCATAAGTCATAATTATGAAATATTCCTATGAGTGTTTGATCTTCTCTCCAATAAAACATCTGACAATGAAGTGATGATTCCCTGAAATGGTTACAGGAGATAAAGGAAATGAGGATACACTGAGAATTAACAAATTATCAGCACTATCACTCTGCTAAGTTTGGAATCTCATCTAATTCACACCTAGTCCCTGTGAGGAAGGTATTTATTCCATTTTATATGTAAAGAAATTGATGCTCACTCTGCGTATCATTTGGCGAAGGTCAAAGAGCAAATAACTGGCAGTTTAAATTTAAATCCAGATTGATTTAATTCTAAGCCTGAGCTCTAACTATTATGCCATTATGTGTGATTATGTACTGATTCCATGCTGTGTCTCATCCATTGGGTGTGATGGGAGAGGAGGTGCTGACACATACCAGCTTTGTGTTGCTTAGCAAACTTTGATTCCACCACCAATGGCAAGCAGAGAAAATTCCTCCATCAGATAACATGGGCATCAGTAGTTTATAAAAGAGGCATAGAGAAAAGAGAATGCCTCTCATCTTCCTTTCCTACCTTTGGTCCTCATCCAGGGGAATTGCTTCAGTGCTATCTTGGAAGATTTGATTCTGGAAATTTCCTGATGCCTGTGGAGTGGAAGGGAAGACTGAACAGAATTCAGACTTAGGACCAGGGACATCCTCTACATGAATGGGATCTGGTAGGATCTTGGGGAAATAATATACAATAGACATAACCTGGGTATGATTTCAAATGCTTCTATTTACCATATGGCTCTATGCTTGCCACTTAAGATCCCTTAACATACTTGAGCCTGTAAAACAGCCTTAAATAAAGGTTATTGGGGAGAATACCAAAAGACAGCATGTGAAATCCATCTAGTGCATTATGAATGGAAAATATTTGGAAAGTATTTTCTGAACTAAATTGAGAGAGAGATGTTTGCATTTTCTACTGCTGCTATAATGTTGGCTGTCTTTATTAACTACTGGCCAAGCTGTGTGATTTTGGGGAAGTTACTCAACTTCTCTGTACCTCAGTTTCCTCTTGTGCAAAACAGAGATAATATTACTACATGGAGTTGCATGAGAACCAAAGTAGTCACTAAAGGGGGAAATGAGGTTGAGGATAGTTTTTTTTTAAGAGGGGGAAAATTGATGTTTAAATGCTAGTGGGAAGGAGCTGGGGAGAGACAGAGGGAGAGAGAAAGAAAGAAAAGTTAAAGACACAAGAGGGCGGGAAGTATTCAATAAAGGCCTGTTGGATGGGTAGACAGTGATTTACCCACAGAGAAGTGATTTTCTATCTTCTTCCTCTTTAATAAAAATCCGTTTTGTTCTGGTGTGAGGTGGTCATATGTTTGGAGCAAAGTGGAGTCCATCCAGGCCACAGGTGTGACTCAGGATTAGTTGAAACCAGTTATAATAATGCAAATAGTCACTATATTATTTGCAATCATGCAAATTAGTCACTGAAGGGGGAAGTGGGGTTGAGGATAGTTTTTTTTTTTAAGGGGGGGAAAATTGATGTTTAAATGCTAGTGGGAAGAAGCTAGGGAGAGACAGAGAGAGAAAGAAAGAGAAGTTAAAGATACAAGAGGGTAGGAAGTAATCAATAAAGGCCTGTTGGATGGGTAGGCAGTTATTTACCCACAGAGAAGCTATTTTCTATCTTATCCAGCTTTAATAGAAATCCATTATGTTCTGGTGTGAGGTGGTCATGTGTTTGGGACAAAGTGGAGTCCATCCAGGCCATAGGTGTGAATCAGGATTAGCTGAAACCATTTATAATAATGCTCTTCACTTTCCAGTGATTTACATAGGCATGTGACACAATTCCAGCCCATGAGACAAGAAAGAAAAACTGCTGGAGAGCTTCCGTGTGATGCTTCTCTGATCCTAAAAAGGGAGTCATGAGGAAAAATGTCTCTTCTGAACAATGCCTTCTGCAAAAGATATGGAATTACTAATTAGTGGTAACCACTGGCATTTTGGACTGGGGAGTTTCCTGAAACAGCTAAAAAGTACACACTTATTTGAAAAGTGATTGCTCATTTATTATTGGACTTCAGTTGAAACTGCTTTTATTGCTGAAGGAGATACATTGTTATTATTTTTTTTACTACTTTTTTTCTTTCCAACTTTTAGGTTCAAGAAGTACATGTGCAGATTTGTTACATGGGTAAATGGTGTGTTGTGGGGGTTTTGTGTACAGATAATTTTGTCACCCAGGTAATTAGCAAAATACCTGGTAGGTAGCTTTCAATTCTCACCCTTCTCCCAACCTGTACCCTCAAGTAGGTGCCAATGTCTATTGTTCTCCCCGCCACTGCTTTTTTTTTTTTTTTTTTTTTTGAGATGGAGTCTTATTCTGTCTCCCAGGCTGGAGTGCAGTAGCTCGATCTTGGCTCACTGCCACCTCTGCCTCCTGGATTCAAGTGATTCTCCTGCCTCAGCCTCCCGAGTAGCTGCGATTACAGGTGCCCGCCACAACGCCCAGCTAATTTTTGTATTTTTAGTAGAGATGGTTCACCATGTTGGCCAGGCTGGTCTCGAACTCCTGACCTCAAATGATTCACCCACCTCGGCCTCTCAGAGTGCTGGGATTACAGGCATGAGCCACTGTGCCTGGTTATTGTTCCTTCTTTGTGTCCATGTGTACACAATGTTTAGCTTCCATTTATAAGGGAGAACATGCAGTATTTGGTTTTCTGTTCCTGCATTAATTTGCTTAAGGTAATGGCCATTAGCTCTATCCATGTTGCTGCAAAAGACATGATTTCATTCATTTTTTTTTTTGAGGGTTTCCTTCTTTTTTATGGCTGTGTGGGACACACGTTATTTTGAGATGGGAAATACCCAATGTCTTGAGCTATATCAGATAGTCATCCCAGCAGGTAGGAAAATTAACAAGAGAATTCCATTATAAAAGAGAAATACAAATTCAAAAATATGTGAAAGGTGGGAGAACACACTGCATCCATAAACACATGGCTGCTCGGCCTCTGAGCTCCTTGTTTGATGCCCCTGAGGAGTAGCTAACCTCTGTTAGCCAGGCTGGAGTGTAGTGGTGCGATGACAGCTAACTGTAACCTTGACTCCTGGGCTCAAGTGATCGTCCCACCTCAGCCTCCCAAATAGCTGGAGCTGGGATTACAGGCACACACCACCGCAACCAGCTAATTTTTTAAAAATTCATTTTTTGTAGACACAGAGGTCTCACTGTTACCCAGGGTGGTCTCAAACTCCTGGGCTTAAAGGATCCTCCCACCTTAGCCTCCCAAAGTGCTGGGATTATGGGTGAAAGCCATCATGCCTGGCCCACTATCACCATTTCTATTCAACATAGTATTATGGGTCTTATCCAGTACAATAAGACAGGAAAATAAAAAGAAATATTAAAATTGGAAAAGAAGAAATCAAACTAATTATTCACAGATGACATGATTTATATGTAATGTGAAGGGCTAAACTGAGTTGGAGAGACGGAGCTGAGCTGTCAGGTTTAGAGTAGTCCGTTAAAGCAAAAAGCCAAAAATAAAAGTAACAGTAAAGCTTTTAATCACTTACTTAAATACTTATAAGCAAGAGGTCAAAACCATAGAAACCACCAACTCCCTTTTGTTCTATTTTTTCCCTGTGGACCAGTGCACCAGCTAAGGTTCATATGGATAAGTACAAACGTAGGTTTAATATCACTGCTGAGGGAGCCCCAAACAAAACATTCCCAGCATCCCTCCCTCCTATGAAACCCACTTGATCATGGTGGATTATCTTTTAGATATGCTGTTGGATTTGATTAACTAGTATTTTGTTGAGGATTTTTGTATCAGGGATATTTGTAGTTTTTTTTGTTGTTGTTGTTATGTCCTTCCCCAGTTTTGGTATTAGGGTGATACTGGCTTCATAGAATTATTTAGGGATGTTTCCCTCTTTCTCTATCATGTGGAATAGTTTCAGTAAGATTGGTACCAATTATTCTTTGAATGTCTGATAGAATTCAGCTGTGCATCTGGCCGGTCCTAGACTTTTTTTGTTGGCAATTTTTAAATACTATTTCAATCTCACTACTTGTTATTGGTCTGTTCAGGGTTTTTATATCTTCTTGGTTTAATCTGGGAGGGTTGTATATTTCCAGGAATTTATCCATCTCCTCTAGGTTTTCTAGTTTATGCACATAAAGGTGTTCATAGTAGCCTTGAATGATCTTTAGTATTTCTGTGGTATCAGTGGTAATAGCACCTGTTTCGTTTCTAATTGAGCTTATTTGTATTGTCTCTCTTCTTGGTTAATCTCGCTAACGGTCTATCAATTTTATTTATCCTTTCTTTTCTTTTCTTTTCTTTTTTTTTTTTCTGAGACAGAGTCACTCTGTCACCCAGGCTGGAGTGCAGTGGCACAATCTTGGCTCACTGCAACCTCCACCTCCTGGGTCCAAGTGATTTCCTGCCTCAGCCTTCTAAGTAGCTGGAATTACAGGTGCACACCACCACGGCCAGCTAATTTTTGTATTTTTAGTAAAGATGGGGTTTTGCCATGTTAGCCAGGCTGGTCTCAGACTCCTGACCGTAAGTGATCTGCCTGCCTTGGCCCCCCACAGTGCTGGGATTACAAGTGTTAGCCACCATGCCAGGTCTTATATATCTTATCAAATAATCAGTTTTATTTCATTTATCTTTTTTTTTTTGGTTTCAATTTCATTTAGTTCTGCTCTTATGTTTGTATTCCTTTTCTTCTGCTGGGTTTGGGTTTGGATTGTTCTTGTTTCTCCAGTCCCCTGAGGTATGACCTTAGATTGTCTACTTGTGCTTTTTCAGACTTTTTGATGTAGGCATTTAATGCTGTAAGCTTTCCTCTTAGCACTGCTTTTGTTGTATTTCAGAGGTTTTGATAGGGTGTGCCACTATTATCATCCAATTCAAATAATTTTTTAATATCCATCTTGATTTCATTGTTGACCCAGTGATTATTCAGGAGCAGGTTATTTAGTTTATATGTACTTGCCTGGTTTTGAGGGTTCCTTTGGGAGTAGATTTCCAATTTTTTTCCCACTGTGGTCTGAGAGAGTACTTGATATAATTTCAATTTTCTTAAATTTACTGAGACTTGTTTTGTGGCCTGTCATATGGTCTATCTTGGAAAATGTGCTGATGAATAGAATGTATATTCTGCAGTTGTTTCAGAATGTTCTGTAAATATCTGTTAAGTCCATTTGTTGTAGGGTGTAGTTTAAGTCCATTGTTTCTTTGTTGACTTTCTGTCTTGATGACATGTCTAGTACTGTCAGTGGAGTATTAAAGTCTCCCAATATAATTGTGTTGCCATCTACTTTATTTCTTAGGCCTAGTAGTAATTGTTTTATAAATTTGGGAGCTCCAGTGTTAGGTGCTTATATATTTAGGATTGTGATATTTTCCTGTTGGACTATTCCTTTTATCATTATATAACATTCCTTTTTGTCTTTTTAAACCGTTGTTGCTTTAAAGTCTGTTTTGTCTGATCTAAAAATAGCTACTCCTGCTCCCTTTTGGTGTACATTTGCTTGGAATCTTTTTTCACCCCATTTACCTCAGGTTTATGTGAGTTCTTATGTGTTAGGTGAGTCTTAAGTAGACAGTAGAAACGTGGTTGGTGACTTCTTATCCATTCGTCTATTCTGTGTCTTTTAAGTGAAGCATTTAGGCCATTTTACATTAAATGTTAGTATGAAGATGAGGTACTAGTCTATTCATCATGTGATTTTTTTTTGCCTGAATATCTTTGTTTTTTTGTTGTGTTATTTTTATATAGGTCCTATGAGATTTATGTGTTAAGCAGGTTCTATTTTGATTTATTTCAAGGATTTGTGTCAAGATTTCATCTCCTTTTAGCAGTTCTTGTAGTGCTGGCTTGGCAGTAGTAAATTATCTCAGCATTTGTTTGTGTGGAAAAGACTATCTTTCCTTCATTTCTGAAGCTTGGTTTCACAGATACAAAATTCTTGGCTGATTTTGTTTAAGGAGGCTAAAGATAGGACATCAATCCCTTCTAGCTTGTAAGGTTTCTGCTGAGAAATCTGCTGTTACGCTGATAGATTTTTTTTATAGGTTACCTGATGCTTTTGACTCACAGATCTTAAGATTTTTTCCTTCATCTTGAATTTAGATAACCTTATAACTATGTACCTAGGCAATGATCCTTTTGCAATGAATTTCCCACATGTTCTTTGAGCTTCTTGTGTTTGGATGTCTAGATCTCTAGGAAAGCTGGGGAATTTTTCTCAATGATTCCCCCAAATATCTTTTTCAAACTTTTAGATTTCTCTTCTTCCTTGGCAAAGCCAATTATTCTTAGGTTTGGATGCTTATTATAGTCCCAAACTTCTTGGTGGCTTTGTTCATTTTTAAAAAAATTATTTTTCCATTGTCTTTGATAGATTGGGTTAATTTGAAAGCCTTGTCTTTGAGCTCTGAAGTGCTTTCTTCTGCTTCTTTGATTCTATTGTTGAGACTTTCCAGTGTGCATTTCCCTAAGTGTGTCCTTGATTTCCAGAAGTTGTGATTTTTTAATTTATGCTATCCATTTCATTAAATAATTTTCCTTTCATATCCTTTATCATGTCTTGGATTTCTTTAAGTTTAACTTCCCATTTCTCTGTTGCCTCCTTGATTAGCTTAATAATAAACTTCTGAATTTTTTTTCTGGCAATTCAGAGATTCATCTGGGTTTGGATCCACTGTTGGTGAGCTGGTGTGATCTTTTGGGGGTGTTAAAGAACCTGGTTTTGTCATATCACCAGAATTGTTTTTCTGGTTCCTTCTCATTTGGGTAGACTATGTCAGAGGGAAGATCTGGGGCTCAAGAGCTGCTGTTCAGATTCTTTTGTCCCACAATGTGCTCCTTTGTTGTGGTGTTCTCCCCATTTCCCTATGGATGGGCCTTATTGAGAGCCAAACCGCAGTTATTGTTTTTGCTTTTTTGGGTCTAGTCACCCAGTGGAGCTGCCATGCTCCCAGACTTGTACTGGGGAGTATCAACAAAAAGTCCTTTAATGTGGTCTGTCTTCAAGTCTTTCAGCTGTGGATACCAGCACCTTGCTCCAGTGGAGGTAGCAGGGGAGTGAGGTGGATTTTGTGAAGGTCCTTGGTTGTATTTTTGTTTGGTGCACTGGTTTGGTGTTGGTTGGCCTCCAGCCAGGAGGTGGTGCTTTCAAGAACACATTAGGTGTGGTACTATAGAGAGGATACAAACTTGTCCTAGGGTCACCTGGTTAAGTTTTCACGTTTCTCAGGTGGTGGGAAGGGCCATAGAACTCCCAGGAGATTATGTTCTTTGTCTTTGGCAATCAGGGTGGGTAGAGCAAGGCCACCAGTTGGGGGCAGGGTTAGGTGTCTCTGAGCTCAGACTCTCCTTGGGTGAGGCTTGCTATGGCTGCTGTGGGGATGGGAGTGTGGTTCTGAGGCCAATGGAATTATGTTCCCAGAGGGATTATGGCTGCCTCTGCTGAGTCATACAGGTCACCAGGAAAGTGGGGCAAGCTGGCAGTTACAGGCCTCACCCTGCTCCCATACAGCCTGCAGTGCTAAAGGCTGGTCTCATTCTCACTGTGCCCCCACAACAGCACCAAGTCTCTTTTCAGGCAGCTGGCTACCAGGGCTGTAAACTTTCCCCATACCACCAGTCTCCCTGTTGAGAAAGCAAGTAGACTCACAGTTTTTCAGCATCTCAGGGAGTCGGCAGCAGTGGTCCAATTCCTTCAAAGCATCTGTGGATTCTCTCAGCTTTCCTGGTATGTTCCTGTGGTAGTTCCTGGAGCAAAAGGTTATGATGTGCATCTTCACATGCTTCTCTGTCTGAGCAGGAACTGCAAGATAGTCCTGCCTCCTTTCCACCATCTTCCCTATTACCATTTTCTAATTAATCTTTCTGTTTTGTGGTCTTCTTTTCTTTCTGAAGTGGTGTTCTTTGTCTGGGGTAAATACTCAGTGTTCATCATCTCACACCAAAGAAATTGAGGTTGTGGATACATAAGAAGTGAGTTTAATAGTAGAGATTTAATAGGTGAGAGAAAAGAGAAAAACTCTCCTGCAGAGAGAGAGAGAGAGAGAGCGACTCCTGAGTGGGCCTTCTGGTTTTGTGGTGAAATGCATCAGGTTTTATAGATGAGCTTGAGGAGGTGGTGTCTGATTTACATAGAGCCCAAAAGGTTGGTTGGACCAGCTCTGCCATTTACATAGCATGTGAAGAAGCTGGCTGCCCCATCCTAATCTTCTACTATGTGAATGGGTTCTCTACCTGGTTGGTGCCATGTTGCCTGCTTCTTTACTGCACACGTGGTTGACAAAGAAAAGGGAAGATGGAGCCTCCATGCTGAAGATGCCTGGCCCCCAGGTAGCCTTTTCCTATTGGCACAACTGCCAGCATTCACCCATGCAAGCTGCCAGCTTGCTTTTTTATGTCTGCAGCTTGATTTTTCAGGCTGCTCTTTGTTAGAAAAGAAATGATTTTTGGGGCTGCTTTTTATTAAAAGGGGAACCTCACCAAGGACTCTCTTACCCTCACTATGTGCCTAAGTAATTTATTTCTAGCTCCTGTATTATTTCCCCCCATCAGAAGTGGAAACCCTAACTGCTGTTAGTGGGTGTTGGATGACAACTCTTTCTGCCTACTTCCTGCAGAAAGATGGGCACTGTGTGGGGAACAGCTCCTCCTGGCATCAATCTAAGGATCCTTGGAAGAATGATGTGTTCATGTATGTTCCATCTGCAGTAGCATTTGGAGATTAATGGCTTCTAGGCAAGAATAAAGAATTTGGGTTATTAGAGTACGTGTATCAAAATGAAACAAGGTGGGGGTAAGGACAGCTCAAAAAATCCTGAGGCTGTGTAACCCTTTGATAACTGGTGACTCTGGTTATGCTTGTTAAGATTTGGGTGTATGGGGCTTGGCTTTTGTTAATTACCTTGGTTTTATTTTCCCAGAGAAACCTCTGGGTTATGGGTACCCTATTTACTTTCATTACCTGATAGGATTTGCAGGATAATTGCCAAGAACTAGCATATTGGTCCTGATTTTTACATTACCCACCCCTTTTTGTTTTTTCTGAGCTGCAGGAGTTTACTACTTGATTCACAGGAATAGGCAGGGTTAGCCTAAAATGTATGCAAAAAAAATTAAAAACAACCAATGAGACTATAATTTAATGACAAATGTATAAGTTTTGGAGCATAATTTTCCATCTCCAGTCCTCATTTTGAGTAAAACCAAATTACGATAGGATGGTGGTGTTTGCAGAAGAGATTAATTCAGACTTTTATTAGTGTATTTGATGGAGTTAACTCCTGTTTGATATTCATGAACGTTTCAGCTCTTCATGTGTCCTGGACATTTTTTCTCTCTTCCAATGTTGCAATTGTCAAAGCTATAAGAATCCTGCATTTGAGAACATGTGTTAAATTCCTATAGCTTGATTTTAAACCATCTTTTGAAAAGAACAAAGCAAGACAACAATTGTCTGTGAATGACAAAATTTCCAGGGAAGTTAAAATTAAAAACATGACTGACAGAGAAGTTTGGTTATCTTAGTGGTGTACAATGACTTAACAACCTTCATTATAATTAATAGCACATACTCAGACAATAGAATTTTATAAATCCCATACAATTGTGGATCATATATTAATATTATTCACTAAAATATAACCTGAAGAATGTTAAACATCGTTGTGGCAATCTCACATACCTAAACATGTCAAATAAGCCTGTTTACCTTTCTTTCAAATGCTTCAGGGGCCCTCTGTGGCATCCAGAGCTAGAGGTCAGGAAAGACGACGTTGAAACTGAGGTTTGATTTTGGGAAGCCTGTTATATATGTTAGAGGTTTAAAACACTTGATGTTATGAAATAGAATTCCAGGTTACCATAAGTCATTTATTTTGCCATAATGATGAAAAAAAGGCAAAAATCTTTTATTAACGTTTACTATTACATGAAAATCCTGTTCAAAGCCAAATTTTACCCTTGTATTAGTTTATTAATGTGAACCCAATTTCTAAATGAAACCTCATTGGCAATTCCATCTAATCTTAACCAATTTGACCGTTAATTTTTACAAACCTTTTATAACCCTTTTGCTAAAGGGCAGACCAGTGTTTTAAGACACCCTTGTTGTGCTTTTATTTCAATGCTTTTATTTATGAAAAGACCATATAATACTATTTTGAAATTAGTTAATGTTTTCACATGGGATTTTTTGCAAGATTAATATATATAATCTTTCCAAAACTTGCTTAAACCTTCAGCTTTATCATATCTAATTTAAGACAATCCTTTATCCCTAGCAAAATGTACATTTCTATGCCTTCTTATATTCTTTTACTAAAAACATATTTTACTGTTTTTACACACCTTGCATGTAAGTCTATTTTAATTACATGTTATAATGCTGACTTTTAGCAATTTTTAACTTTAATGTGAAACCTGGTTAGTTGTTTTGATTATGTAGTAGGCACAGATTAAGTTTGAATTTTTCCAGCATAGTTAGGTACATGGATAATTTTGCATGTCCCCAGGCCTTATGAAGTTGTAAAGCAGGAGTTTGCATGGAAATATTTAGCAAACCTAGTATCTGACTTATATGATTTAGACCACCTATTTGCATTTGGATGACACCTGTATTTTACTAATAATCCTTAAGACTATTTTTATTTCTCAAAAGTTAAAGTCACTTGAGCTAAAAGGCATTATAGCTTTTATCTTTCCTTTAAAAATATTTAAGCCCTTATTTTCTTTAAGCCAATCAATTGGAGCTCTTTTTATAGACGTTACACATAACACACATAACTACACAGACAAACAGAAAAAGACTCAGTTGTTATAAGATTTATCATTAATTGGATTATTGGTCTCTGGGTGAGGCCCTTTAAGAGTGGGGCTAGGAGAGCATGCAGTTTTTAAGGAAGACAAAAACAGATTTTTGAGAGGGATCTATCCACCACTAATTCCTGGAGTTCCATGAGAAAAAACAGAGATTTCTCCCAAGATGAGATTTGTGGTGCCTTTTCTGTTTTCCCAAGAAGTCTCACACTATCAGAAGTTATCTTGGGGCCTCTCATGTGTGCATTAAGTAATGCATACATTGGGAGTGGCAAAACAAAATGGAGAAAAGGAATTTAGTTGGCTGAGAAAAAACATTTTTCAGAAAAACAAGATCCAAGAACAGAAAAATATAAAGGCCTTTTAAATATGCCTATAACTTGGATATCCACTTTAATTAAGCTGAGTGCTCTTTAAGAAAATCCCTTTAAATCCCTTGTTACTCGATTTTAGCCACACCAAGCAGTTAGGATTTTTGGCTTTTGAACTTTACCAAAAGTTACCTCACAGGTGAAATCAAAAGCCTTACTTAGGTTATGACTTAACCATGAGTATACAAGATATTTTCAAAGGAGGGGCAAGCAGGTTTTGAAACTGTTTTTGCAAAGTTGTGACTGAGACAGTGAAAGAGATCCAACCCAACCAACTCTATGTTGCCTCCAGCCCCAAAGCTGGCATCTCCAGCCCCATCTCTAGGCATACATGGAACCAACTCTGGGAAGAGCTTGGTTTACAGTTTATAGTTTAAAACAAAGTCAATAATAGCTCTCTCTCAAAATGAACCTCCCTTTTTGCCTAGGGACCAGACCAAGAAACTAGGCACAAGATTAGAAACCATGGCTTAGGAGTCATGCAGCTGGAGGATACAAGATTTTGACCCTTTCTAAACTACTCCCAAGATGAGTGCTTAAGATATTTTGCAAACCCTGCCATTGTTGGATCAGCTGGCATCACCAAGATTGATAAACTGGCTTATCTAATTTTGTGGCCCCCATCCAGGAACTAATTTAGCACAAGAAGACAAGTTTGACTCCCTATGATTTCATTTCTGACTCTACATGTCAGCATTCCTGTCTCATTGGCTCCCCCCTGCTACCAAGCTGTCCCCAAAAACTCTGCTCCCCAAATGCTCAGGGAGTCCCATCTGAGCAACAACAAAACTCCCATCTCCCACACTGCTGACCCTACTACAATTCCCCTGTTCTGATAAATCATCTCTGCCTGGACAGCATGCAAGGTGAATCCATTGGGCAGTTACACTATTACAAAATCTAGAACATTTAAAGGCAACTTAGAGGAAGATTTAAGAAAGGCAGATAGAAGTTGTTCATGAAGGGGGAAGAGAATCAGCAAATGGTAAAATTAAAGTATTCATTTCCCAAGCCAGAATTGAACGTGGGCCACCATTGTAAAATGGTGGAGACTAAAATGTAGTATTGCCACGTGGTTACAGGTCACATTCCCAAGGACATAAAAAAAGAGGCAGCAAAGTTTGTTACTGACCATTTTGTTGGGACTGGCTCAAACAGCAGGCTTATAGGGTCCCAGGCCTGCATGCTAGTCTGACATATGCTTTCTCTTGACAAAGCCATACAGAAAGACACACAAAGAACACTGGATTGGCTACAGCTTAAGACCAACTCCATAAATCGTTTTTCATGAATTAAAACTTCACAGAAAATATAAATAGTGAAACTTATTATTCCTTTTACTATTTTGTACAGGGAGAGAGAAGCCAAAATCCTGACTGGTGAAAAAAAAAAACTTTTACCCTTTTGCTGGCCTGTTGTGTTTCTGGGTTCCCTTCCCTTGAGCTCAACTCTCAGCCCAGCATTTTAACGTTTGGGGAAATTAACTTTTCCAAGTTTGGAGGAACATTATAAAAGAAGAGATAGGAACCATTTTAAACCATGTCAGGAGGAAGGAAAAATACCACAGAAAAGTCTGGGATTTGTGTGGTGGAACTGAAATAGCTGATGATGTAAATAGGGGGAACAGGAATGGCTGGGGCATCTGGAAGTTGCATTTAAGGGTTTCCTGTGGGGGGTCTGTTTCTTTAGTTTTGAGGAATCATTCCCACTGGGCCCACCTGATATGACTGCTAAAAGAGCTGAGTCGATTGTGCAGTGCTTGCAAAGGTCTAGTAACAGGGTGCAAAAGAAAATGAGCTGCTTTTTTTTCCAAAGCCTCAAGGTCAAAGGAATCCCAGTGCTTCAGAATGCACTTCAGAGGAGTACAGGTTGAAGATGGTTTTTTACCCACCTAGAAAGAGAAGCCAGAAAAAAGGCATCCCTGTAACCTCCTTCCTTTTGTTGTGACCCAAGGTGGAGGGGAAGACAGCAGGAGTTTACCCCCTACTCTTTTCCCTCCTTGATTCCTGGGACTCCAGCACATTGTTAAACATATTGTCCATGGTTGCAGGCATGACCCCCAGCCATGGAAGTGGAGGAACTAAGCAATTGGGATTACTCACACTTGCCCATGCAACTCTAGTCTTCCGTTTATGATTTCCCATTGACTTCTTAGACTGACGTGACCTGTGTGGCTCCCAGAAAGAGGGATCTTGAAAAAGACTATGTAATAGTTGCATTTGGGCAAGGCCCCTTTAATGGAGGGGGTGTATTAGATTGAACTCTATATCCTGTTATTGTGGCCCATGCCAAAGCATTTACTCTTAAGTCTCCTTACTATGTAAGTACCATTTTAATTGGAGACAGAGTAGGTGCCTTAAAAGAATGTAGGGACCAAATGGTGGTTTTCCTGCTGATGGGACACTATCGAGACTAAAATTTGATTTTGGAGGACATTTTCCTCATCACTGTTGAAGGCAGAGTTTTTCCCTTTCACAGAAAAGGCATAAAGCTTGGTCTCTAGTAGAGGGGCACAAAAAGGGAGGAAAATTGGGAAGCTAAAGTGTTTCGGAAAAGGGCCAACAATGTGCCTCATGGAGAGGATTCCTGTTCCTGTAGGTGGCGCCGTTGAGCATGTGCTTTCCAGACCAAGTGCAGAGAGAGATGCTCACTGTAGGGTATGGGGGAAGATCCTCTGTTCCTAGAAAATCACAAAAACAGCATTCTCTTAAGCTATATTCCCTGTTACTATGGCATTTGCTGACCTTTCCTAACAGGACTATTTCACTGAACTGTAAAAATTTCCAGAGCATTGCATATATAGAGATGATAGGAGACATGGCAATCACAGATAGGAAAGGAGGAAATTTGTGATAGAAAAGCTGGAGATCCTATTGCTGATGGTTGGTTGGGAAGTTGAAGGCTGGAGTTGGTCCAGAAGCCTTCAGATAACACCAGGGTGTAGTCCTGGCCAGAAATTCTTTGTTGCTCCAGGACCTCTTTAAGCTCCATACGATGGCTGGGTCCTCCAGGAAGGGAAACTGTTTTGAAACATAGCCAATATGCCCAGCAGCCTGAGGGTACTGGGGGATTCTTCATGATCTCCCCAGCAAGCTTGTCCCCTTGTCTTGTAAGGCTGGCAGCCAATCTAACCATTTTTAAATGGCTGACAAGGGCTCGTATTTGGTTTGATTTGATATTAAAATGGAGGCCAAGAGCCTCAAAATGCAAGGACAGAGTTATGGTCCATTCCTATACTCACCCTTCTGATGATTATACCTGCATCCCAGATGGGGCCCCAAAATGAACCAGTATTGCTTGTCTCAGGTAAATACCCTACATTCATTGTCTCACTCCAAGGAAATTGAGGGTGTGCACACACAAGAAGTGAGTCTAAAAGCAGAGGTTTAATAGGTGAGAGAAAAACTCTCTCTTCTGCAGAGACAAAGGGACTCCTGAGTAGGTCCTCCAGTTCTGTGGTGAATTGCATGGGGTTTTATAGATGAGGTTGAGGAGGCAGTGTCTGATTTACATAGGGCACAAAAGATTGGTATGTGAAGAAGCTGGCTGCCCACCATAATCTTTTATTATACAAAGGGGTTCTCTACCTGGTCAGTGCCATGTTGCCTGCTTCTTTACTGCACATGTGGTTGACAAAGAAAAGGGAAGATGGAGCCTCCATGTTGACTATGACTGGCCCCCAGGTAGACTTTTCCTATTGGCACAGCTGCCAGCATTCACCCATGCAAACTTCCAGCTTGCTTTTCTATGTCTGCATCTTGATTTTTCAGGCTGTTCTTTGTTAGAAAAGAAATGATTTTGGGGCTGCTTTTTATGAACAATGGAAACTTTACCAATGACTCCCTTATGCTCACTATATGCCTAAATAATTTCTTTCTAGCTCCTGTGTCAGTTCTTTCTTTCCTTCCTATTCTTCATTAGTGAAAATAATTTTCTCTGGTGATATGATTTGTTTCTTGCTTTTTAATTTTTATGGGCCCATTGTATGTTTCTTGGTCTGAGGTTACCATGAGGCTTGCAAATACTATCTTATAACCCATTATTTTAGGCTGATAACAACTTAACACTGTTTGTACAAACAAACAAGCAAAAAGAAAACAATTAAGAACTCCACATCTTAACTTTGTCCCTCTGCTTTGTAACTTTTTGTTGCTTCTACTATTTATATCTTATTGTACTGTCTATGTCCTCAAAAGTTGTTGCAGTTATTATTTTTGATTGGCTCATTGTTTAGTTTTTCTACTTAGGATAAGACTAGTTCATATACCACAGTTATAGTGTTATAATATTGTGTGTTTTCTGTGTACTTTCTGTGACCCGTGAGTTTTGTACCTTCAGATGATTACTTATTGCTCATTAACATTTTTTTCTTTCTAACTGAAGTACTTACTCCCTTTAGAATGTCTTGTTGGACAGGTCTGCTCTTCATGAAATCCCTCAACTTCTGTTTGTCTGGAAAAGTTTGTATTTCTCCTTCATGCTTGAAGGATATTTTTGCTAGATATCCTATTCTATGGTAGAAGGTTTTTTTTCCATCAGCACTTTAAATATGTTATGCCACTCTCTTCTGGCCTGTAAGGTTTCCATTGAAAAGTCTACTGCAAGACATATAGGAGCTCCATTGTTATGTTATTTGATTCTTTTGTCTTGGTGCTTTTAGGGTCTTTCTTCTTTTTTTTACATTTATTTATTTATTTATTTTTATTATATTTTAAGTTTTAGGGTCCATGTGCACAATGTGCAGGTTAGTTACATATGTATACATGTGCCATGTTGGTGTGCTGCACCCATTAACTTATCATTTAACATTAGATATATCTCCTAATGCTATCGCTCCCCCCTCCCCACACCTCACAACAGGCCCTGGTGTGTGATGTTCCCCTTCCTGTGTCCATGTGTTCTCATTGTTCGATTCCCACCTGTGAGTGAGAACATGCGGTGTTTGGTTTTTTGTCCTTGCAATAGTTTGCTGAGAATGATGGTTTCCAGCTTCATCCATGTCCCTACAAAGGACATGAACTCACCCTTTTTCATGGCTGCATAGTATTCCATGGTGTATATGTGCCACATTTTCTTAATCCAGTCTATCGTTGTTGGACATTTGGGTTGGTTCCAAGTCTTTGCTATTGTGAATAGTGCCGCAATAAACATACGTGTGCATGTATCTTTATAACAGCATGTTTTATAATACTTTGGGTATATACCCAGTAATGGGATGGCTGGGTCAAATGGTATTTCTAGTTTTAGATCCCTGAGGAATCACCACACTGACTTCCACAATGGTTGAACTAGTTTACAGTCCCACCAACAGTGTAAAACTGTTCCTATTTCTCCACATCCTCTCCAGCACCTGTTGTTTCCTGACTTTTTAATGATCGCCATTCTAACTGGTGTGAGATGGTATCTCATTGTGGTTTTGATTTGCATTTCTCTGATGGCCAGTGATGATGAGCATTTTTTCATGTGTCTTTTGGCTGCATGAATGTCTTCTTTTGAGAAGTGTCTGTTCATATCCTTCGCCCACTTTTTCATGGGTTTTTTTTTTTTCTTGTAAATTTGTTTGAGTTCATTGTAGATTCTGGATATTAGCCCTTTGTCAGATGAGTAGATTGCAAACATTTTCTCCCATTCTGTAGGTTGCCTGTTCACTCTGATGGTAGTTTCTTTTGCTGTGCAGAAGCTCCTTCATTTAATTAGATCCCATTTGTCAATGTTGGCTTTTGTTTCCATTGCTTTTGGTGTTTTAGACATGAAGTCCTTGCCCATGTATATGTCCTGAATAGTATTGCCTAGGTTTTCTTCTAGGGTTTTGTTGGTTTTAGGTCTAACATTTAAGTCTTTAATCCATCTTGAATTAATTTTAGTATAAGGTGTAAGGAAGCGATCCAGTTTCAGCTTTCTACATATGGCAAGCCAGTTTTCCCAGCACCATTTATTAAATAGGGAATCCTTTCCCCATTTCTTGTTTTTGTCAGGTTTGTCAAAGATCAGATAGTTGTAGATATGCGGCATTATTTCTGAGGGCTCTGTTCTGTTCCATTGGTCTATATCTCTGTTTTGGTACCAGTACCATGCTGTTTTGGTTACTGTAGCCTTATAGTATAGTTTGAAGTCAGGTAGCGTGATGCGTCCAGCTTTGTTCTTTTGGCTTAGGATTGAATTGGCAATGTAGGCTCTTTTTTGGTTCCATATGAACTTTAAAGTAGTTTTGTCCAATTCTGTGAAGAAAGTCATTGTTAGCTCGATGGGGATGGCATTGAATCTATAAATTACCTTGGGCAGCATGGCCATTTTCATGATATTGCTTCTTCCTACCCACGAGCATGGAATGTTCTTCCATTTGTTTGTATCCTTTTTTATTTCATTGTGCAGCAGTTTGTAGTTCTCCTTAGAAGAGGTCTTTCACGTCCCTTGTAAGTTGGATTCCTAGGTATTTTATTTCCTTTGAAGTAATTGCCAATGGGAGTTCTCTCATGATTTGGCTCTCTGTTTGTCTGTTATTGGTGTATAAGAATGCTTGTGACTTTTGCACATGATTTTGTATCCTGAAACTTTGCTGAAGTTGCCTACCAGCTTAAGGAGATTTTGGGCTGAAATGAAGGGTTTTTCTAGATATACAGTCATGTCATCTGCAAACAGAGACAATTTGACTTCCTCTTTTCCTAATTGAATACACTTTATTTCCTTCTCCTGCCTGATTGCCCTGGTCAGAACTTCCAACACTATGTTGAATAGGAGTGGTGAGAGGGGGCATCCCTGTCTTATGCCAGTTTTCAAAGGGAATGCTTCCAGTTTTTGTCCATTCAGTATGATACTGGCTGTGGGTTTGTCATAGATAGCTCTTATTATTTTGAGATATGTCCCATGAATACCTAATTTATTGAGAGTTTTTAGCATGAAGCGTTGGTTGTTGAATTTCATCAAAGGCCTTTTCTGCATCTATTGATATAATCATGTGGTTTTTTCTTTGGTTCTGTTTATATGCTGGATTACATTTATTGATTTGCTTCTGTTGAACCAGTCTTGCATCCCAGGTACGAAGCCCTCTTGATCATGGTGGATAAGCTTTTTGATGTGCTGCCGGATTCAGTTTGCCAAATTTTATTCAGGATTTTTGCATCAATGTTCATCAGGGATATTGGTCCAACATTCTCTTTTTTTGTTGTGTCTCTGCCAGGCTTTGGTATCAGGATGATTTTGGTCTCATAAAATGAGTTAGGGAGGATTCCCTCTTTTTCTATTGATTGGAATAGTTTCAGAAGGAATGGTACCAGCAGCTCCTCCTTGTACCTCTGGTAGAATTCGGCTGTGAATCCTTCTGGTCCTGGACTTTTTTTGGTTGGTAAGCTATTAATTATTGCCTCAATTTCAGAGCCTGTTATTGGTCTATTCAGAGATTCAACTTCTTCCTGCTTTAGTCTTGGGAGGGTGTATGTGTCAAGGAATTTATCCATTTCTTCCAGATTTTCTAGTTTATTTTGCATAGAGGTGTTTATAGTATTCTCTGATGGTAATTTGTATTTCTGTGGAATTGGTGGTGATATCCCCTTTCTCATTTTTTATTGCGTCTATTTGATTCTTCTCTCTTTTCTTCATTAGTCTTGCCAGCGGTTTATCAATTTTGTGGCTCTTTTCAAAAAACCAGCTCCTGGATTCATTGATTTTTTGAAGAGTTTTTTGTGTCTCTATTTCCTTCAGTTCTGCTCTGATCTTAGTTATTTCTTGCCTTCTGCTAGCTTTTGAATGTATTTGCTCTTGCTTCTCTAGTTCTTTTAATTGTGATGTTCGGGTGTCAATTTTAGGTCTTTCCTGCTTTCTGTTGTGGGCATTTAGTGCTATAAATTTCCCTCTACACACTGCTTTGAATGTGTCCCAGAGATTCTGGTATGTTTTGTCTTTGTTCTCATTGGTTTCAAAGAACATCTTTATTTCTGCCTTCATTTAGTTATGTACCCAGTAGTCATTCAGGAGCAGGTTGTTCAGTTTCAATGTAGTTGAGTGGTTTTGAGTGAGTTTCTTAATCCTGAGTTCTAGTTTGATTGCACTGTGGTCTGAGAGACAATTTGTTATAATTTCTGTTCTTTACATTTGCTGAGGAGTGCTTTACTTCCAACTATGTGATCAATTTGGGAATAGGTGTGGTGTGTTGCTGAAAAGAATGTGTATTCTGTTGATTTGGGGTGGAGAGTTCTGTAGATGTCTATTAGGACCTCTTAGTGCAGAGCTGAGTTCAGTTCCTGGATATCCTTGTTAACTTTCTGTCACGTTGATCTGTCTAATGTTGACAGTGGAGGCTTTGCTCATTTCTTTTTATTCTTTTTTCTGTAAACTTCTCTTCTCGCTTCATTTCATTCATTTGATCTTCCATCACTGATACCCTTTCTTCCAGTTGATTGAATCAACTACTGAGCCTTTGTGCATTCGTCATGTAGTTCTTGTGCCATGGCTTTCAGCTCCATCTGGTCCTTTAAGGACTTCTCTGCATTTGTTATTCTAGTTAGCCATTTGTCTAATTTGTTTTTCAAGGTTTTAAACTTCTTTGCCATGGGTTCGAAATTCTTCCTTTAGCTTGGAGTAGTTTGATCATTTGAAGCCTTCTCTCAACTCATCAAAGTTATTCTCCATCCAGTTCTGTTCTGTTGCTGGAGAGAAGCTGTGTTCCTTTGGAGGAGGATAGGTGCTCTGATTTTTAGAGTTTCCAGTTTTTCTGCTCTGTTTTTTCCCCATCTTTGTGGTTTTATCTACCTTTGGTCTTTGACAATGGTGACGTACAGATGGGGTTTTGGTGTGGATATCCTTTCTGTTTGTTAGTTTTCCTTCTAACAGTCAGGACCCTCAGCTGCAGGTCTGTTGGAGTTTGCTGGAGGTCCACCCCAGACCCTGTTTTCCTGGGTATCAGCAGTGGAGGCTGCAGAACAGCGGATATTGGTGGACAGCAAATGTTGCTGCCTGATCGCTCCACTGGAAGTTTTGTCTCAGAGGAGTACCTGGCCGTGTGAGGCGTCCATCTGCCCCTACTGGGGGGTGCCTCCCAGTTAGGCTACTCAGGGATCAGGGACCCACTTGAGGAGGCAGTCTGTCCATTGTCAGATCTGCAGCTGCATGCTGGAAGAACCACTACTCTCTTGAAAGCTGTCAGACAGGGACAGTTAAGTCTGCAGAGGTTTCTGCTGCCTTTTGTTTGGCTCTGCCCTGCCCCCAGAGGTGGAGTCTACAGAGTCAGGCAGGCCTCCTTGAGCTGCGGTAGTCTCCACCCAGTTTGAGCTTCCTGGCCGCTTTGTTTACCTACTGAAGCCTCAGCAATAGTGGGCGCCTCTCCCCCAGCCTCACTGCTGCCTTACAGTTTGAGCTCAGACTGCTGTGCTAGCAATGATTGAGCCTCAGTGGGCACAGGACCCTGTGAGCCAGGCGTGGGATACGATCTCCTGGTGTGCCATTTGCTAAGACCATTGGAAAAGCACAGTATTAGGGTGGGAGTGACCCGATTTTTCAGGTGCCATCTGTCACTCCTTTGACTAGGAAAGGGAATTCCCTGACCCTTTGCACTTCCTGGGTGAGGTGATGCCTTGCCCTTCTTTGGCTCATGCTCGGTGTGCTGCACCCACTGCCCTGCACCCATTTTCCAACACTCTCCAGTGAGATGAACCTGGTACCTCAGTTGGAAATGCAGAAATCACCCGTCTTCTGCATTGCTCACACTGGGAGGTGTAGACTGGAGCTCTTCCTATTCAGCCACCTTGGCTCCAACCTTCCTGCCAGGTCCTTACTTTATACTTGACCTTAGGGAGTTTGATTATTAAATGCCTTGAAGTGGTCTTTGGGTTAAATTTCTTGGTGTTCTATAACCTTCTTATAGTTGAATATTGATATCTTTCTCTAGGTTTGGGAAGTTCTCTGTTATTATCCCTTTGAATAAACTTCCTACCTCTATCTCTTTCTCCACCTTCCCTTTAAGGCCAATAACTCTTAGATTTCCCCTCTGAGGCTACTTTCTAGATCCTGTATGTGTCCTTCATTGTTTTGTATTTTGTTTTCTTTTGTTTCCTCTGACTGTATTTTTTTTCAATAGTTTGTCCTCCAGCTCACCAATTCTTTCTTCTGCTTGAGCAATTCTGCTATTAGAAGACTTTGGTTTGCATTTCTCTGATGGCCAGTGATGATGAGCATTTTTTCATGTGTTTTTTGGCTGCATAAATGTCTTCTTTTGAGAAGTGTCTGTTCATGTCCTTCGCCCACTTTTTGATGGGGTTGTTTGTTTTTTTCTTGTAAATTTGTTTGAGTTCATTGTAGATTCTGGATATTAGCCCTTTGTCAGATGAGTAGGTTGCGAAAATTTTCTCCCATGTTGTAGGTTGCCTGTTCACTCTGATGGTAGTTTCTTTTGCTGTGCAGAAGCTCTTTAGTTTAATTAGATCCCATTTGTCAATTTTGGCTTTTGTTGCCATTGCTTTTGGTGTTTTGGACATGAAGTCCTTGCCCATGCCTATGTCCTGAATGGTAATGCCTAGGTTTTCTTCTAGGGTTTTTATGGTTTTAGTTCTAACGTTTAAATCTTTGATCCATCTTGAATTGATTTTTGTATAAGGTGTAAGGAAGGGATCCAGTTTCAGCTTTCTACATATGGCTAGCCAGTTTTCCCAGCACCATTTATTAAATAGGGAATCCTTTCCCCATTGCTTGTTTTTCTCAGGTTTGTCAAAGATCAGATAGTTGTAGGTATGCGGCGTTATTTCTGAGGGCTCTGTTCTGTTCCATTGATCTATATCTCTGTTTTGGTACCAGTACCATGCTGTTTTGGTTACTGTAGCCTTGTAGTATAGTTTGAAGTCAGGTAGTGTGATGCCTCCAGCTTTGTTCTTTTGGCTTAGGATTGACTTGGTGATGCGGGCTCTTTTTTGGTTCCATATGAACTTTAAAGTAGTTTTTTCCAATTCTGTGAAGAAAGTCATTGTTAGCTTGATGGGGATGGCATTGAATCTGTAAATTACCTTGGGCAGTATGGCCGTTTTCACGATATTGATTCTTCCTACCCATGAGCATGGAATGTTCTTCCATTTGTTTCTATCCTCTTTTATTTCCTTGAGCAGTGGTTTGTAGTTCTCCTTGAAGAGGTCCTTCACATCCCTTGTAAGTTGGATTCCTAGGTATTTTATTCTCTTTGAAGCAATTGTGAATGGGAGTTCACTCATGATTTGGCTCTCTGTTTGTCTGTTGTTGGTGTATAAGAATGCTTGTGGTTTTTGTACATTGATTTTGTATCCTGAGACTTTGCTGAAGTTGCTTATCAGCTTAAGGAGATTTTGGGCTGAGACGATGGGGTTTTCTAGATAAACAATCATGTCATCTGCAAACAGGGACAATTTGACTTCCTCTTTTCCTAATTGAATACTCTTTATTTCCTTCTCCTGCCTGATTGCCCTGGCCAGAACTTCCAACACTATGTTGAATAGGAGTGGTGAGAGAGGGCATCCCTGTCTTGTGCCCGTTTTCAAAGGGAATGCTTCCAGGTTTTGCCCATTCAGTATGATATTGGCTGTGGGTTTGTCATAGATAGCTCTTATTATTTTGAAATACGTCCCATCAATACCTAATTTATTGAGAGTTTTTAGCATGAAGGGTTGTTGAATTTTGTCAAAGGCTTTTTCTGCATCTATTGAGATAATCATGTGGTTTTTGTCTTTGGCTCTGTTTATATGCTGGATTACATTTATTGATTTGCGTATATTGAACCAGCCTTGCATCCCAGAAAACCACTATGAGATATCATCTCACACCAGTTAGAATGGCAATCATTAAAAAGTCAGGAAACAACAGGTGCTGGAGAGGATGTGGAGAAATAGGAACACTTTTACACTGTTGGTGGGACTGTAAACTAGTTCAACCATTGTAGAAGTCAGTGTGGCGATTCCTCAGGGATCTAGATCTAGAAATACCATTTGACCCAGCCATCCCATTACTGGGTATATACCCAAAGGACTATAAATCATGCTGCTATAAAGACACATGCACACGTATGTTTATTGTGGCATTATTCACAATAGCAAAGACTTGGAACCAACCCAAATGTCCAACAATGATAGACTGGATTAAGAAAATGTGGCACATATACACCATGGAATACTATGCAGCCATAAAAAATGATCAGTTCATATCCTTTATAGGGACATGGATGAAATTGGAAATCGTCATTCTCAGTAAACTATCGCAAGAACAGAAAACCAAACACCGTATATTCTCACTCATAGGTGGGAATTGAACAATGAGATCACATGGACACATGAAGGGGAATACCACGCTCTGGGGACTGTGGTGGGGTGGGGGGAGGGGGGAGGGATAGCACTGGGAGATATACCTAAGGCTAGATGATGAGTTAGTGGGTGCAGCGCACCAGCATGGTACATGTATACATATGTAACTAACCTGCACAATGTGCACATGTACCCTAAAACTTAAAGTATAATAAAAAAATAAATAAAATAAAATTTGATTTACAATCTTCAAGAACATTATAACCATTATATATAATACATGGTAATTTTCAAGTATCTCAAACAAACATAGAATTTCATAGAGAGGTATAAATAATTATGCCAAACACATGGTATAATGATTTCTTTCCTTTGATTAAGAGGCATTTTTATAGTGATCATCATTATTAAATGAAATAAATATTTGCATGTGGTACAGTATACAATCCTTTCATTACGAAATGTTATTTTAAAAGTATGTATTGGGTCCTGAATCACGATGTTTTAAAATGTTTGATTTTAATGAGTCATTGAATATGTATTAGCTTTTATGAGATGCACATATTTGGAATATGGCTGTATTCGTCAGCATAAGGATGATTTAAATTTTCTTAAAATAGACTATTAGGATGCAGATGTTCTTGCTGACAGGTGCTTCTAAAGCATTAAAAATACATGTAACCACAGTGCTTTTGACAATGTAATTCTGTTGCCTTCACACCTATTAAGTTGAGCAATTTCCCTTATTTTTCTCAAACATGCATACTAATAAAGTCATCTATCAGTGTTTACATATATCTAATAATTGGAAAATTACATTTTTTATAAAAAAAAAAGAAGACTTTTTTGCATTCTTCAGTATGCCAAATACATTTTTCAGCTCGAGAATTTTTGCTTCATTCTTTTAAAATTATTTCAATCTCTTTGTTAAGTTTTTTTGATAGAGTTTTGAATTTCTTTTCTGTGTTACCTTGAATTTCTTTGAGTTTTCTCAAAACAGCAATTTTAAATTGTTTGCCTGAAGGGTCACATGTCTTTATTTCTTCAGGATTGGTCCCTGATGCCTTACTTATTTCATTTGGTGGGATCTTGTTTTCCTAGATGGTGGTGTTGACAGTAGATGTCCATCTGTGTCTGGGCATTGAAGAGTTGGGTATTTATTGTAGTCTTTATGTTCTGGGCTTGTTTGTACCCATCCTTCTTGGAAAGGCTTTCCAGATATTTGAAAGGATTTGGATGTTGTCATCTAAACTGTATCTGCTGTACAAGCCCAGTAACACTGAATAAAATTCCACCAGAGAATAATTTGAATTCACATGAAGAAAGCAAAAGCTCTGGTAAATGAAACTACATAGGTAAATATAGAAGATGGTATTTGCATATTTTGGCTTGTTACTTGTTTTCATCTTATCTGATTTAAAAGACAACTGCATAAAGGAGACCTATAGAGGTAGCACCTTGATGTCTTGGACAAGATTGGTGAGAATTCCTCAGATTACCAGGCAGAGACTCTTGTTGTCTTCCCTTACTTTTCTCAGATGGAATCTTTCTTCCTCTGTTGTGGGCTCCCTAATGATGGAGGTGGATGTGGCCACCACCACTATGATTGCACTGGGTTAGACCTGAAACCAATACAGCACTGGGTCTTGCTCAAGGCCTGCCATGACCACTTCCTGGGGAAGTATTCATTCAAGGCCCTGGGGATCTATAACAAGCAGGTGGCAAATCCTGCCATACCTGTGTCCTTCTTTTCAGGGTGGCAAGTTCCCAGGCCCTGGGTGGGTCCAGAGGTGCCATCTGGGAGTCAGGGATTAGGGTCAAAAACCTTAGAAGATTACATGTTGTTCTATGTACTATGGCTGAGCCAGCACTTAAGCCACAAGATACAGTTCTTCCCACTCTTTCTTCCCATTTCCAAAGGTAGAGGTGCCTCTACCAGGTAAATGGGTGCTCACCTGATTTTTGGTTCTTATGAAGGTGTGTTTTCTCCATAGATAGTTGTTAAATATGTGTCCTTGCAGGGAATAGGGCATGAGACAATGGAGCTTTCTATTCTTCTATGTTGCTCCTGTGATTGTTTCTTTAACTCTAAATTGAGACTAAGAATATATACGTTCAGAAATATAGTTAAAATTAAAGTTAATGTATTTCAAACACTGAAATTGGGCATGAATCCTAGCACATAGTGCTTTGTAGGTCAATGCCAGTTACAAAAGTGTAGTAAAAACCTTTAAAATTCTCTCCTCCATTAGAGCAAGGAGAATACTGGAAAGAATGGTCAGAGTCAACATTTTCAGAATTCTGGAAATTAAGCAAAAGCTCGCATCAGTTCAAGGAGTACTTATGCAAGAAAAATGGCCAACTCTCAACAACAAGAAGCATTATTGGTATTTTAATTTACCCTGTTTTCATTTTCCCTGCACAGCTTCTCTGTAGTCTTGAAAAACAACAGCCTGCAATCACATTGATACCCAGCAGCTTGGCAACCACTGGGAGGGGCAGAACGAGATTGGAGCTTTTTCGAAGACCCAGATAATTGCTATTATTTGACCTATGTGGTCATTCTCTGGAAGACCTAACTCACAAATATACCTTTATTTGACTTGACTTGGAGCATTTTTCGTGGAGAAATTTGTCAAAAACAGTCAGAAGCAATTCTTAAACATTGCAGCAGCTTTAGGCAGTGGATTAAGTAAGAAAAAAAACAGGCTAACCAAAAGGCTTAAATACAAAAGCTGAGGAATGAGTATCAGGACTGTGCATATGCCCAGGACTCTGTACATGTTCAAGAAAGACCCAGGAAGGCATAAGCTATCACCTCTGGCTTACCTTGTGATCCTGTGAAAGCAGGATATGAAGGCTAAGGTAAAGTTTTAAGCTTGGCTGAGTGTGGTAGCTCACACCTGTAATCCCAGCACTTTGGGGGACTGAGGCAGGCAGATCATGAGGTCAGGAGATTGAGACCATCCTGGCTAACACGGTGAAACCCAGTTTCTACTAAAAATACAAAAAATTAGCCAGATGAGGTGGTGGGCACCTGTAATCCCAGCTACTCAGGAGCCTGAAGAAGGAGAATGGTGTAACCCGGGAGGTGGAGCTTGCAGTAAGCTGAGATAGTGCCACTGCACTCCAGCCTGGGTGACAGAGCAAGACTCTGTCTCAAAAAAAGAAAAAAGTTTTAAGCTATCTGGCTGAGTATTGAAGGCATGCCCCAAGACACACAAAGAATCCCTTAGCAAAGACTGTAAGACTTATTTGTTCTAAAGATATCTCTGTATAATTATTAACTTATCAATAATCTTATTGAGCAGGGGCTTCAGTGGCTGCATATAAGAAAATAATATGTCTCATAAAATTAGTTTAAAAAATGCTAATCCCAAGAACGACAAAACAACAAACAGTAACAATCATAAACATTGGAGATGGAAAGAAATATGATTTCCAGGATTGCCACATTGTAGTAGTCTATTTGGGCTGATTTAACAAAATACCATAGACTAAGTCACTTATAAACCATAGGAATTTGTTCCTTGAAGTTCTGAAATTTGGAAAATGTAAGATCAAGGCACCAGCAGATTTGGTGTCTGGTGAGGGTCCACTTTCTGGTTCTAGATGGTCATCTTCTTGTTATAATCTATCATGGGGGAAGGAGCAAGGGATCTCTCTGGGGGGATCTCTTAGATAAGGTGCCCATCTTATTAGTGAGAGCTCCACTTTCATGATCTAATCATCTCTCAAAGCCCCAACCTTCAAACACCTTCACATTGGAGATTAAGTTTTAACATATGAATTTTGGGAAGGACACAAATTTTTGACAATAGTGTGTGCACACACACATGTGAACACACACACATGTATACTTATATATAGGCATGTATATATATGTATAATTCAGTTTTCAATAACAAGAAAAATATAATACATGAAAAAACAAGAAAGTACAGCCCTTACATAGGGGACTAATGCAGTTGACAGAAACTGTCTCTGGGGAAGCCTAGACTTCAGACTTACTAAGCAAAAACTTTCAATTAGTTATTTTGAATATATTTAAGGAAATAAAACTATGTCTAAGAACTAAAGAAAATTATCAGAATGATATCTCAGCAAATAGATCATTTCAATAAAGAGATAGAAATTATAAAAAAGAACCAAATGAAAATTCTAGAGGTAAAATGTACACTAATTGAAATGACAAATTCACTAGAGGAGCTCAGTAGCAGATTTGAGTAGGCAGAATAAAGAAGAAGTGAACTTGGGTAGGCCAATGGAAATCATCTAGTCTGAGGAGCAGAAAGAGAAAGAAAGGAAGAAAAAATGAACAGGACCTCAGAGACCTATCAAGCACCATTAAAAATACCACCATATGTATAAGAGGGTTTCCAGAGGGAGAGAAAAGAAAGAGGCAGAAAGAATATTTGGAAAAAAAGGATGGCTTAAAATTTGTCCAAAAATTAAACTATGCATCCAAAAATCTCCTAAAATTCTAAATAGGATAAATTGAAAGAGATTATGGGATCATAATCAAACTGTCAAAAACCAAACACAGTGGGAGAATCTTGAAAGCAGCAAAAGAGAAGTGACTCATCATAGCTAAGAGATTCTCCTTAGCCAAACAGCTGATTTCTCATCAGAAGTGATAAAGGTCAGGAGGAAGTTGGATAAAATATTCAAAGTACAGAAAAGAAAAGACTGTCAATCACGAATTCCCTGTCCAATGAAATTACCCTTTGAAAATGAAGGAGACATTAAAATGTTCCTAGGCAAACAAAAACAGAGAAGCTTTATTGTTAGCAGGTCTTCTCTTTAATAAATACTAAAGAAGTCCTTTATTCTAACTGGTGTGAGATGGTATCTCATTGTGGTTTTGATTTGCATTTCTCTGATGGCCAGTGATGGTGAGCATTTTTTCATGTGTTTTTTGGCTGCATAAATGTCTTCTTTTGAGAAGTGTCTGTTCATATCCTTCACCCACTTTTTGATGGGGTTGTTTGTTTTCTTCTTGTAAATTTGTTTGAGTTCATTGTAGATTCTGGTTATTAGCCCTTTGTCAGATGAGTAGGTTGCGAAAATTTTCTCCCACTTTGTAGGTTGCCTGTTCACTCTGATGGTAATTTCTTTTGCTGTGCAGAAGCTCTTTAGTTTAATTAGATCCCATTTGTCAATTTTGTCTTTTGTTGCCATTGCTTTTGGTGTTTTAGACATGAAATCCTTGCCTATGCCTATGTCCTGAATGGTATTGCCTAGGTTTTCTTCTGGGTTTTTATGGTTTTGGGTCTAACGTTTGAGTCTTTAATCCATCTTGAATTAATTTTTGTACAAGGTGTAAGGAAGCGATCCAGTTTCAGCTTTCTACATATGGCAAGCCAGTTTTCCCAGCACCATTTATTAAATAGGAAATCCTTTCCCCATTGCTTGTTTTTCTCAGGTTTGTCAAAGATCAGGGATCTAGAACTAGAAATGCCATTTAACCCAGCCATCCCATTACTGGGTATATACCCAAAGGACTATAAATCATGCTGCTATAAAGACGCATTCACATGTATGTTTATTGTGGCACTATTCACAATAGCAAAGACTTGGAACCAACCCAAATGTCCAACAATGATAGACTGGATTAAGAAAATGTGGCATATATACACCATGAAATACTATACAGCCATAAAAAATGATGAGTTCATGTCCTTTGTAGGGACATGGATGAAATTGGAAATCATCATTCTCAGTAAACTATCGCAAGGACAAAAAACCAAACACCGCATGTTCTCACTCATAGGTGGGAATTGAACAATGAGAATGCATGGACACAGGAAGGGGAACATCACACTCTGGGGACAGTTGTGGGGTGGGGAGAGGGGGGAGGGATAGCATTAGGAGATATACCTAATGCTAAATGACGAGTTAATGGGTGCAGCACACCAGCATGGCACATGTATACACATGTAACTAACCTGCACGTTGTGCACATGTACCCTAAAACTTAAAGTATAATAATAATAAAAAAAGAAAAAAAGAAGTCCTTCAGGCTGAAATAAAATCCCACCAGACAGTAATTTGAATTCACATAAAGAAAGCAAAATCTTTGGTAAACCTAACTACATAGATAAATATAGAAGACAGTATTTCCATATTTTATCTTGTTACTTGTTTTCCTCTTATCTGATTTAAAAGACAACTGCATAAAGCAATAATTATAAATATGTATTGATGGATATGCAAAGTGTAAAGATGTAATTTGTATGGCAATAACAACACAAAATAGAAGAGAGGGAATACAGCTATATAGAAGTGCTATTCCTATGTACTGCTGTATTAAGTTGTACTAGATATAAAAACATGATCCAAATATATGTTGTCTACAAGAGCCATCCTTTAGATTCAAAGACCCAAATAAGTTGAAAGGAAAAGCTTGAAAAAATATAAACCACACAAACAGTAAGCAAAGGAAAAGCTGAAGTGGCTATACTTTAGCTAATAGTAATATCAGACAAAATGAAATTTAAGGCATAAATTGCTATTAGAGATGGAGAAGGATATTTTATAAGGGTATACCAATCAATTCACCATGAGCTGCTTATAAACAATAGAAATTTTTTTCTTATAGTTCTGAAGGCTTGGATCAAGGCATTGGCAGATTTGATATCTGGCACAAGGGTCCATTTCCTGGTTCTAGATGGCCATTTGCTATAATCCCAGATGGTGAAAGGGGCAAGAGATCTCTCTGGGGATTTTACCTTTTATAAGGGTGCTAATCCCATGTTATAATGTCTATAATAATTATAGACCTATGTGCATCTAATAACAGAGCCCCAAACTATATGAAGTAAAAACTAACACAGTAGAAAAGAGAAATAAACAATTTGACAACAATAGGTGGAGACTTTGGTATCTCACTCTCAATAATGGATAGACAGGTAGGCAGAAGCTCATCAAGAAAACAAGACTTACACAATGCTATAAAGCAAGTATACATAACAGTACTCTTTTAGGTGTAAACCTAACTACATTTATACTATATTCTCTTCAACAACAGCAGAATATACACTCTTTTCAAGTGCACATGCAACATTCTTGAGGTTAGACCATATGTAACCTAAAACAAGACTCAATACACTTAAAAGAATTAGACAAAGTATGTTCTCCAGAATGTAATGAAATTAAAAATCATCATAGAAGGAAATTTGGGAAATTCACAAATATGTAAAAATTAAACAACACATTTTTAAATAACCAGTGCATTAAGAGGAAATCATGAGGGAAATTAGAAAATACTTTGAGATAAGGGAAGATGAAGACATCATAACATAACCTATGGAATGCATCTAAAGCAGTGCTTAGTGGGAAATTTGTAGTTGTTAATGTGTATATTTAAAAAGGAAGAAAGATCTGAAATTAATCACTTTACCTGCTCCCATTAAGACATTGGAAAATGAGAGCAAACTAAACCTAAAGCAAGCAGAAGGAAGGAAATAGCAAGGACTAGAGCAAAAACAAATGAATTAGAGAATAGAATAGAGAATAAAAAAACAACAAAACCAAAGAGGATTCTTTAAAAAGATCACCAAAGTGACAAATCTCTAGCTAGATTGACCAAGAAAGAAAAGAGATGGAAGACTCAAATTACTAAAATCAGGAATGAGAGACATTACTACTGACCTTAAAAAATGAAAAGGATTATAAGGGATACTATAAGCCATTATATGCAACAAATTATATGACTTAGATAAAATGGATACATTCTTAGAAAGACACAAGCCACTGAAATTGACTTAATAGATGATCTGAACATAGTATAATAAGTAAAGATATTGAATTAGTAATAAAAATATTTCTCACAAAGAAAACCCAGGACAAGATGGCTTTACTGGTGAATTTTATCACGCATTTAAGGAAGAATTAACATGAATCCTCCACAAGTTTTTTTTTCTAAAAAATAGGAGAGAACTATTCCCAACTCATTCTATGATACAAGTATTACCCTCATGCCAAAATCAAACAAAGATATCATAAGAAAAGAACAAGCACAAGGGGTCAGGGAATTCCCTTTCCTAGTCAAAGAAAGGGGTGACAGATGGCACCTGGAAAATCGGGTCACTCCCACCCTAATACTACACTTTTCCAACGGGATTAACAAACGGCACACCAGGAGATTATATCCTGCACATGGCTCAGAGGGTCCTACATCCACAGAGCCTTGCTCATTGCTAGCACAGCAGTCTGAGATCAAACTGCAAGGTGGCAGCGAGGCTGGGGGAGGGGCGTCCACCATTGCCCAGGCTTGAGTTGGTCAACAAAGTGGCCAGGAAGCTCAAACTGGGTGGAGCCCACCACAGCTCAAGGAGGCCTGCCTGCCTTTGTAGGCTCCACCTCTGGGGGAAGGGCACAAACAAAAGGCAGCAGTAACCTCTGCAGACTTAAATGTCCCTGTCTGACAGCTTTGAAGAGAGTAGTGGTTCTCCCAGCATGCAGCTGGAGATCTGAGAATGGGCAGACTGCCTCCTCAAGTTGGTCTCTGACCACCAAGTAGCCTAACTGGGAGGCACCCACCAGTAGGGGTGGACTGACACCACACATGGCCAGGTACTCCTCTGAGACAAAACTTCCAGAGGAGCGATCAGGCAGCAGCATTTGTGGTTCACCAATATCCACTGTTCTTCAGCCACTGCTGCCAATACCCAGGCAAACAGGGTCAGGAGTGGACCTTGAGGAAACTCCAACAGACCTGCAGCTGAGGGTCCTGACTGTTAGAAGGAAAACTAACAAAGAGAAAGGTCATCCCACCAAAAACCCATCTGTATGTCACCATCATCAAAGACCAAAGGTAGATAAAACCACAAAAATGGGGAAAAACAGAGCAGAAAAACCGGAAACTCTAAAAATCAGAGTGCTTCTCCTCCTCCAAAGGAATGCAGCTCCGCACCAGCAATGGAACAAAAACTGGATGGAGAATGACTTTGACAAGTTGAGAGAAGAAGGCTTCAGAAGATCAAACTACTCCGAGCAAAAGGAGGAAGTTCAAACCAATGGCAAAGAAGATAAAAACCTTGAAAAAAATTAGATGAATGGATAACTAGAATAACCAATGCAGAGAAGTCCTTAAAAGACCTGATGGAGCTGAAAACCATGGCACAAGAACTACATAATGAATGCAAAAGCCTCAGTAGCCAATTCGATCAACTGGAAGAAAGGGTATCAGCGATGGAAGATGAAATGAATGAAATGAAGTGAGAAGAGAAGTTTAGAGAAAAAAGAATAAAAAGCAATGAACAAAGCCTCCAAGAAATATGGGACTATGTGAAAAGACCAAATCTACATCTGATTGGTGTACTGAAAGTAATAGGGAGAATGGAACCAAGTTGGAAAACACTCCGCAGGATATTATTCAGGAGAACTTCCCCAATCTAGCAAGGCAGGCCAACATTCAAATTCAGGAAATACAGAGAATGCCACAAAGTTACTCCTCAAGAAGAGCAACTCCAAGACACATAATTGTCAGATTCAACAAACTTGAAATGAAGGAAAAAATGTTAAGGGCAGCCAGAGAAAAAGGTCGGGTTACCCACAAAGGGAAGCCCATCAGACTAACAGTGGATCTCTCGGCAGAAACTCTACAAGCCAGAAGAGAGTGGGGGTCAATATTCAACATTCTTAAAGAAAAGAATTTTCAACCCAGAATCTCATATCCAGCCAAACTAGGCTTCATAAAGTGAAGGAGAAATAAAATCCTTTACAGACAAGCAAATGCTGAGAGATTTTGTCACCACCAGGCCTGCCCTAAAAGAGCTCCTGAAGGAAGCAGTAAACATGGAAAGGAACAACCAGTACCAGCCACTGCAAAAACATGCCAAATTGTTAAGACAATCAAGGCTAGGAAGAAACTGCATCAACTAATGGGCAAAATAACCAGCTACCTCATAATGAGAGGATCACATTCACACATAACAATATTAACTTTAAATGTAAATGGGCTAAATGCTAAAAGACACAGACTGGCAAATTGGATAAAGAGTCAAGACCCATCAGTGTGCTGTATTCAGGAAACCCATCTCACGTGCAGAGACACACATAGGCTCAAAATAAAGGGATGGAGGAAGATCTACCAAGCAAATGGAAAACAAAAAAAGGCAGGGGTGGTAATCTTAGTCTTGGATAAAACAGACTTTAAACCACAAAGATCAAAACAGACAAAGAAGGCCATTACATAATGGTAAAGGGATCAATTCAACAAGAAGACCTAACTATCCTAAATATATATGCACCCAACACAGGAGCACCCAGATTCATAAAGCAAGTCCTTAGTGACCTACAAGGAGACTTAGATTCCCACACAATAATAATGGGAGACTTTAACACCCCACTGTCAGCATTAGACAGATCAATGAGACAGAAAGTTAACAAGGATATCCAGGAGTTGAACTCTGCTCTGCACCAAGCGGACCTAATAGACGTCTACAGAACTCTCCACCCCAAATCAACAGAATATACATTCTTTTCAGCACCACACCACACCTATTCCAAAATTGACCACATACTTGGAAGTAAAGCACTTCTCAGCAAATGTAAAAGAACAGAAATTATAACAAACTGTCTCTCAGACCACAGTGTAGTCAAACTAGAACTCAGGATTAAGAAACTCACTCAAAACCACTCAACTACATGGAAACTGAACAACCTGCTTCTGAATGACTACTGGGTAAGCAACGAAATGAAGGCAGAAATAAAGATGTTCTTTGAAACCAGTGAGAACAAAGACACAACATACCAGAATCTCTAGGACACATTCAAAGCAGTGTGTAGAGGGAAATGTATAGCACTAAATGCCCACAAGAGAAAGCAGGAAAGATCTAAAATTGACACCCTAACATCACAATTAAAAGAACTAGAGAAGCAAGAGCAAACACACTCAAAAGCCAACAGAAGGCAAGAAATAACTAAGATCAGAACAGAACTGAAGGAAATAGAGACACAAAAACCCTTCAAAAATTAATGAATCCAGGAGCTGGTTTTTTGAAAACATCAACAAAATTGATAGACCACTAGCAAGACTAATAAAGAAAAGAGAGAAGAATCAAATAGACGCAATAAAAAATGAGAAAGGGGATATCACCACTGATCCCACAGATATACAAACTACCATCAGAGAATACTATAAACACCTCTATGCAAATAAACTAGAAAATCTAGAAGAAATGGATAAATTCCTCGAAACATACACCCTCCCAGGACTAAACCAGGAAGAAGCTGTATCTCTGAATAGACCAATAATAGGCTCTGAAATTGAGGCAATAATTAATAGCTTATGAACCAAAGAAAGTCCAGGACCAGATGGATTCACAGCCGAATTCCACCAGATGTACAAGGAGGAGCTGGTACCATTCCTTCTGAAATTATTCCAATCAACAGAAAAAGAGGGAATCCTTCCTAACTCATTTTATGAGGCCAGCATCATTGTGATACCAAAGCGTGGCAGAGACAGAACAAAAAAAGAGAATTTTAGACCAATATCCCTGATGAACATCGATGCAAAAATCCTCAATAAAATACTGGCAAACCGAATCCAGCAGCACATCAAAAAGCTTATCCACAATGATCAAGTGTACCTCATCCTTGGGATGCAAGGCTGGTTCAACATACGAAAAGCAATAAATGTAATCCAGCATATAAACAGAACCAAAGACAAAAACCACATGATTATCTCAATAGATGCAGAAAAGGCCTTTGACAAAATTCAACAACCTTCATGGTAAAAACTCTCAATAAATTAGGTAATGACGGGACGTATCTCAAAATAATAAGAGCTATCTATGACAAACCCACAGCCAATACCATAGTGTTTGGGCAAAAACTGGAAGCATTCCCTTTGAAAACTGGCACAAGACAGGGATGCCCTCTCTCACCACTCCTATTCAACATACTGTTGGAAGTTCTGACAAGGGCAATCAGGCAGGGGAAGGAAATAAAGGGTATTCAATTAGGAAAAGAGGAAGTCAAATTGTCCCTGTTTGCAGATGACATGATTGTATATCTGGAAAGCCCCATCCTCACAGCCCCAAATCTCCTCAAGCTTATAAGCAACTTCAGCAAAGTCTTAGGATACAAAATCAATGTACAAAACTCACAAGCATTCTTATACACCAATAACAGACAAACAGAGAGCCAAATCATGAGTGAACTCCCATTCACAATTGCTTCAAAGAGAATAAAATACCTAGGAATCCACCTTACAAGGGATGTGAAGGACCTCTTCAAGGAGTACTACAAACCACTCCTCAATGAAATAAAAGAGGATACAAACAAAATGAAGAACATTCCATGGTCATGTGTAGGAAGAATCAATATCGTGAAAATGGCCATACTGCCCAAGGTAATTTATAGATTCAATGCCATCCCCATCAAGCTAACAATGACTTTCTTCACAGAATTGGAAGAAACTACCTTAAAGTTCATATGGAACCAAAAAAGAGCCCGCATCACCACATCTATCCTAAGCCAAAAGAACAAAGCTGGAGGTATCACGCTACCTGACTTCAAACTATACTACAAAGCTACAGTAACCAAAACAGCATGGTATCGGTACCAAAACAGAGACATAGACCAATGGAACAGAACGGAGCCCTCAGAAATAATGCTGCATATCTACAACTATCTGATCTTTGACAAACCTGAGAAAAACAAGCAATGGGGAAATGATTCCCTATTTAACAAATGGTGCTGGGAAAACTGGCTAGCCATATGTAGAAAGCTGAAACTGGATCCCTTCCTTACACCTTATACAAAAATTAATTCAAGATGTATTAAAGACTTAAATATTAGAGCTAAAGCCATCAAAACCGTCGAAGAAAACCTAGGCAATATTATTCAGGACATAGGCTAGGACTTCATGTCTAAAACACCAAAAGCAATGGAAACAAAAGCCAAAATTGACAAATGGGATCTAATTAAACTAAAGAGCTTCTGCACAGCAAAAGAAACTACCATAAGAGTGAACAGGCAACCTACAGAATGGGAGACAATTTTTGCAACCTACTCATCTGACAGAGGGCTAATATCCAGAATCTACAATTAACTCAAACAAATTTACAAGAGGAAAACAAACAACCCCATCAAAAAGTGGGTGAAGGATATGAACAGACACTTCTCAAAAGAAGACATTTATGCAGCCAAAAAACACATGAAAAAATTCTCATCATCACTGGCCATCAGAGAAATGCAAACCAAAACCACAATGAGATAGCATCTCACAGCAGTTAGAATGGCAATCATTAAAAAGTCAGGAAACAAGAGGTGCTGGAGAGGATGTGGAGAAATAGGAACACTTTTACACTGTTGGTGGGACTGTAAAGTAGTTAAACCATTGTGAAAGTCAGTGTGGTGATTCCTCAGGGATCTAGAACTAGAAATACCATTTCACCCAGCCATCCCATTACTGGGTATACACCCAAAGGATTATAAATCATGCTGCCATAAAGACACATGGACACGTATGTTTATTGTGGCACTATTCACAATAGCAAAGACTTGGAACCAAGCTAAATGTCCAACAATGATAGACTGGATTAAGAAAATGTGGCACATATACACCATGGAATACTATGCAGCCATAAAAAATGATGAGTTCATGTCCTTTGTAGGGACATGGATGAATCTGGAAACCATCATTCTCAGCAAACTGTCGCAAGGACAAAAAACCAAACACCACATGTTCTCACTCATAGGTGGGAATTGAACAATGAGAACACATGGACACAGGAAGGGGAACATCACACACTGGGGACAGTTGTGGAGTGGGGGGATGGGGGAGGGATAGCATTAGGAGATACACCTTATGCTAAATGACGAGTTAATGGGTGCAGCATACCAACATGGCACATGTATGCGTATGTAACAAACCTGCACGTTGTGCACGTGTACCCTAAAACTTAAGGTATAAGAAAAAAATTTAAAAAAAGAAAAAAAAAGAAAAGTAAACTGCAGCCATATGTTATGAAAATAGATATTAATACAAAAATTCTCAACAAAAGTTTTGCAAATGGCATTCAGTAGCCTATGAAAGGAAATATACACCATGACTAAGTGGGATATAAATCCTAAATATGTAATTTAGGATATAATTCCTAAATAATTGGGAATACAAGGTTGTTTCAATATATGAAAACTAGTCAATGTTATACACTATGTCGATAGAATAAAATACATAGTGTTCAGTAATGATAGCTGGTATTATGCTATTTCTCTTGGTTCTCCATTCACTGCTTACCCATATTTTAAAATATAGTAGCAGTTACAACTCTTATGATATGTGATTTAAACAGCATCCTATTCTTCAGACTGCAGAGTAGTTGCTGTAATATATGTTTGCAAGATGGCAGAACATATTTGGTTTGCAAATTTCCACTGTCCTGGAAATTATGTGTGAAGTAAATTTGAAGTCTCTTTGCCTAGGTGAGGATTTTTCTGTTGAATGGCTGGTGGACTTTGTAGACTTCCGAAAAATGTCAATGGGAAGGCATACAAATCGATCTTTTTGGATTTTTACACTGGAAAAGTTGACACTAGGATTTTAGCTTCAATTTGCCTCCCAACCCCAGATACCACTCTGCCTGAAAGTGCATCAAGTTTCAAGGTTCATTTCTATGGGTGGAATGTGTCCTTATGTGTTTATAGTACAGTTGAGAGATTGATTCAGAATCTCAGCCTCCTCTGTGACCTCAGACAGTGAGGAAACTTCCTCAGAAATATTCAACCTGAATGAAACCCCATTTTGTTATCCACAAGCATTTAGAATCCTTCATGACACCTAAGGGCTTATAAAAGGAGGGCTTTGTTGCATAATATTCCAGGCCAGGGATGTAGGATGTTAATAGGTTAAAATGCAAGGAAAATATCTAATCAGGTGAAGATAGTTTGCTAATAGACAAATACTCCCAAATATCTGTTTCTAAGGAAAAAATCTTTTAAAAACAGAGATAATTAATCCCTGGGAGGGCAAAGCCTTAGATATAATGATAGATCCTTTAATGTTCTCAATATCCTCTCCAAACACTATGATTCAAGAGAAGCTGTTTTCTTATTTTAAAGGCAGAATAAGAGAGGGGATATTATTAGAATATTTGTGTCCCTTATTCTTTTTTTTTTTACTGCATTGGTTTTTTTTATTGTTTTTTTCTTTTTTCTTTTTTTTCAAATATATTTTCTTGTATTTTTACTTTTACACAAACAATAGCATGCTATATACATTTATATATATATATTTTTTACATAAGGATATATATTTAGAATCTTTCCACATCAGTACACAAAACGTGTCCTCCTTCATTTTATACCTGTATAGTATTCCTTAGTTTGAGTGTATCACAATTTTTAAAACCAATTCTTCATTATGAAAATTAAATAGTATACATTTCTTTTGCTGTTGAAACAATGATACCATCCACAACCTATAAACATATCTTTTCCCATTTATATGGGTTTGTAGGATAAATCCTCAAAGGTGCAAATTCTGGGTCAAATGAAATATAAATTTCTTTTTTTTAAAATTTTATTATTATTATACTTTAAGTTTTAGGGTACATGTGCACAACTTGCAGGTTTGTTACATATGTATACATGTACCATGTTGGTATGCTGCACCCATTAACTCGTCATTTAGCATTAGGTATATCTCCTAATGCTATCCCTCCCCCCTCCCCCCACCCCACAACAGGCCCCAGTGTGTGATGTTCCCCTTCCTGTGTCCATGTGTTCTCATTGTTCAATTCCCAGCTATGAGTGAGAACATGCCGTGTTTGGTTTTTTGTCCTTGCGACAGTTTGCTGAGAATGATGGTTTCCAGATTCATCCATGTCCCTACAAAGGACATGAACTCATCATTTTTTATGGCTGCATAGTATTCTATGGTGTATATGTGCCACATTTTCTTAATCCAGTCTATCGTTGTTGGACATTTAGGTTGGATCCAAGTCTTTGCTATTGTGAATAGTGCCGCAATAAACATATGTGTGCATGAGTCTTTATAGCAGCATGATTTATAATCCTTTGGGTGTATACTCAGTAATGGGATGGCTGGGTGAAATGGTATTTCTAGTTCTATATCCCTGAGGAATGGCCACACTGACTTCCACAATTGTTGAACTAGTTTACAGTCCCACCAACAGAGTAAAAGTGTTGCTATTTCTCCACATCCTGTCCAGCACCTGTTGTTTCCTGACTTTTTAATGATCGCCATTCTAACTGGTGTGAGATGGTATCTCATTGTGGTTTTGATTAGCATTTCTCTGATGGCCAGTGATGATGAGCATTTTTTCATGTGTCTTTTGGCTGCATGAATGTCTTCTTTTGAGAAGTGTCTGTTCATATCCTTCGCCCACTTTTTCATGGGTTTTTTTTTTCTTGTAAATTTGTTTGAGTTCATTGTAGATTCTGGATATTAGCCCTTTGTCAGATGAGTAGATTGCAAAAATTGTCTCCCATTCTGTAGGTTGCCTGTTCACTCTGATGGTAGTTTCTTTTGCTGTGCGGAAGCTCTTTAGTTTAATTAGATCCCATTTGTCAATTTTGGCTTTTGTTTCCATTACTTTTGGTGTTTTAGACATGAAGTCCTTGCCCATGCCTAACCCTGAATCGTATTGCCTAGGTTCTTCGAGGGTTTTGATGGTTTTAGGTCTAACATGTAAGTCTTTAATCCATCTTGAATAATTTTTGTATAAGATGTAAGGAAGGGATCCAGTTTCAGCTTTCTACATATGGCTAGCCAGTTTTCCCAGCACCATTTATTAAATAGGGAATCCTTTCCCCATTGCTTGTTTTTCTCAGGTTTGTCAAAGATCAGATAGTTGTAGATACGCAGCATTATATATGAGGGCTCTGTTGTGTTCCATTGGTGTATACCTCAGTTTTGGTACCAGTAGCACACTCTTTTGGTTACTGTAGCCTTGTAGTATAGTTTGAAGTCAGGTAGCGTGATGCCTCGAGCTTTGTTCTTTTGGCTTAGGATTGACTTGGTGATGTGGGCTCTTTTTTGGTTCCATATGAACTTTAAAGTAGTTTTTTCCAATTCTGTGAAGAAAGTCATTGTTAGCTTGATGGGGATGGCATTGAATCTATAAATTACCTTGGGCAGTATGGCCATTTTCACGATATTGATTCTTCCTACCCATGAGCACGGAATATTCTTCCATTTGTTTGTATCCTCTTTTATTTAATTGAGCAGTGGTTTGTAGTTCTCCTTGAAGAGGTCCTTCACATCCCTTGTAAGGTGGATTCCTAGGTATTTTATTCTCTTTGAAGCAATTGTGAATGGGAGTTCACTCATGATTTGGCTCTCTGTTTGTCTGTTATTGGTGTATAAGAATGCTTGTGATTTTTGTACATTGATTTTGTATGCTGAGACTTTGCTGACATTGTTTATCTGCCTGAGGAGATTTTGGGCTGAGACAATGGAGTTTTCTAGATATACAATCATGTCATCTGCAAACAGGGACAATTTGACTTCCTCTTTTCCTAATTGAATACCCTATATTTCCTTCTCCTGCCTGATTTCCCTGGCCAGAACTTCCAACGCTATGTTGAATAGGAGTGGTGAGAGGGGCATCCCTGTCTTGTGCCAGTTTTCAAAGGGAGTGCTTCCAGTTTTTGTCCATTCAGTATGATATTTGCTGTGCTTTTGTCATAAATAGCTCTTCTTATTTTGAGATACGTCCCATCAATACCTAATTTATTGAGAGTTTTTAGCATGAAGGATTGTTGAATTTTGTCAAAGGCTTTTTCTGCATCTGCTGAGACGATCATGTGGTTTGTGTCTTTGGTTCTGTTTATGTGTTGGATTACATTTATTGATTTGTGTATGTTGAACCAGCCTTGTATTCCGGGGATGAAGCCCACTTGATCATGTTGGATTAGCTTTTTGATGTGCTGCTGGATTCGGTTTGCCAGTATTTTATTGAGGATTTTGCCATCGATATTCATCAAGGATATTGGTCTAAAATTCTCTTTTTTGGTTGTGTCTCTGCCAGGCTTTGGTATGACAAAGATGCTGGCCTCATAAAATGAGTTAGGGAGGATTCCCTCTTTTTTTATTGATTGGAATAGCTTCAGAAGCAATGGTACCAGCTCCTCTTTGTACCTCTGGTGGAATTCGGCTTTGAATCCATCTGGTCCTGGACTATTTTTGGTTGGTAAGCTATTGATTATTGCCTCAATTTCATAGCCTGTTGTGGGTCTATTCAGAGATTCAACTTCTTCCTGGTTTAGTCTTGGGAGGATGTACGTGTTGAGGAATTTATCCATTTCTTCTAGATTTTCTAGTTTATTTGCATAGAGGTGTTTATAGTATTCTCTGATGGTAGTTTGTATTTCTGTGGGATCAGTGGTATTATCCCCTTTCTCATTTTTTATTGCGTCTATTTGATTCTTCTCTCTTTTCTTCTTTATTAGTCTTGCTAGCGGTCTCTCAATGTTTTTGATGTTTTCAGAAAACCAGCTCCTGGATTCATTAATTTTTTGAAGGTTTGTTGTGTCTCTATTTCCTTCAGTTCCACTGTGATCTTAGTTCTTTCTTGCCTTCTGCTAGCTTTTGAATGTGTTTGCTCTTGCTTCTCTAGTTCTTTTAATTGTGATGTTATGTGTTAGTTTTAGGTCTTTCCTGCTTTCTCTTGTGGGCATTTAGTGCTATAAATTTCCCTCTACACACTGCTTTGAATGTGTCCCATAGATTGTGGTATGTTGTGTCTTTGTTCTCATTGGTTTCAAAGAACATCTTTATTTCTGCCTTCATTTCATTATTTACCCAGTAGTCATTCAGAAGCAGGTTGTTCAGTTTCCATGTAGTTGAGTGGTTTTGAGTGAGTTTCTTAATCTTGAGTTCTAGTTTGATTGCACTGTGGTTTGAGAGAGAGTTTGTTATAATTTCTGCTCTTTTACATTTACTGAGGAGTGCTTTACTTCCAACCATGTGGTCAATTTTGGAGTAGGTGTGGTGTGGTGCTGAAAAGAATGTATATTCTGTTGATTTGGGGTGGAGAGTTCTGTAGGTGTCTATTAGGTCCACTTGGTGCAGAGCTGGGTTCAATTCCTGGGCATTCTTGTTAACTTTCTGTGTCATTGATCTGTCTAATGTTGACAGTGGGGTGTTAAAGTCTCCCATTATTATTGTGTGGGAGTCTAAGTCTCTTTGTAGGCCACTAAGGACTTGCTTTATGAATCTGGGTATGCCTGTATTGGGTGCATATATATTTAGGATAGTTAGCTCTTCTTGTTTAATTGATCCCTTTACCATTATGTAATGGCCTTCTTTGTCTCTTTTGATTTTTTTTGGTTTAAAGTCTGTTTTATCAGAGACTGGGATTGCAAACCCTGCCTTTTTTTGTTCTCCATTTGCTTGGTAGATCTTCCTCCATCCCTTTATTTTGAGCCTATGTGTGTCTCTGCATGTGAGATGGGTTTCCTGAATACTGCACACTGATGGGTCTTGACTCTGTATCCAATTTGCCAGTGTGTGTCTTTTAATTGGGGCATTTTAGCCCATTTATATTTAAAGTTAATATTGTTATGTGTGAATTTGATCCTGTCATTATGATGGTAACTGGTTATTTTGCCCATTAGTTGATGCAGTTTCTTCCTAGCCTTGATGGTCTTTACAATTTGGCATGTTTTTGCAGTGGCTAGTACCGGTTCTTCCTTTCCATGTTCCTTTCCATGTTTCCTAAAAGTGCTTCCTTCAGGAGCTCTTTTAGGGCAGGCCTGGTGGTGACAAAATCTCTCAGCATTTGCTTGTCTGTAAAGGATTTTATTTCTCCTTCACTTTATGAAGCCTAGTTTGGCTGGATATGAGATTCTGGGTTGAAAATTCTTTTCTTTAAGAATGTTGAATATTGGTCCCCACTCTCTTCTGGCTTGTAGAGTTTCTGCTGAGAGATCCACTGTTAGTCTGATGGGCTTCCCTTTGTGGGTAACCCGACCTTTCTCTCTGGCTGCCCTTAACATTTTTTCCTTCATTTCAAGTTTGGTAAATCTGATAGTTATGTGTCTTGGAGTTGCTTTTCTTGAGGAGTATCATTTTGGCGTTCTCTATCTTTCCTGAATTTGAATGTTGGCCTGCCTTGCTTGATTGGGGAAGTTCTCCTGGATAATATCCTGCAGAGTGATTTCCAACTTGGTTCCATTCTCCCTGTGACTTTCAGGTACACCAATCAGACGTAGATTTGGTCTTTTCACATAGTCCCATATTTTTTTTGAGGCTTTGTTCATTTCTTTTTATTCTTTTTTCTCTAAACTTCTCCTCTTGCTTCATTTCATTCATTTCATCTTCTATCTCTGATACCCTTTCTTCCAGTTGATCACATCGGATTCTGAGGCTTCCACGCTTGTCATGTAGCTCTTGTGCCTTGGTTTTCAGCTCCATCAGGTCCTTTAAGGACTTCTCTGCTTTCGTTATTCTAGTTATACATTCTCCTAATTTTTTTTCAAAGCTTTTAACTTCTTTGCCATTGGTTTGAATTTCCTCCTGTAACTCGGAGTAGTTTGATCGTCTTTAGCCTTCTTCTCTCAACTAGTCAAAGTCATTCTCCGTCCAGCTTTGTTCTGTTGCTGGTGAGGAGCTGTGTTGTTTTGGAGGAGGAGAGGCACTCTGATTTTTAGAGTTTCCAGTTTTTCTGCTCTGATTTTTCTCATCTTTGTGGTTTTATCTACCTTTGGTCTTTGATGATGGTGAAGTACAGTTGGGTTTTTGGTGTGGATGACCTTTCTGTTTGTTAGTTTTCCTTCTAACAGACGGGACCCTCAGCTGCAGGTCTGTTGGAGTTTGCTAGAGGTCCACTCCAGGCACTGTTTGCCTGGGTATCAGCAGTGGTGGCTGCAGAACAGAGGATATTGGTGAACCACAGATGCTGCTGCCTGATCGCTCCTCTGGAAGTTTTGTCTCAGAGGAGTACCCAGCAGTATGAGGTGTCAGTTCGCCCCTAGTTGGGGAGTGCCTCCCAGTTAGGCTACTTGGGTGTCAAGTACCCACTTGAGGAGGCAGTCTGCCCATTCTCAGATCTCCAGCTGCGTGCTGGGAGAAACACTACTCTCTTCAAAGCTGTGAGGGAGGGACATTTAGGTCTGCGGAGTTTACTGCTGTCTTTTTGTTTGTCTGTGCCTTGCCCCCAGAGGTGGAGCCTTCAGGGGCAAGGAGGCCTCCTTGAGCTGTAGTGGGCTCCACCCAGTTTGAGCTTCCTTACCATTTTGTTTACCTAATCAAACAACTAACTTGGCAATGCTGGGCGCCCCTCCCCCAGCCTCGCTGCCACCTTGCAGTTTCATCTTGGGCTGCTGTGCTAGTAATGAGTGAGAGTCCATGGGCGTAGGACCTCCAAGCCATGTACGGGATATAATCTCCTGGTGTGCCATTTTTTAAGCCCATTGGAAAAGCGCAGTATTAGTGTGGGAGTGATCCGGTTTTCCAGGTGCCATCTGTCACCACTTTCTTTGACTAGGAAAGGGAATTCCCTGACCCCTTTTGCTTCCTGGATGAGGCGATGCCTCACCCTGCTTCAGGTCAAACCTGGTGTACTGTACCCACTGTCCTGCAGCTACTGTCTGGCACTCCCCAGTGAGATGAACCTGGTACCTCAGTTGGAAATGCAGAAATCACCCATCTTCAGCGTTACTCACACTGGGAGCTGTAGACTGGAGCTGTTCCTATTCAGCCTTCTTGGCTCCTCTCTTGTGTCCCTTCCTCTACAGTGTAGATCTATATGCTGGAGAAGATCAGAAGATTCTGTTTCATAACTAAGAACTTGGAGTTTCAAATTCAACTAACATTTTCTTTACCTTTAACTTGAACTTCAAAGGCATTGGAGTTTTGAAAATCCCTGCTGAATGCATTTGAAGAAATTTGTGTCATCTTGGCATTCTGTGCTTTTTGTAAAATTGTGCAGTCAGTGGAGGCTTGGGTATATATGTTACATAACATGCTGTTTGAACAGGTACCTATAATGGTTACTTCCTATTTCTGAATACATTGGCCATTCTCCTAAACTATAGAGGCAATCACAGTAAGTTACCTAAAGGTGCTTATTCTTAATCCAGTTTCTTGCATTTCCTCTTTCTCCCAAGGGGCTTATAATTGAAATCATTAAAGTATTACATCTGATATTTGATGGTGAATCACTTCTAAATGTTTTAGTATAATTTGCAGAAATATTTATTCTCCTCACTGTATATTGATATAACTACAAGTTATCAGGGAAAGGTTAACATTTTATGGATTCCTGAGTCAATTTCTAGGCTTTAAAGTGTGGAGAGAGTGCAGTAGGTGGATGGGTCATTGAAGATTTTCTCCAGAGGTAGGGCATATGATGTAATGATAGTCAGAGATTGGTTTATGTAGAATCACTCATTTCCTTGAAATAATACTCTGACTTTGAAAGTTTCCAGGGAGAAAAAGAGGGGAAATCTCACCTTGTACTAGTAGCAGGAGATATGAGAAACAATTGAAAATAAAGAAAGACAAAGTTAAATTAGAGCTGACAGGGTGTGTGACCTTCACCGAGCTCAGGACAGATCAGTATGGGAGGGAAGAGAAGGAGAGAATTTGGATTATGTTATTCAAATGAAAACTTTAGCTCTAAGACTGAGATCAAAAGGCAAGTGCATTAAAATACAGGATCTGCAAGTAAAGAGTGTGCCTGCTGCTGTAATTAGGAATCTATATTAAACTCCAGGCTTAGGGGTATTTTTTATTTTGACTCTATTCATGTGATCCCAGATATTATTTTAACCATATGAGAACTTGTTTCTGCCACAATGGATGTGGTCTCAGCAATATGGCTGCATTTCTTCATCCCTGAACTAAGACTTAGCCTCTTTCTTAGACAATCAAGACAGGTATTGGTAAAGATAAGACATGAAAGTTAATTTTGTCACTGTAGGGTGATTTTTCCTTGTCTACACTTGTATTAAGCTATCTTAAGGAAGGCCAGATGTGATGGAAAAAAATTCATTTTGTTGGGCATTATTAGACATGGATTTTCTTTTTATTCTCTGCCAAAAATAAATTAGCTGTGTTTTCTCGGATGTCACCTCTTGAGACTTCAGTTTCTTCATCTTTAAAGTACGGATAAGTGGATGCCGTGCAAGGTACCTGAGGATTTTTAATGTCTAACAATTCTAGAGTCTTGTCCAATTGGATCCTTGAACTCATTACATCTGACTCTGCATTTCTTAGCTTAGCAAAAGGAATGCCATTAATTTCTTATGGTCACAGGTGTTAGCTTTAGGTACTAGTCCACTTGTCCAAACTCTGGAAATGCTGAGTCCCAGAAGTAAACTGGATTGATACTAGAGAAGCACTGGCTAAATGCTGAAGAGCTAGAGGCAGACATCTTGTGCTTGAATACAGGCTTCTCTGTTTTTTTTTTTTTTATTAACACTGTAATTTTGGGTAAATTTTCTTCTCATCACAGTTTACTTTTCTTTCAAATATGGATAATTGTGTACCATCTTCAAAGCATTGTTGTGAAGATTAAGTGAAAAAATGCATGTAAAGCATTTAGTATAGTACCAAGCACACGGCAAGCACACAATAAAAATGAACCATTATTATAGGAAGTACAGGGTATAAAAATAAATCCCTGCATGCTAGAAAGTAAGAATGGGGAAAAGCAGAGTGGTAGTAAAAGTTTGCATTTCAAAACTAGTATATGAAATTTAAAAAGGTAACAACAGTTTCTCTGGGAAGAAATTTGTTTATGTCCTTACCTCTCAATTGTGGTCTGAGGGCCCTTTTATGGAATATCAAGGTCTTTCTGCTGGGTTGACACTTTTCTCCATTTCTAATTTCTGTAAAAATATGAGTATTAGAGGATTTAAATGGTAATAGGCACACTATATCTTTGCACTAGTTCTGTGCTATCTTTGGCTCGAGTCTCCCAATTAACAGTGAACATCAAAGACACCAATTTTGAACATGAGACTGAGTTGTTCTGTTTGTATGTTTGTGTCTGCAGGGAAGTAGGAAGGAGATGAAAATTGTAAAAAAGAACTGCTCTTTAAATATTTTCTAATTACTTCAAGACTTGCAAGAAATTGAATAAGTGAGATAATGAAAATGAATGAGTCAAGTTTGGAGTTTTCTGTCTGGTTTTGATCAGGAAGTCTAACCTTTGGCTCAGACCTTCAGGAAGTTGTAAAAAGATTAGTTGATTGTTGGTTCTCTCAAAAGCCATCTCCTCTAGGGAAAAGTTGGTAATTAGAAGGGCATCCAACCTTATTCTCAAGAGTTCTTGTCCCTGAAAGGATTCTCTGGAGCATTGGGCTATCCAGAAGGGAGACCATGATCCTGGAGCTTGGAGCTCTTAGGCCCACTTCTCAATGAAGCATTTGTGGGATCATCAGGAAGATGTTACCTTTTCATGTACCCATGTAACAGAGGCAATTCATCTTACCCACCACTGTCTTTGTGCTTTAAGAACACATAAAGATAAAGAAAAAAAATCTGAAGTCTAGGAAAAAGTGAGAATTAATAACAGCAAAACTTAGTTTTAAGTACTATCTTAAAGTTAATTGAATGAAATGTGCACTCTTCTTCAAGTAAATGAAAATAGACTATGTATTAAGGAGATTCTCATTGATTATTCAGGCTTGACTTATTCGCTATCATATCAATGGTATAAAACCAGAGATCAACAATCTTTGGCTGGTAGACTAAAGATGATATTAGGAAGATTCTAAAAGATCCATGGGCAGTCATGGCAGCCTCATCCTCTGTCCTGATCTTTTCAGAAAATTTAGGGTCCAGTCAGGCACTCTCCCTATGTCCATTTGGTGACTTGGTGACAAAAATTTAATGAGCACATTATAGTAGTTATTTCAACTATACCCAGCTATTTCCTGGATTCCCATCGTGTACCAAGGTACAATTCCATATATTTGTTTTCCTACATATTCTGCTCAATGTAAACATTTATGATTTCAGCTTCAGGTCTCCAAGAAAAAGTATAGAAACTATATTTCTTTTCTGACTATACAGGTAGTTATGCAAGCTGTAGAAAATACTAAAAAACATAAAGAGATAAAAATCACCCATAGTTTCACATCCAGAAGTAAATGTCCTAAATATATTATTTCCTTAACAACTTTTCTCTACCCATATGTTTTAACATAGGTAAAACAAAACCTATATAAAATTTTATAACTAAAATTTTTGAAGTTAAATTTTGTTACTAAAATATACCTATAAAACCTGTCATCTTCAAATACTAAATCTATAACTATTATCGCTAACTTTTAACCTATAGAATATTTGCATATTTATAATTAAGATATACAGACTATTTTATGGTTTTTAGTTCATGTTATTTCATACATACATTTTAAAGTCTTATTAGTCTCCAAAACTATTACCTTTAATGAATGCATTAATCCATCATATTGATGTCTAAGTGAAGTTTTGAAACAACTACCCTCTAGGAAATGGAATCTCTCTCTTCTGGGTGTCCCATGTCTTCTAAGAATATTTTTGAGGTCAGGCTAATAAAAAACTAAGAAGTCAGCTGGAGAAGTTTACAGGTACCTATTCCTAGAGAATTTTGGGAACAGAAGGAATCATCTGTGAGATGGCAGAGTAATGAAAAGGCAAAGTTTTGGACTATTTGATTCTTTTATGCTTCTTTTTTTTCATTTTTTTTTTCTAAAGGTAAAATATTCCTTCCTGGAGGTTTTATCACCCACACTACATAGATGAAGAATAAAAGGAATGTGACTGAATTCGTTTTAACAGGTCTTACACAGAACCCTAAAATGGAGAAAGTCATGTTTGCAGTATTTTTGGTTCTTTACATGATAACACTTTCAGGCAACCTGCTCCTTGTGGTTACAATTACCACCAGCCAGGCTCTTAGCTCCCCCATGTACTTCTTCCTGAGCCACCTTTCTTTGATAGACACAGTTTATTCTTCTTCTTCAGCTCCTAAGTTGATTGTCGATTCCCTTCATGAGAAGAAAATCATCTCCTTTAATGGGTGTATGGCTCAAGCCTATGAAGAACACATTTTTGGTGCTACTGAGATCATCCTGCTGACAGTGATGGCCTGTGACAACTATGTGGCCATCTGCAAACCTCTGCACTACACAACCATCATGAGCCACAGCCTGTGCATTCTCCTAGTGGTAGTGGCCTGGATAGGAGGATTTCTCCATGCAAATATTCAGATTCTATTTACAGTATGGCTGCCCTTCTGTGGCCCCAATGTCATAGACCACTTCATGTGTGACTTGTGCCCTTTGTTAAAACTTGTTTGCCTGGACACTCATACCCTTGGTCTCTTTGTTGCTGCCAACAGTGGGTTCATCTGCTTATTAAACTTCCTTCTCTAGGTGGTATCCTATGTGATCATCTTGAGATGTTTAAAGAACTATATCTTGGAGGGGAGGGGTAAAGCCCTCTCCACCTGTATTTCTCACATCATAATAGTTGTCTTATTCTTTGTGCCTTGTATATTTGTGTATCTGCACCCAGTGACAAACTCTGCCCATTGATAAAGCTGCTGCTGTATTTTATACTATGGTGGTCCCAATGTTAAATCCTTTGATCTACACACTCAGAAATGCTGAGGTAAAAAGTGCAATAAGGAAGCTTTGGAGAAAAAAAGTTATTTCAGATAATGACTAAATAAGACCATTGAGCACTCATCATAGAGGTAATAGGTATTTAAGCTTCTTGATTTGTAGATGAATATGTCAACTCTAACAATGGGCTGGCTAATGCTTGCAGATAGTAAAGCATAAAGCTAAAACTTGGACTGTAAAGCTTACTGTCTGTTATCCTACACTCTTGTCATCACCACTATTGCTTTTTAATTAATACATATTCATCAATTGCCTGGAAACTTGAAACATCTCTAGATGCTAAAAAGTATAAATGTAGAATATTAGATTGATATTAAAATAATCTTATTATATAACATTAAGCTGTTGGTTACTGCTGATTATTGAAAATAACAAGTTTAATGATATTTCTTTACTTTGGACTCTGGCTTAATATATACATACTTTCTTTTGTAAATTTTATTGGTCACTATATATTGGTTGTATTGTAAAAAGATGTACTGTTCATCTAATGCCTGCAAGGCTGCATTATATTAAGTTTTTTCCATATTGTATCAGTTAGGGTTCAATCAGGAGACAGATCACACAGCTTCCCCGATATGAGCAGTGAAAATTTACATAAAATTATTAATTATATCGAGGGATTAACTATAAAGAAGTAAAGAATGCCCTGTGACTGAGAGATGAGTATCTAAGAAAGGAACACATCTGGGAGCTGGGCTCCCTTCCCAAGGCTGAGATTCCAATATTTTGAAGAAAATGTAGTTGTTGCCCATTGGATGATGGAGAAATTCACTGGGTAGTCTTGGGCCAGAGCTGCCCCACAAGAAACTTGTCTGGGACTGGCCAGCAGGGAGACTTTCACTGGGATACTGGTGGGCTGAGGCTGGTAAATGAGGAACTGTAGCCTGGACTGGCAAGGAGGAAATAACCCTCTGGGGTGCAGGTGGACAAAGGCTACCCCATTATAGATAGGCAGTTTTGGAAAACTGATTGCTGGAGTATCTGTGTGATTTATTGGAATCTCCTTGCAGAGGCATCACTGAAACTCAATGGGAAATTTTCCGTGAAGTTGTCAGTGAAACTCAATGGAAGTGAGCACTTCTGAATGTCTCTCCCTCCCCCAGCCAAACACATGTGCTGGAAGCTACATAGAGTAAGATGAAAACAGAAACATATTTAAATCAGGAAGAGATGCCCCTTTTGATTTCCTATACTGGTAAAAGTTAGCATCAAAGAAGACTAGGTGCAGAGGATACATTTCTACAGGGCTTATTTTCATTAATATGCAGCAGGCAATGAAGGTTGTATTTGGAGCTGAGAGGCAATACATTGATAAATAGCACCCAAATTTTATCCTTAATTCTTGTAACACATTTTACAGGATATCGAAGTGCATATATATGGCATGATCTGACCAAACCTCAAGTTAGTGGCAGAATGAGATATAAATTGAGATATGGCTCCTTATTCTACACACTTTGTTGGTAGCAGGTAGCTGCAATTATTTTTTTATTGTAAAGTCTAAAAATGAAAAGAACACAATTTATTAAAAGAGTCTGTATAACCTAATGTTATAATTTCATTTAATTTTACTATTAGCTATGCACTGGTATATGATTAATTCTTTCACTGAAGATATATAGACAGAAGATGAACAATTACTTGGAATTTTTTTTTGAGACAGAGTCTCATTCTATCGCCCTGGCTGGAGTGCAGTGGCACAATTTGGGCTCCTGGGTTAAAGCGATTCTCCTGCCTCAGCCTCCTGAGTAGCTGGAACTACAGGCATGTGCAACCATGCCTGGATAATTTTTATATTTTTAGTAGAGACGGGGTTTCACCATGTTGGCCATGTGGGTCTTGAACTCCCGACCTCAGGTGATCCATCCACCTCAGCCTCCCAAAGCGTGGGATTAAAAAATGAGGCACATGCCTGGCTTATATAAACTTTTAACTGAATTTTCATGATTTGGCAATTGTAATACTCTTCAAAGCATGAAGGATCTAGTTTCTGCTCCTTTATCAAAAGGTATATGAAGGGTCACTAGGTGTTAGACTTTGGCACTAGAATGGGAACAGGAATGTGTAGAAAGGTAAAGTTATGAGAAAATCTGAAATATATAGCATCCAGGGACACAACCAGAATTGATATCCAAGGGTGACTGAAACTTGATATCCAAGGGTGGCAGAAAGGCAAAATCACACATAAGTCATCAAGACAGGTACCTGGCATGAAGATACCCAAGAAATTTTAGAGTGGTGAGTAGAAGATGGATGCAGCAGAGATTCCTGGGACACAATTATAGAGTGTCTTTTGACTCATTCTAGAGTAGTGAAGAAATTAATAAAGATGACAAGACAGTCTGGATAGAAAGGTTATCAGTGAAACTGGTAATGCTTGTTAAAACTTTCACAAGAGTTCCCCACTGAGCATGTACAGGTAGTCTTAGAGAGGATCATTAGGTAAACAGCCTTAATAAAGATGACTTATATGCACAGTGCACTTCATTGTTTATATTAGTTTAACTTTTTTCATGCACTTCTATTTCCTACTATTACTCATGGAATAAAAAAGATTAAAAGCTGTTATCAGAGATATCTCATTCTCCATTCCCATTTGTATCCCTGAATCTGTGCTCCTGAGACCACCATGCTCAACCTCCAGCTCTACCTTCCACATCCAGCTCATTCCTGAATGATTTTATACTTTGACTTAGCATTAATAATTCCATCAACTGTCATAGATAAGCCAAACTTCACTTAACATATTATGCTTTTCATGAACAGTTTGGATTTAGGAAGATATTAATCACAAATATTAGTATCTTTTTCTTGGTATGATCCATTGTATGTGTTTTTAAGTTTTTTTTCCATAAGTTAGTGGGGTACGGGTGGTATTTGGTTACATGAGAAAGTTCTTTTTTATTATACTTTAAGTTTTAGGGTACATGTGCACAACGTGCAGGTTTGTTACATATGTATACATGTGACATGTTGGTGTGCGGCACCCATTAACTCATCATTTAACATTAGGTATATGTCCTAATTCTATCCCTCCCCCCTCCCCCCACCCCACAACAGGCCCCAGTGTGTGATGTTCCCCTTCCTTTGTCCATGTGTTCTCATTGTTCAATTCCCACCTATGAGTGAGAACATGCAGTTTGTGATTTTTTGTCCTTGCGACAGTTTGCTGAGAATGACAGTTTCCAGTTTCATCCATGTCCCTACAAAGGACATGAACTCATCATTTTTTATGGCTGCATAGTATCCCATGGTGTATATGTGCCACATTTTCTTAATCCAGTCTATCATTGTTGGACATTTGGGTTGGTTCCAAGTCTTCGCTATTGTGAATAGCCGCAATAAACATACGTGTGCATGTGTCTTTATAGCAGCATGATTTATAGTCCTTTGGGTATATACCCAGTAATGGGATGGCTGGGTCAAATGGTATTTCTAGTTCTAGATCCCTGAGGAATCACCACACTGGCTTCCCCAATGGTTGAACTAGTTTACAGTCCCACCAACAGAGTAAAAGTGTTCCTATTTCTCCACATCCTCTCCAGCACCTGTTGTTTCCTGACTTTTTAATGATCGCCATTCTAACTGGTGTGAGATGGTATCTCATTGTGGTTTTGATTTGCATTTGTCTGATGGCCAGTGATGATGAGCATTTTTTCATGTGTCTTTTGGCTGCATAAATGTCTTCTTTTGAGAAGTGTCTATTCATATCCTTTGCCCACTTTTTGATGGGGTTGTTTTTTTCTTGTAAATTTGTTTGAGTTCATTACAGATTCTGGATATTAGCCCTTTGTCAGATGAGTAGATTGCAAAAATTTTCTCCCATTCTGTAGGTTGCCCGTTCACTCTATTTGTCAATTTTGGCTTTTGTTGCCATTGCTTTTGGTGTTTTACACATGAAGTCCTTGCCCATGCCTATGTCCTGAATGGTATTGCCTAGGTTTTCTTCTAGGGTTTTGATGGTTTTAGGTCTAACCTTTAAGTCTTTCATCCATCTTGAATAATTTTTGTATAAGGTGTAAGGAATGGATCCAGTTTCAGCTTTCTACATATGGCTAGCCCATTTTCCCAGTACCATTAATTAAATAGGGAATCCTTTCCCCATTTCTTGTTTTTGTCAGGTTTGTCAAAAATCAGATGGTTGGCCGGGCGCGGTGGCTCACGCCTGTAATCCCAGCACTTTGGGAGGCCGAGGTGGGCGGATCACGAGGTCAGGAGATCGAGACCCCGTCTCTACTAAAAATACAAAAAATTAGCCGGGCGTGGTAGCGGGCGCCTGTAGTCCCAGCTACTCGGGAGGCTGAGGCAGGAGAATGGCGTGAACCCGGGAGGCGGAGCTTGCAGTGAGCCGAGATCGCGCCACTGCACTCCAGCCTGGGCGACAGAGCGAGACTCCGTCTCAAAAAAAAAAAAAAAAAAAAAAAAAAAATCAGATGGTTGTAGATATGTGACATTATTTCTGAGGGCTCTGTTCTGTTCCATTGGTGTGTATCTCTGTTTTGGTACCAGTACCATGCTGTTTTGATTACTGTAGCCTTGTAGTATAGTTTGAAGTCAGGTAGCGTGATGCCTCTGTCTTTGTTCTTTTGGCTTAGGATTGACTTGGCAATGCGGGCTCTTTTTTGATTCCATATGAACTTTAAAGTAGTTTTTTCCAATTCTGTGAAGAAAGTCATTGTTAGCTTGATGGGGATGGCATTGAATCTATAAATTACCTTGGGCAGTTATGGCCATTTTCACGATATTGATTCTTCCTACCCATGAGCATGGAATGTTCTTCCATTTGTTTGTATCCTCTTTTATTTCATTGAGCAGTGGTTTGTAGTTCTCCTTGAAGAGGTCCTTCACGTCCCTTGTAAGTTGGATTCCTAAGTATTTTATTCTCTTTGAAGCAATTGTGAATGGGAGTTCACTCATGATTTGGCTCTCTGTTTGTCTGTTATTGGTGTATAAGAATGCTTGTCATTTTTGCACATTGGTTTTGTATCCTGAGACTTTGCTGAAGTTGCCTATCAGCTTAAGGAGATTTTGGGCTGAGATGATGGGGTTTTCTAGATATACAATCATGTCTTCTGCAAATAGGGACAATTTGACTTCCTCTTTTCCTAATTGAATACCCTTTATTTCCTTCTCCTGCCTAATTGCCCTGGCCAGAACTTCCAACAGTATTTTGAATAGGAGTGGTAAGAGAGGGTGTCCCTGTCTTGTTCCAGTTTTCAAAGGGAATGCTTCCAGTTTTTGTTCATTCAGTATGATATTGGCTGTGGGTTTGTCATAGATAGCTCTTATTATTTTGAGATATGTGCCATCAATACCTAATTTATTGACAGTGTTTAACATGAAGGGCTGTTGAATTTTGTCAAAGGCCTTTTCTGCATCTATCGAGATAATCATGTGGTTTTTGTCTTTGGTTCTGTTTATATTCTAGATTACGTTTATTTATTTGGATATGTTGAACCAGCCTTGCATCCCAGGGATGAAGCCCACTTGATCATGATGGGTAAGCTTTTTGATGTGCTGCTGGATTCTGTTTGCCAATATTTTATTGAAGATTTTTGCATCGATGTTCATCAGGAGTATTGGTGTAAAATTCTCTTTTTTTATTGCGTCTCTGCCACGCTTTGGTATCTGGATGATGCTGGCCTCATAAAATGAGTTAGGGAGGATTCCCTCTTTTTCTGTTGATTGGAATAGTTCCAGAAGGAATGGTACCAGCTCCTCCTTGTACCTCTGGTAGAATTCGGCTGTGAATCCATCTGGTCCTGGACTTTTTTTGGTTGGTAAGCTGTTAATTATTGCTTCAATTTCAGAGCCTGTTATTGGCCTATTCAGAGATTCAACTTCTTCCTGGTTTAGTCTTGGGAGGGTGTATGTGTCAAGGAATTTATCCATTTCTTATAGATTTTCTAGTTTATTTGCATAGAGGTGTTTATAGTATTCTCTGATGGTAGTTTGTATTTCTGTGAGATTGGTGGTGATATCTCCTTTATCATTTTTTATTGCATCTATTTGATTCTTCTCTCTTTTCTTCTTTATTAGTCTTGCCAGCGGTCTATCAACTTTGTTGATCTTCTCAAAAAACCATCTCCTGGATTCATTGATTTTTTGAAGGTTTTTTTTGTCTCTATTTCCTTCAGTTCTGCTCTGATCTTAGTTATTTCTTGCCTTCTGTTAGCTTTTGAATTTGTTTGCTCTTGCTTCTCTAGTTCTTTTAATTGTGATGTTAAGGTGTCAGTTTTAGATATTTCCTGCTTTCTCTTGTGGGCATTTAGTCCTCTGCAGACTTAAATGTCCCTGTCTGACAGCTTTGAAGGGAGTAGTGATTCTCCCAGCATGCAGCTGAAGATCTGAGAATGGACACACTGCCTCCTCAAGTTGGTCCCTGACCCCCGAGTAGCCTAACTGGGAGGCATCCCCCATTAGGGGCAGACTGACACCTCACACGGCTGGGTACTCCTCTGAGTACGTTCTTTAGTGGAGTTTTGTGAGATCCTAATGCACCAATCACCCAAGCAGTATACACTGCCCCATATTTATTGTAATTTATCCCTCATCCCCCTCCCAATCTTCTTCCCAAGTCCCCAAAGTCTATTGTATCATTCTTATTCCTTTGTGTCCTCATAGCTTAGCTCCCACATATCAGTGAGAATATACAATGTTTGGTTCTCCATTCCTCAGTTACTTCCCTTAGAATAATAAGACAAATATTAGCATCTTTACAATAAAAAATCAACTATGTATTATTAAATAATTATATCACATCATTTAATTTCTAATATTTCTTAGCTTTATTGAGGTAATACTAACAAAAATTGCATATATTTAAGGTATGCAATGTGATGTTTTGATATATGTATATACAGTAAAATGATTACCACAATCAAGCTAGTTGTCATAGCTCTCACCTCACATAGGTACTATTTTTTTTGGTAAGATTTCAGATCTAGTCTCCCAGTAAATTTCAAGTATACATTACATTACTATTATTAAGTATAATCACCAGGCTGTTCATTTGATCTTCAGGACTTTATTCACTTGGTTTAACTGAAATGTTGTATTTTCAGACCTACATCTCCCCGTTATGCCCATTCTCCCAACCCCTGTCAACCATGATTCTGCCTCTATGCCTTGCCTCCAGGGCTTGTTTCTGAGGATAGGTCCTAGGATCACCTATGTGAGTAATATTTAATGCTACATTGAGATTTGAACATCGTTCAACATATTCAAAACCTCATTAATTTTCTCTGTCTTCCTTCCATCCAGTGATCTAAGCCAGGGCCCAAGTTTCATCTGTGACTTCTCTCTCTCTCATCTTCATCCTATATCAAGTTGTTTTGTTTAGAATTCAAAAATATTCTTCGAAACCTTCTATATCTCTCCATGTTAGTTTGATTTCCCTAGGTGCAGAGGATGATATGGGAATTTTAATAAACGTGATTTATAAGGGGAAAAGATTGAAGGAAACATACTATAGTAGGGAAGGAAGGATGTAGTCTCAACTCGTCTGCCTCTAGCCTGGAGCCCCGGGAGCTGTGAGGTATACATTGTACTACAGAACTGCTTCCACCTTGAGACAAAGGAACTAATCTCTTAAACCCTATTCCAGTCAATCATTGCTGGTGGGCCCCAGGAGAGGGAACAATATACCCCAAGTAACACAGCTCCCATTTAATCTGGTGCAACTGTCCAGAAAAGGACAAGGCTGAGAGCTATTAGCAGCCCAGACACATAGTAGTTGGGGCATATGTGCACTGGCCTGGTAAAGGGGATTTGAGCTGGACCTAATAGTGTCCACCACATTCTGCATCCTTACTGACAACACCAGGGCTGAGGCCTCCAGCCTTTCACACTGAAATAATTACAATAAACCCCTAGGTGCTCTCCTGCTTCCAGTCTTGATCCTTCAATCCATTTTACATACTGTAGTTGGGATTATCATTAAAAAATTAAAATCTAGCTGTATCACTCTCTATCTTAAATATACCTTCCCTGTTTCTCCCACGGTCCTTAGCATTAAGTCTTAACACAACTATAAGTCCCTTCTTGATATTTTCTTTCCCTATCTCTCTAGCTTCATGTCTTACAATTTACAAGACTTTATAAGCTCAGTGTCTGTCATGGTGCCTGGCACACAAGTTGGGGGTTCAGTAAATAATTGCTGAGTGAATGAGTGAATTAATGATCATGGCCATATTGCACTGATTAGGTTTCCTGCATACTCTTTTCACTTCCTGGGCCTTTGTTATGCATTCTCTCTCCTGCAAGCACTGCTCTCAGCTTCATGCCTATGCATTCTGCTGACTTCTTTTCTTTTCTTTCCTATATTTTATTTTATTTTTTTGACATAGTCTTGCACTGTCGTCCAGGCTGGAGTGTAATGGTGTGATCTCAGCTCACTGCAACCTCTGCCTCCCGGGTTCAAACGATTCTCCTGCCTCAGCCTCCCAAGTAGCTGAGATTACAGGTGCCTGCCACCACACTGAGTTAATTTTTGTATTTTTAGTAGAGACGGGGGTTTCACCATGTTGGCCAGCCTGGTCTCGAATTCTTGACCTCCTGATCCGCCTGCCTCGGCTTCCCGAAGTGCTGGAATTACAGGTGTGAGCCACTGCGCCGGACCCCATTCTGCTGACTCCTTTTCATCCTTCTGGTCCCATATCTTTTCATCTAGGAATTCTTTTATAACCGCTCAGGTCTATGTCTTTTCTCCTTTGCTAGTCTCTCAGTGAATCCTCAGCTCTGTGAAGGAAACACCTGGGTTTCTCTTTATTCACCACTGATGCCCCAGCAATTTTCAATGTACCTGATGCATTCCTTGGGCTCTAAATACTTGTTAACCAATGAATAAGAAATAGAAAGAATGAATGAATTATATTTATTCTGAAATGGCTTTGGATATATACAGAGCTACATAGTCTTCAAAACAGCTTTTATCTTGTGAGGTGCTGTGGAAGTGGGGGGCCTGCAGACCCAGGTGGCTTGGCTTCCTGGATTCAGCCCCCTTCCTAGGGGTACTTAGGGACTTCACGCCCTGCCTGAGTTGCAGACAAGTTTGTTGGGGATCCTTGGGCCAGAGTTTGTAAAGCTCCTGGGTCTCTGTGTGTGACTGAGCAGCTGCTCTGTGGAGACTACACAGCTGTGTGTCGGACCCAAGGCCCTGGTGGCCTGGGCTCACGAGGGGATTTCCTGATCCACGGGTTACAAAGATTCATGGGAAAAGCATGGTTTTCTGGGGTTGTACATTCCCTTACCGCATCGTGGGGGTTCCCTTGGCTCCCTGCTGCTCCTGGGTGAGCCATACCGCTGTGCTGCTTTTCTTCATTCTCTGTGGGTGGAGTTGTTTCCCTGATCTGTCCCAAATGCATGTACCTGGATCTTTCAGTTGAAGATGCTGTATCACTTGTCCGTTTCTTTCCTCTCCGTGAGTGCCACGGACCTCAGCTGCTTCTAATCGGCAATCTTGGCCCCCTCCACAAAACAGCTTTTAATAATAAAATGTTACCAAAAAGTAAACTGATCGACAGAGGAATAGAACATAAATAGCTCATAATCATAAGATAAAATGTTGCTGAAAGCAGAAAAATTTCAAGATTAGCTATTTGTTCATATGCTAGGAATTTGCTTCTATTTCTTTTGTATTCTTCAGCATAAGGAGTAAAAACAAACTGTGGTTCCCCCAAGAGGTCCAGCTAGAATTCTCCTTAGTGCCTGAATCAGATAAGGAAACAATTCCTATCATCAGTACTATTTTTTTTAGCTCTACATTTTGTTGAATTCATTTACCTTCCTTAATAATTCTATTCATTCATTCGAGGTTTATCACGTGCCAGACATTGTGCTACCTTGTGGCAATTATTGTTATCTAGTAGGCAAGTACTTTATGGGCCATGATTGTATGTTTAACTAATAGGAATTTCAGCCTGAAATTCAGATGCTTTTTTAATGGAGCCGTCACTCTTTCTGATGGGTTTTCAGCATAATATGGGTGCCTTGAGCAATACAAAATGGTTCAGAAGCCTACACTGACATTTGGAAACATGATATAAACTTCATTACCTACCCATGAGAGGTTATGGCCCATTGCTATTACAGTCTTAAAGTGGTTAGATACCGTAATGTTTAAGAAAACAAACGACCATCAATTATGATAAATAAAAAAGCAGAGTTGTTAATAAAATTTCTTATATTTTTAGTTAGATAACAATCTAATATATGCATTGTGCCTAGCATAGTCTGTGGTCCCAAAATGGTAAGTAGTATAATTAACTGACCTTTTCATTATTACTCTGTGGCAGAATATCATAGCAGTTAAGAGTATGGTCTGGAAAATCTGTCATAGTTTGGTTACCAGCTCGTCGATATATCTATTTTGATATCTTCTCCTTCCTGTAAGCTTCCTAACTTGTAAAATGAAGATAATAGTAGTGCTTACCTCTTTGAAGTGTTACAGACATTACTGCTAGATACCAATATATGCTATTATTTCTTTTGTTTGTGAGAAGAAAGCCTATGAATCCATATACAGGATGAAACTAGTAAAACTAAGCCCCAACTTAGTAGAATTTCCCAAATATGCAGAGTTGTCCTCAGTTGTTTTCTCTCTTTCCTTGAACCATTTCTATACCCCTCAATGCAGAATCTGTGAATCATATGGTGAATGTTTTCTTCATCCAATCAATTTGTCCCACTGCAATTATCCAAAATGTCCTTTTGACTTTTTCTTTTTTTTTTAAAATTATACTTTAAGTTTTAGGGTACATGTGCACAACGTGCAGGTCAGTTACATATGTATACATGTGCTATGTTGGTGTGCTGCACCCATTAACTTGTCATTTAACATTAGGTATATCTCCTAATGCTATCCCTCCCCCCTCCCCCCACCCCACAACATGCCCCGGTGTGTGATGTTCCCCTTCCTGTGTCCATGTGTTCTCATTGTTCAATTCCCAGCTATGAGTGAGAACATGAGGTGTTTGGTTTCTTGTTCTTGCGATAGTTTGCTGAGAATGATGGTTTCCGGCTTCATCCATGTCCCTACAAAGGACATGACTAAATTGAATCAATGTTGAGCTCTAGTTACATTTATTTGTTACCTGAAATGTCCTTTCTACTACACAATTTCCTGATGGCATTTTTCATCTGGGCATTCCTCAAGGTATAGATTAAGGGGTTTAACATAGGAGTTATCATAGTGTAGAATATAGCAACTGCTTTATCAATAGGTAAAGTAGCTGCAGGTCTCATGTACACAAATATGCAGGGCACAAAGAATAAGATGACAACTGTGATGTGGGAGACACAGGTGGAGAGGGCTTTGTGCCTTGCCTCCAAGCTGTGAGTCCTTAGGGAGCGCAAGATGACCACATAGGAGACCAGCAGGAGGACAAAGTTTAACAAGCAGATGAATCCACTGTTGGCAGCAATGAAGAGTCCCAGCATATGGGTGTCAGTGCAGGCGAGGTTGAGCAAAGGGTTCAGATCACACATAAAGTGATCTATGACATTAGGACCACAGAAAGGTAATTGGAAGATGAAGAGGATCTGTATGGTTGCATGAAGAAAGCCTCCCATCCACACCACTCCCATTAGCAGGGCATACACACACTGGTTCATGATAGTCATATAGTGCAAGGGCTTGCAGATGGCCACATAGCGGTCATAGGCCATCACAGTAAGTAGGATACCCTCTGCACCTCCGAAGAAATGTTCTCCAAAGACTTGAGTCATGCATCCATTGAATAGGATGGTGTTCTTTCCATAGAGTGAATCTGTGATCAGCTTAGGGGTATTGACAGAAGAATAGCAGGCATCTATAAAGGAGAGATAGGCCAGGAAAAGGTACATGGGGGACCCCAGTGATGGGCTGGCAGTGATGGTGACCACAATGAGCGCATTTCCCACCACAGTGATGATATAGATGACAAAAAAACACAACAAATATGATTTTCTGCATCTTTGGATTCTCTGTAAGCCCTAGTAAAACAAACTCTGTCACGTTATTCCTATTCTCCATGTATTTCATGTGATGATTAATTGCATTACCTGAAAACATTTTTTATTAATACAACTTTGAATTTATTACACATCTCCATTTTAATAATAAATGCTTGAATTTTATTAAACTGTAAATTCTTATAAGATTTTTCTTGAGATGTTAATAAAGTTTCTCAGTTCTTGAAGATTACTTGGTGAAGACTCTGTGAAGAGTATAAATATTAGGATCTCTTGTGAACAAAGTCAGGATGTCATGTGTGTTTACTCAACCATCTGGGAGGCCTAAGAGCTCAATTTGAAGTAGTAGATTGGATACACAGTAGCAGCTAAACCTGAAAAGGGAGATGGACAATGAATTTAAAGACCATGGTGTAAAGCTAAGGAATTTGCCATTTATTCTTTAGGAAATGGGGAACATTGGTAGGTTACCGTGAGTATGAGTGGGAAGATGGAGAGGAATTTGAGGAGTAGGAATCTTGGAATATCCCACGAGTAAAAGTCTTTGTGTGTCTTGGATGAAGTGGGCTGAAGTTCCGCAAAGCAGGTGTTAGCCAGAGAAAGGAACCCCAGTGGGCAGAGTATTTAGAGTACTTGACATAAGAAGTAACTGGGTGGCTGGGCCGGTGGCTCACACCTGTAATCCCAGCACTTTGGGAGGCCTAGGCAGGTGGATTACGAGGTCAGGAAATCAAGACCATCCTGGCCAACATGGTGAAACCCCATCTCTACTAAAATACAAAAAGTTAACCAGGCGTGATGGTGCTTGCTTGTAGTCCCAGCTACTTGGGAGACTCAGGCAGGGGAATTACTTGAACTCAGGAGGCAGAAATTGCAGTGAGCCAAGATCACGCCACTGCACTCCAGCCTGGGTGACAGAGAGAGACTCCACCTAAAAAAACCAGAAGTAACTGGGTATTGGTGATAGAAATATAAAAAAAGGATATAAGAGCTACTAAAATAATTCATAATGCTTATTGTCTAAATCTAATTAACTTTATAATAACTAATATTATATGCCCTTTAATAATTAATTGCCTTGCAAAAGGCATAGTAGTAAGTGCTTTGCACACATGATTACAGTGAACACTTTTAACATCCTAGGTGACCAGTATTATTTCATCAAATTTTCAGATAAGGCAGCAATATTAGTGATTAATGTTAATAGTTATGTTAACACAATGATATTTATATTATACAATAATGTAATATTATTTATATTAACATTATAACACTCATAATATTGATAATATTAACGAAAACATACTGAGCACTAGTGTCTTCTAAATTTCTTTTTGCAGGCAATCACAAAATAAACCCAGAAAATAGTACTATCATTTTTATACTTATTTTACATATTAGGAAGTAGAAGCATAGGGAAGTTAAAGATCCCATCCAAGATCAAGCAGTTTAATAAAGGGCAGAGTCAAGATTAGTCACATTATACTAGTTAATTTTTTCTCTCCAAATTCTGAGCTCATGCCCTATGTTGTTATGTTATAATAAACAATGTTGAACTAATAATCTCCTTTTGATATGACCATTATGATTATAATTACTTTAATACTACTTCAGAGGCAATTTGTATGGAGCAATTTCATTAGCAGTACCCCCCTCCCCACCCACAACACAGTGACATCTTTGAACTCTCAAATATTAAGAAAAATGTGGTATCGAATCATTGAAGGTACATCTATCTTAGCTTCTCCCTTAGTCCCAGCTCTTTCCTCAACACCGCTCCCCCACACCAAGTCGTGGGCCCCCAGACTCTTGAGCAAAATGTTGAAAATGACTACTGGCCGGGAGAGGTGGCTCATGCCTATAAATCCAGCACTTTGGGAGGCCGAGGCGGGTGGATCACGAGGTCAGGCGATCGAGACCATCCTGGCTAACACGGTGAAACCCGGTCTCTACTAAAAATACAAAAAATTAGCCGGGCGTGGTGGCAGGTGCCTGTATTCCCAGCTATTTGGGAGGCTGAGGCAAGAGAATGGCATGAACCCAGGAGGCAGAGATTGCAGGGAGCCAAGATCATGCCACTGCATTCCAGCCTGGGCAACAGAGCCAGACTCCGTCTCAAAAAAAAAGCGACAAAAAATTAGCTGGGTGTGGTGGCAGGCACCTGTAGTCCCAGCTACTTGGGAGGCTGAGGCAGGAGAATGGTGTGAACCCGGGGGGCGGAGCTTGCAGTGAGCCGAGATCGGGCCACTGCACTCCAGCCTGGGCAACAGAGCGAGAGTCCATCTCAAAAAAAAAAAAAAAAAAAGAAAGAAAATAACTGCTACGGTGGCCAAGTATATTAGATTTAGAATTAAAAATATATTTGATTAGAATCATTGTTTTTCCACCTGCAACTTTTTTAAGCCAGGGCTCGTTTCTTGGCACCTCTCATCTTTGTTTCCTCATTTATAAAGTGAGAATAACAATATCATCTTACAGGTTGTTATGATAATTGATTGAGGGAACATATAAGAAAATGTTTACCACAGTGCTGTGGATGCATATAGGACTTTCTTTACTTTTATAAGTGTGTACACAGCTAAGGGATCGTAAGAATTGATCATTAGAGCAATAAACAGAGCATCATTAACCATGCAATAACCTCAGGAAGAATAATCTCCAACATTACTCTTGAAGAAGGCACAGTGACTCATACTGTCCATAGCAGTTGATCCCAGGAAGGGTTCTTCATGTTAGTGCTTGGACTAAACAGCTGACGATTTATGCAATTTAGTATTCATATTTATGTCCTTTGTGTATACGATGTGTATTTTAATTTTGTTTTAATCTTTATGGCTAGTCTGATTATCATGGCAGAAGCACCCGGTGTCAGAGAGCTGGGTCCTACAAATTGCTTAATTTCTAAGAACCTCAAAATTTTCAACTGTCAAATAGGTTAATTATATTTACTATCTTTTGAAACATTGGGATGAGGATGAAAGCCTCTATATACTATGTTTGAGGTGTTGAAAAATAATGATTACTGACTACTTAAAGTAACCATCTTTAAGAAGCGTCGGTACTATTAGAAAACTTACCTTAGTAGTCTTAGTTAGATAATCTTAATGATGTTTGGGAGTGTTCAGACACAATCATCTTCAAACTGATCTTCTTTTGGAATTAGTAAGTTTTGGTGTGAAAGATTTAACACATGGAAAGAGCCTATTCAGATGATTCAATGTTAAATCACAGTTGTTAAAAAACTGTACACATTAAATGTGTAGTTTTTTGGTATATCAGTTATAATTCAATAAAGAAAGTGTTCTTATGACTATAAATCTTTTTATCTGGTGTAAGTCTCAAAAATATTCACAGAAAACCTGGGACTTGAATTAAAATCAATTCACTGGAAACACTATGAAGAATTGATTATATATGGCTCTGGTTCCACGTGCAAGAGGCAGAAGGTGTGGAGGAAACAGTTATAAATGGATCACTTTGTCCATGATTAATCTTGCTGTGGATAAGTGAAGAAGAAAAACATTTCTGTCTTGTACTGCATGAATATTTAAAGAGGTTTCTGTAAAGATTCAGGAATCTTATTTTATAGCTGCTGCTTTCTCTCCTAGGAATTAATTATCTCCTTTGATGGAAAAACTTTGCCACAGAAGCAGTATTCTGGAGAGACATGTTTAAAAAAAAAAACAAAAAACAAATCCTGAATAAAGAATTTCATTCTTTACACTTGGAACCTAATCCTATGAGTCCTCTTTCTCTATCTGAGCCTGTGTTGTTAAGAATGCTGAATGCTGTTTGAGCAGCAAGGTAGCGTAACTTGTGTGTGGACCTGTGATGTAGTTTCTCTGTTGATTCATGTCACAGGAAGCTTCTTTTTTAAAAAAATCAACATTACACCTTTTTCTGGAAACCTGGTAATAGTTGCTTGAGGTCTAGAGCAGTGAGGGCATGGAACTAATTGTGGCCACTTAATTAATTTTAATTTTTAAATTTAAAAATATTTAATTGACAAAGATTTTATATATCCAAGGTAGATAAAATGTTGATTTGATCTAGGTGTACATTGTGTAATAGTTATTACAGAAAATTAATGCATACATTACTAATCATGCTATGCATGAGATCCTCAGAACCTGTTCATCTTATAGATGAAAGATTGTTCTCTTTGATAAATATATTCCCATATCCCTCATTCCCCAGGCCCTGGCAACCATCATTCTACCATCATTCTCTCTGTTTCTATGAGTATGACTCTTTAGATTCTGCATACAAGTGAGATTATACAGTGTTTGACTTTCTGTGTCTGGCTTATTTCACTTAACATAGTGTCCTCTAGGTTTTTCCACATTGTCACAAATGGCAGGATTTCCTTAAGGTCAAAACAATTTCTTGTAGAATTTTTATAGATTTAGCATGAGGATCTCTAACTCATTTTAAGGTCATTTTTGTGTGTGTGTGCATTGTATGAGGTAATGGCTGAAGTTTTTTTTTTTCTTATGGGTATCCAATTGACTCAGCATAATTTGTTGAAAAATATTGAGTTGCCTTGGCATTCTTTTAAAAATTTATATATTTAGATGTATTTTTGGACATTCTGTTATATTTTAATGAGCTATATTTTTATCCTTATGCCAATACCAAACAGTATTGATACTGGTACATTATACTAAATCTTGAAATTAGGTAGAGTAAGAACTAATCTTTCTTCTTTTTGATAATTATTTGCTATTCTAGTTCCTCTTAAGTTTGCACATTTGTATATAAATTTCAGGATAAGCTTGTCAACATCTCCAAAAATTCTGATTGGAATTGCATTGAAAATATAGAATGATATGGTAAAATAATTATTAAGTTTTCTAATTTATTAATATGGTATATCTCTCCGTTTATTTATGTATTTAATTTCTCTGACCAGTGTGTTCTACTTTTCATATACAGGTCTTGAATTGATTGTTATAATTTGCTCCTCAAATTTCATGTTTTAAAATAATGTTTTATATAGTATTTTGTTTCTAATTTCAATTTCTAATTGTTTGTTGCTATTGTAGAAATACAATTGATTTTTAAAATATTGACATTATATCCTGTTACTTTGCTAAACTTACTGATTAGGCCTATTAGTTTTTTGTAGAATACTTTAAATTTTCTACCTACATAGTTATGTCATCTGCAAATAAACGTATTTTTATAATTTTGTTTCTTCCTTTGCAATCTGTGTGTCTTTTATTTCCTTTTCTTATATTTTTGCAATGGCTGAAACCTAGGGTATATTGCTAGACCTAGGTTTCATAGCTGAATGGAAATGATGAGTGCACATCCTTGTCTTGTTCCCAATCTTAGAGGGATAGTGTTCATCATTAAGTGGAATCTGTAAGGCTATATGCACTTTCATTATTGACATGAGTTGTCTTTTCTCTCTCTCTCCCCTTACTTCTTTCCATCTTTTGCTCCTTCACATTAATTTAGCTAATTGTTTATCAATTTTATTGATCTTTTAAAATAATCAGATATTTGTTTCATTGATTTTTCTATTTTTAAAATTTACATTTCATTGATTCTTGTTCTAATCCTTATTATTTCCTATCTTCTACTTAGTTTCTGCTTAATTTGTTGTTATTTTCTGTTTCTGTAGTACAAAACTTTTGATAATGTTTTCAGACATTATTTTAATTAATTAATTAATTTATTTTGAGATGGAGTCTTGCTGTGTCACCCAGGCTAGAGTGCACTGGCACGAATCTTGGCTCACTGCAACCTCTGCCTCCCGGGGTCAAGTGATTCTCTTGCCTCAGCCTCCCAAGTAGCTGGGATTACAGGCGCCCGCCACCACACCTCACTAATCTTTGTATTTTTAGTAGAGAAGGGGTTTCACCATGTTGGTCTTGAACTTCTGACCTTGTGATCCACCCACCTCGGCCTCCCAAAGTGCTGGGATTACAGGTGTAAGCCACTGTGCCTGGCCTATTTATTTTTAATGTATACATTTTGTGACCCAAATTTCCTTTTTAGAACTTTTATTACTTCCGTGAAATTCAGATATGTTGTGCTTTAAATTTCATTTATTTCAAAATACTTTTTGTGTTGTGATTTCTTTAATTAACATAAAAATTACATGAAAAAATTCATTTTTTGAGTATTTAAAAGTGTAAAATCAATTGGCTTTGGGTACAATCACAATGTTTTACAATAATTACAACTGTCTAATTGCAGAACATTTTCATTGCCTCCAAATAGTTGAACAGTCATTCCAATTTCCCCTTTTCCCCAGTCCCTGGTAACCACTAATCTGCTTTTTGTTCCTATTAGTTTGCTTATTTTGGACATTTTATATACATAGAATTATGCAATTTTCAACCTTTAGTGTCTTCTTTCACTTAGTATGCTTTCAAGATTCATCCATGTAGCATGCATCAGTACTTTATTGTGGGCATACCACAATTTGGTTATCCATTCATACAGACTGATAGAAATTTAGGTTGTTTTCACAATTGTGAGTAGTGCTGCTATAAACTCTTGTGTACAAGTTTGTTCAAACACCTGTTTTTAATTCTTTTGGGTATATACATAGGAGTGGAATTGCTGGGTCAGGTGGTCATTCTATGTTCAACTTTTTAAAGAACAACCAAACAGTTTTTCACAGATCCATAGATTTTACATTTCCTTTAGTAATTGTAGTAGATTTCCAATTATTCAATATCCTTGCCAACACTAGTTAATTGCCATTTAAAAAAATTATGGCCATCCACTGGGTGTGAAGTGGTATTTCATTGCAATGTTGATTTACATTTCCCTAATGACCAAAGATATTTAGCATATTTTTATATGCTTATTAGCTATATGTATATCGTATTTGGGAAAATGTCTTTTTCAATTCTTTGTTTATTTTCAAATTGGGTTGTTTACCTTTTTTTGTTGAGTTGTAAGAGTTCTTTATATATTCTGGAAACAAGACTCTTATCAGATATATGATTTACAAATATTTCTCCTATTTTTTGGGTTGATTTTCACTTTTTTGATAGGGTACTTTGATTCAGAAGCATTTTTAATTTTGATAAAGTCCAATTTATGTATTTTGAAATTTGGGAACTGTGCTTTTACCATTTTATCAAGATTAGGATAGATAGTGACGTTTATTCTCACACGCTATTCTTGTTTTTCCCCAAATAATAGCCAGATAAGTGAATAGATCTTGTTTTATAATTTGTTATGCTTTGTTTTTCATTTTTTTCAAAATCTTTAATTATTAATGTGGAAATAATAGCAGTATCCTGTCTCCAAATCCATGGACATGGAATATCTCTCTGTTTATTTAGATATTTTTAAATTGCTTTTACCAATTTTTTGTAGTTGTACATTTAAAAAATATTTTGAACTTTTAGATAAAAAGTAAAAATAATAGATACTGCTGAAGCTGCAGAGAAAAGGGAACACTTACATAATGTTGGTGGGAATGTAAATTAGCTCAGCTACTTTGGAGAGTGGTTTGGAGATTTCTCAAAGAACTGTTTTTTTTTTTTTAAATAGATTTTAAGGGTACATGGGCAGGTTTGTTCCATGGATATATTGCGTAGTGGTGAAGTCTGGGCTTTAAGTGTACTCATTTCCTGCATAGTGAACATTGTACCCAGTAGGTAATTTTTCAGCTCTCACCATTCTCCCACCCTCCCACTTTTTGGAGTTTCCAATGTCTACTTTTTCACTCTGTATGGCCATGTATGCCATTGTTTAGCTCTTACTGAAAGTGAGAACATCTACACTCATAAGTGGGAGTTGAACAATGAGAACACATGGACACAGGGAGGGGAACATCATACACTGGGGCCTGTTGGGGGATTGGGGGTTAGGGGAGGAACAGCATTAGGAGAAATACCCAATGTAGATGATGGGTTGATGGGTGCAGCAAATGACCATGACGTGTATACCTGTGTAAAAAAACTGCACATTCTGCAGATGCATCCTAGAACTTGAAGTATAATAATAACAAAAAACTAAATAAAAATATGCTGTTTAGTTACTTAAAAAAAGTGAGAACATGTAGCATTTGGCTTTCTGTTCCTGGGTTATGTAACTTAGAATAATGTCCACGAGTTCCATCCATATTGCTGCAAAAGACAAGATTACATTTTTTATGGCTGAGTACCATTCCATGGTGTGTGTGTGTGTGTGTGTATGTATGTGTATATATATCTCACATTTGTGATATCTATCTATATATCTCACATTTTCTTTATCCATCATCTGTTGATGGTTGATTCCGTGTCTTTACTATTGTGAATAGTGCTGCAAAGAACATAGTGCAAGTGTCATTTTGATAGAATGATGTCTTTTTCTTTGGGTGGCTACCCAGTAGTGGGATTGCTGGATCAAAGGGCAGTACTATTTTTAGTTCTTTGATAAATCTCCCTCTGTTTTTCATGCAGGTTTTATTAATTTTATTCCTAGCAATAGTGCATATTACCTGTTGTTTTTGACTTTTTAATAATAGCCATTCTGACTGGTGTAAGATGGAATTTCATTGTGGCTTTAATTTATATTTCTCTGATGATCAGTGGTGTTAAGCACTTTTTCATGTTTGTTTCTGCTTGTATGTCTGTTTTTTTGGAAAAATGCCTGTTTATGTCCTTTTCCCACTTTTAAATGGGATTATTATTATTATTTTTCTTATTTGAGTTCCTTGTAGATTCTTGATACTATCCTTTTGTCAGATGCTTAATTTGCAAATATTTTCTCCCATTTTTAAAATTGTTTATGCTGTTAACTATTTTGCTGTGCAGAAGTTATTTAATTTTATTAAGTCCCATTTATCTATTTTTGTTGTGTTTGATTTTGAGGACTTGGTCATAAATTTTTTGCCTAGGGCAATGTCCAGAAGAGCTTTTCTTAGGTTTTCTTCTATGATCTTTATAGTTTCAGACTTACATTTAAGTCTTTTTATCCATCTTGTGTTAATTTTCTTACATAGTGAGAGATATAGGTCCATATTTATTCTTCTGCATATGGCTATCCAATTTATCATTTATTGAATAGGTTGTCCTTCCCTCAGTTCATATTTTTGTCACCTTTGTTGGAAATCAGTCGGTTATAGCTATGTGGCTTTATTTCTGGGTTCTCTATTCTGTTTCATTGATCTATGTGTCTATTTTTGTATCAGTGCCATGCTGTTTTTGTTATTATAGCCTTGGAGTATAATTTAAAGTCAGGTAATGTAATGCCTCCAGCTTTGTTCTTTTTGCTTAGGATTGCCTTGGGTATTCACGGTCATTTTTAGTTCCATATGAATTCTAGGACTTTTCCCAATTCTGTGAAAAATGGCATTGGCAATTTGATAGAAACTGCATTGACTCTATAGATTGCTTGCCATCTTAAGAGTATTTATTCTTACAATCCATGAGCATAGGATTTTTGTTTGTGTCATCGATGATTGTGTCACCAGTGTTTTGTAGTTCTCCTTGTAGAGATCTTTCACCTCCGTGGTTAAGTTTATTTGTATGTATTTTACTCTTTTTGCAGCTATTGTAAATAGGATTCACTTCTTGATTTAGCTCTCAGAATGATTGTTATTGGTATATAAAAATGCTACTGATTTTGGCATGTCGATTTTGTATCCTGAAACATTAATGAAGTCATTTGTGAAATCTAGGAGTCTTTTGGAGGAGTCTTTGTTTTTTTTTTTTTTGATCATCTTATCAGTCAACAGAAATAATTTAACTTCCTATTTTCCAATTTGGATATGTTTTATTTGTCTCTCCTGAGTTCTCTAGCTACAACTTCTAGTACTAACTATATTGAGTAGGAGTGTTGAAAGTGGGCATCCTTGTCTTGTTCCAGTTCTTAAAGGGGAATGCTTTAAACAGTATCCTGTCCAGTATACTGTTGGCTGTGGGTTTGCTGAATATAATTTTTATTATTTTGAGTTTTGTTCCTTTGATGCCTAGTTTTTTTGAGAGTTTTTATCAGGAAGAGATGCTGAATTTTATGAAATTCCTTTTCTGCATTTATTGAGATCATCACATGATTTTTATTTTTAATTCATATGATATGGTGAATCACATTTATTGATTTGCATATGTTTAACCATTCTTGCATCTCTGTAGTAAAACTCACTTGATTGTAGGGCATTTTATTTTTGATGTGCTGTTGGATTTGTTTTGCTAGTATTTTCTTGGGGATTTTTGCATAGATATTGATCAGGGATATTGGTCTGTAGTATTTGTGTATGTATGTGCCCTTGAATGGCTTTGGCATCAGAGTGATCCTGGCTTCATAGAATGAGTAAGGGAGGATTCTCTTCTTTATTTTTTTGAAACAGCTTCCATAGAGTTGGTACCAGTCTATTTTTTACATCTGGTAGAATTCAGTTATAAATCTCTCTGGTCTTTGGCTTTTCTTGGCAAGTTGGGGGAAGTTTTAAAATTACTAATTAAGTTTAATTAGTCATTACTGGTCAGTTTAGCATTTCTATTTCTTCCTGTTTCAATCTTGGGATGTTATATGTTTTCAGAAATACATATACTTTTCCTCCAGGTTTTTTAGTTTATTTGTGTAGAGATGCTCATAGTAGTTTATGATAATCTTTTGTATTTCTGTGGTATCAATTGCAATGTCACATTTATTATTTCTTATTGTACTTACATGAATATTCTCTCTTTTTCTTGGTTACTCTATCTAGCAGTCTGCCAATTTTGTTCATCTCTTCAAAGAGACAACTTTTAATTTCATTGATCCTTTACATATTTTTTTGGTTCCAATTTTACCTAGTTCTGATCTGTGTAGTTTTTTTTCTTTTAACTTTGGCTATTGCTTGTTCTTGATTTTCTAGTTCCTTGAGGTACAACATTAGGTTGACAACTTGAGATATTTCTACTTTTTTGATGTAGGCATTGAACCCTATTAAGTTCCCTCTTAGCACTGCTTTTGCTGTATATCAGAAGTTTTGAGATGCTGTGTTTCTATTTCCATTTGTTTCCAATTTCTTTAAAATTTCTGCCTTGCTTCATCATTGATATGAAGTTTTTTCAGGAACAGGTTGTTTAATTTCCATGGATTTGTATTGTTTTGAGAGATCCTTTTAATATTTATTTCTAATTTTATTCCAATGTGATCCAAGAAAATGCTTGTTATGGTTTCAATTTAAAAAAATTTATTGAGACTTGCCTTGTAGACTAGTATATGGTTTATTTTTGAGAATGTTCTATGCACAGATGAGAAGAATGTATATTTTTCATGTGTTGGGTAGAATGCTCTGTAAGTGTCCATTAGGTTCATTTGGTTTAGAGTCCAGTTTTACCTCACAGTTTCTTTGTTCATTTTCTGCTTCAATGATTTGTCTAGTGCCATCAGTGGGGGTATTGAAGTCCCCCACTATTATTACATGGCTGTACACTTTTTTAAAAATCTGTGCTTTTTAAATTTTTTAATTTTTTTCTATTTTTTTAACTTTATTCATAATTGGGATTGACAAGTTTTCTTTTTTTTCTTTTTAGAAATGGAGTCTGGCTCTGTTGCCCAGGCTGGAGTGCAGTGGCACGATCTCGGCTCACTGCAAGCTCCACCTCCTGGGTTCACGCCATTCTCCTGCCTCAGCCTCCTGAGTAGCTGAGACTACAGGCCCCTGCCACCATGCCTGGCTAATTTTTTTTTTTTTTACATTTCTCTTTTTATTTCTATGCCTTGCTTATTTTCAAAAACAGGTTTTAACTTCTATAACATTTTCCGAATAGCACTGCTGGAAAAAGAATAAATTTATTTGATTTTTTGGTATATCATACACTGTACTTACTTCCTTCAAAAATTTCTTTTTCCATTTTAACTTTTTTTCTGAAAAAATTAGCATTAAATATTATTTTTATCCATAGTTGAAAAAAACTGAAGCATCCATTTTACATTTCTATATTAAAGAAGTTTGAACATGTAACACGTATATTTACAGTTTATAACTCACTTTTACATATGTTGCCTCAATGCAAAATTTTGCTTAACTTTAACACAGCTTAAACATAATATTGCCCATATGACAGTCTTGCTGCTTTTGATGTTTTATAATCTACAATGGTAAAAGCTGGGAAACAGTTTCAAAGTTTGTGGCTTGGTATGTCAAAAAGAATTTGACCTTCACAATTTGTCTAAAATCTTTTTGCCAAAAATGCACAACACAGTTTTATAAAGAAAGTGGGAGGAGCTTAGTTGAAGCAATTTATAGACCATGGAGTGAGAAGTGATGTCTAGAGATTAAGCAGTCAATCTTAAGTCAACTTCTTCATCCACTGTGGCAGATGGTTTTCTGTACTTCCCTTGATGGTTTCCAGGAATAATACACCCATAGTCTTCTAAATTAGCTGATTTGTCAGTTGATTTGAATATGTGTTATAGGTTGTTCTTTATTTCCTAAATTTTATTTTTGCAGTTTAACTTATTTGTTAATTCTTTTTCTTTTTGAAAAGAGGAGACTCAAATAACTTCTTTGGAAAATAATTCTTAATTTATCTGCAGCCCTATATTTTGAAATAAAGTGTATATGGTAAAGGAAAGATTTGTACCACTTCAAATTTTTTTGTTAAGGATTGAAACTTGAGTTGCAAAAAGTTGTCTTTCTGTTTTTGAGACAGGGTCTTGATCTGTGGCCCAGGCTGGAGTGCAGTGACACGATCATGACTCATTTCAGCCTTGAACTTCTGGGCTCAAGGGATCCTCCAGCCTTAGCCTTAAATGTGTGTATATATATATATATATATATATTTTTTTTTTTTATTATACTTTAAATTTTAGGGTACATGTGCACAACGTGCAGGTTTGTTACAAAACAGAGATATAGACCAATGGAACAGAACAGAGGCCTCAGAAATAATGCCACATATCTAAAACTATCTGATCTTTGACAAACCTGACAAAAACAAGCAATGGGGAAAGGATTCCCAATTTAATAAATGGTGCTGGGAAAACTGGCTTGTCATATGTAGAAAGCTGAAACTGGATCCCTTCCTTACACCTTATACAAAAATTAATTCAAGATGGATTAAAGACTTAAATATTAGATCTAAAACTATAAAAACCCTAGAAGAAAACCTAGGCAATACCATTGAGGACATAGGCATGGGCAAGGACTTCACGTCTAAAACACCAAAAGCAATGGCAACAAAAGCCAAAATTGACAAATGGGATCTAATTAAACTAAAGAGCTTCTGCACAGCAAAAGAAACTACCATAAGAGTGAACAGGCAACCTACAGAATGGGAGAAAATTTTTGCAATCTACTCATCTGACAAAGGGCTAATATCCAGAACCTACAATGAGCTCCAACTAATTTACAAGAAAAAACCAAACAACCCCATCAAAAAGTGGGTGAAGGATATGAACAGACACTTCTCAAAAGAAGACATTTATGCAGCCAAAAAACACATGAAGAAATGCTCATCATCACTGGCCATCAAAGAAATGCAAATCAAAACCACAATGAGATACCATCTCACACCAGTTAGCATGGTGATTATTAAAAAGTCAGGGAACAACAGGTGCTGGAGAGGATGTGGAGAAATAGGAACACTTTTACACTGTTGGTGGGACTGTAAACTAGTTCAACCATTGTGGAAGTCAGTGTGGCAATTCCTCAGGGATCTAGAACTGGAAATACCATTTGACCCACCCATCCCATTACTGGGTATATACCCAAAAGATTATAAATCATGCTGCTATAAAGACACATGCACACGTATGTTTATTGTGACACTATTCACAATAGCAAAGACATGGAACCAACCCAAATGTCCAACAATGATAGACTGGATTAAGAAAATGTGGCACATATACACCATGGAATACTAAGCAGCCATAAAAAAATGATGAGTTCATGTCCTTTGTAGGGACATGGTTGAAGCTGGAAACCATCATTCTTAGCAAACTATTGCAAGGACAAAAAACCAAACACCGCATGTTCTCACTCATAGGTGGGAATTGAACAATGAGAACATATGGACACATATACCTGGCTAATTTTTTCTGTAGAGATGGGGTTTCACCGTGTTAGACAGGATGGTCTCGATCTCCTGACCTCGTGATCTGCCCACCTTGGCCTCCGAAAGTGCTGGGATTACAGGCATGAGCCACTGCACCTGGCCGACAAGTTTTCTTTTTAAATTTTATTATTATAACATAATAATGACTACTCAAGCAAATTGAGGAACTTTACAATGTCTTTTTTCTTCTATGGTTTTGAATTTTTGTTTTTATTATACTTTAAGTTTTGGAGTTCATGTGCACAATGTGCAGGTATGTTACATAGGTATATATGTGCCATGTTGGTTTGCTGCACCCATCAACTCTTCATTTATATTAGGTATTTCTCCTAATGCTATCCCTGCACCAGCCCCCAACCCCCTGACAGGCCCCAGTGTGTGATGTTCCCCTCCTGGTGTCCATGTATTCTCATCATTCAACTCCCACTTCTGAGTGAGAACATGCAGTGCCGAGACCAGCTCAGTCGGGGAGACCCTAACCCATTGGCGCTAGAGGAATTAAAGACACACACAGAAATATAGAGGTGTGAAGTGGGAAATCAGGGGTCTCACAGCCTTCAGAGCTGAGAGCCTGAACAGAGATTAACCCACGTATTTATTAACAGCAAACCAGTCATTAGCATTGTTTCTATAGATATTAAATTAACTAAAAGTATCCCTTATGGGACACAAAGTGGTGGGCTGAATTAAAGGAATAGGTTGGGCTAGTTAACTGTAGCAGGAGCATGTCCTTAAGGCACAGATCACTCATGCTATTGTTTGTGGCTTAAGAATGCCTTTAAGCAGTTTTCTGCCCTGGGCGGGCCAGGAGTTCCTTGCCTTCATTCCTGTAAACCCACAACCTTCCAGCTTGGACATTAGGGCCATTATGAACATGTTACAGTGCTGCAGAGATTTTGTTTATGGCCAGTTTTGGGGCCAGTTTATGGCCAGAATTTGGGGGACCTGCTCCCAACAATGCAGTGTTTGGTTTTCTCTTCTTGTGTTACTTTGCTGAGAATGATGGTTTCCAGTTTCATCCATATCCCTGCAAAGGACATTAACTCATCCTTTTTTATGGCTGCATAGTATTCCATGAAGTATATGTGCCGCCACATTTTCTTTATCGAGTCTACAATTGATGGGCATTTGGGTTGGTTCCAAGACTTTTCTATTGTGAACAGTGCTGCAATAAACATACGTGTGCATGTGTCTTTCTAGTCAAATGATTTATAATCTTTTAGGTATACACGCAGCACTGGGATTGCTGGGTCAAATGCTATTTCTAGTTCTAGATCCTTGAGGAATTGCCACACTGTCTTCCACAGTGGTTGAACTAATTTACATTCCCACCAACAGTGTAAAAGCATTCCTACTTTGCCACATTATCTCCAGCATCTGTTGTTTCCTGACTTTTCAATGATCACCATTCTAACTGGTGTGAGATGGTATCACATTGTGGTTTTGATTTGCATTTCTCTAATGACCAGTGATGATCAGAATTTTTTCATAAGTTTTCTGGCTGCATACATGTCTTCTTTTGAGAAGTGTCTGTTCATACCCTTTCCCCATTTTTTGATGGGCTTGTTTGTTTTTTCTTGTAAATTTGTTTAAGTACTTTGTAGATTCTGATATTAACCCTTTGTCAAATGGATAGATTACAAAAATTTTCTCCCATTCTGTAGGTTGCCTGTTCACTCTACTGATAGTTTCTTTTGCTGTGCCGAAGCTCTTTAGTTTATTTAGACCCCATTTGTCAATTTTGGCTTTTGTTGCCATTGCTTTTGGTGTTTTACTCATGAAGTCTTTGCCCACCCCTATGTCCTGAATTGTTTTGCCTATGTTTTCTTCTAGGGTTTCTATGGTTTTAGGTCTTATGTTTAAGTCTTCAATCCATCTTGAATTAATTTTTGTATAAGGTGTAAGGAAGGGATCCAGTGTCAGCTTTCTGCATATGGCTATCCAGTTTTCCCAGCAACATTTATTAAATGGGGAATCCTTTCCTCATTCCTTGTTTTTGTCAGGTTTGTCAAGGTCAGATGGTTGTAGATGTGTAGCATTATTTCTGAGGCCTCTATTTTGTTCCATTGGTCTATATATCTGTTTTGGTACCAGTACCATGCTGTTTTGGTTATGTAGCCTTGTAGTATAGTTTGAGGTCAGGTAGCGTGATGCCGCCAGGTTTATTCTTTTTGCTTAGAATTGTCTTGGGTTGTGTGGGCTCTTTCTTTTGTTCCATATGAAATTTAAAGTATTTTTTTGCAATTCTGTGAAGAAAGTCAGTGGTAGCTTGATGGGGATAGCATTGAATCTATAAATGACTTTGGGCAGTATGGCCATTTTCACGGTATTGATTCTTCCTATCCATGAGCATGGAATATTCTTTCATTTGTTTGTGTCCTCTTTTATTTCCTTGAGCAGTGGTTTGTAGTTCTCCTTGAAGAGGTCCTTCACATTCCTTGTAAGTTGGATTCCTAGGTATTTTATTCTCTTTGAAGCAATTGTGAATGGGAGTTCACTCATGATTTGGCTCTCTGTTTGGCTTTTATTGGTGTATAGGAATGCTTGTGATTTTTGCACATTGATTTTGTATCCTGAGACTTTGGTGAAGTTGCTTATCAACTTAAGGAGATTTTGGGCTGAGACGATGGGCTTTTCTAAATATACAATCATGTCATCTGCAAACAGAGACAATTTGACTTCCTCTTTTTCTATTTGAATACCCTTCATTTCTTTCTTTTCCCTGATTGCCCTGGCCAGAACTTCCAATAGTATGCTGAATAGGAGTGGTGAGAGAGGGCATACTTGTCTTGTGCCAGTTTTCAAAAAGAATGCTTCCAGTATTTGCCCATTCAGTATGATATTGGCTGTGGGTTTGTCATAAATAGCTCTTATTATTTTGAGATACGTTCCATGAATACCTAGTTTATTGAGAGTTTTTAGCATGAAGGACTGCTGAATTTTGTTGAAGGCCTTTTCAGCATCTATTGAGATAATCATGTGGTTTTTGTCATTGGTTCTGTTTATGTGATGGATTACATTTATTGATTTGTGTATGCTGAACCAGTCTTGCATCCCAGGGATAAAGGTGTCTTGATTGTGGTGGGTAAGCATTTTGATGTGCTGCTGGATTCAGTTTGCCAGTATTTTATTGAGGATTTTCACTTCAATATTCATCAGGGACATTGGCCTAAAATTTTCTTTTTTTGTCGTGTCTCTGTCAGGTTTTGGTATCAGGATGATGCTGGCCTCATAAAATGAGTTAGGGAGGATTCCCTCTTTTTCTATTGATTGGAATAGTTTCAGAAGGAATGATACCAACTCCTCTTTGTACATCTGGTAGAATTCGGCTGTGAATCCATCTGGTCCTGGACTTTTTTTGATTGGTAGGCTATAAATGATTGCCTCAATTTCAGAGCCTGTTATTGGTCTATTCAGGGATTCAACTTTTTCCTGGTTTAGTCTTGGGAGGGTGTATGTGTCCAGGAATTTATCCATTTCTTCTAGAATTTCTAGTTTATTTGCATAGAGGTGTTTGTAGTATTCTCTGATGGTAGTTTGTATTTCTGTGGGCTCCATGGTAATATCCTCTTTATCAAATTTTATTGCCTCTATTTGATTCTTCTCTCTTTTCTTTATTAGTCTTGGTAGCGGTCTATCAATTTTGTTGGTCTCTTGAAAAAACCAACTCCTGGATTCATCGATTTTTTGAAGGGTTTTTCTTTGTCTCTGTCTCCTTCAGTTCTGCTCTGATCTTAGTTATTTCTTGCCTTCTGCTAGCTTTTGAATGTGTTTGCTCTTGCTTCTCTAGTTCTTTTAATTGTGATGTTAGGGTGTTGATTTTAGATCTTTCCTGCTTTCTCTTGTGGGCATTTCGTTCTATAAATTTCCCCTTACACACTGCTTTAAATGTGTCCCAGAGATTTTGGTATTTTGAGTCTTTTTTCTCATTGGTTTCAAAGAACATCTTTATTTCTGCCTTCATTTCGCTATTTACGTGGTAGTCATTCAGTAGCAGGTTTTTCAGTTTCCATGTAGTTGAGCGGTTTTGAGTGAGTTTCTTAATCCTGAGTTCTAGTTTGATTGCACTGTGGCCTGAGAGACAGTTTGTTGTGATTTCTGTTCTTTTACATTTGCTGAGGAGTGTTTTACTTCCAATTATGTGGTCAATTTTAGAATGAGTGCAACGTGGTGCTGAGAAGAATACATATTCTGTTGATTTGGGGTGGAGAGTTCCATAGATGTTTACTAGATCTGCTTGGTCCAGAGCTGAGTTCAAATCCTGAATGTCCATGTTAATTTTCTGTTTGAGTCATCTGTGTAATATGGACAGTGGGGTGTTAAAGTCTCCCATTATTATTGTGTGGGAGTCTATGTCTCTCTATAGGTCTCTAAGAACTTGCTTTATGAATTTGGGTGCTCCTGTATTGGGTGCATATATATTTAGGATAGTTAGCCCTTCTTATTGCATTGATCCCTTTACCATTATGTAATGGCCTTCTTCGTCTCTTTTGATCTTTGTTGGTTTAAAGTCTATTTTGTCAGAGACTAGGATTGCAAACCCCGCATTTTTTGGCTTTCCATTTGCTTGGTAGATCTTCCTCCATCCCTTTATTTTGAGCCTATGTGTGTCTTTGCATGTGACATGGGTCTTCTGAACACAGCACCCCGAGGGGTCTTGAATCTTTATCCCATTTGCCAGTCTGTGTCTTTTAATTGGGGCATTTAGCCCATTTACATTTAAAGTTAATATTGTTATGTGTGAATTTGATCCTGTCATTATGATGCTAGTTGGTTGTTTTGACCGTTAGTTGATGCAGTTTTTTCATAGTGTCGATGGTCTTTACAATTTGGCATGTTTTTGCAGTGGCTGGTACTGGTTCTTCCTTTCTATTTTTAGTGCTTCCTTCAGGAGCTCTTGTAAGGCAGGCCTGATGGTGACAAAATCTCTCAGCATTTGCTTCTCTGTAAAGGATTTTGTTTTTCCTTCACTTATGAAGCTTAGCTTAGCTGGATATGAAATTCTGGGTTGAAAATTCTTTTCTTTAAGAATGTTGAATATGGGCCCCCACCCTCTTCTAGCTTGTATGGTTTCTGCAGAGAGATTCAGTTAGTCTGATTGCCTTTTCATTGTGGGTAACCTGACTTTTCCCTCTGGCTGCCCTTAACACTTTTTCCTTCATTTCAACCTTGGTGAATCTGACAATTATGTGTCTTTCGGTTGCTCTTCTTGAGGCATATCTTTGTTTTGTTCTCTGTATTTCCTGAATTTGAATGTTGGCCTGCCTTGCTAGGTTGGGGAAGTTCTCCTGGATAATATCCTGAAGAGTGTTTTCAAACTTGGTTGCATTCTCCCTGTCACTTTCAGGTACACCAACCAAGCGTAGATTTGGTCTTTTCACATAGTCCCATATTTCTTGGAGGCTTTGTTCATTTCTTTTCACTCTTTTTTCTCTAATCTTGTCTTCTTGCTTTATTTCATTAAGTTGATCTTCAATCACTGATATCCTTTTTTCCACTTGATTGATTCAGGTATTGAAACTTGTGTATGCTTCACAAAGTTCTCTTGCTGTGTTTTTCAGCTCCATCAGGTCATTTAAGCTCCTCTAGACATTGGTTATTCTAGTTAGCAATTCCTCTCACCTTTTTTCAAGGTTCTTAGCTTTCTTGTATTGGGTTAGAACATGCTCCTTTAGCTTGGAGGAGTATGTTATTACCCACCTTCTGAAGCCTACTTCTGTCAATTTGTCAAACTCATTCAAACTCCATCCAGATTTGTTCCCTTGTTTATGAGGAGTTGTGTTCCTTTGGAGGAGAAGAGGTATTCTGGTTTTTGGAATTTTCAGCCTTTCTGCACTGGTTTCTCTCCATCTTTGTGGTTTTATCTACTTTTGGTCTTTGATGTAAGTGACCTATGGATGGGGTTTTGGTGTGGATGTCCTTTCTGTTGATGTTGATGGCATTCCTTTCTGTTTGTCAGTTTTCCTTCTAACAGCCAGGACCCTCAGCTACAGGTCTGTTGGAGTTTGCTGGAGGTCCACTCTGGACCCTGTTTTCCTAGACATCACCAGCGGAGGCTGCAGAACAGCAACTATTGCTGCCTGATCTTTCCTCTGGAAGCTTTTTCCCAGAGGGTCACCAGCCAGATGCCAGCCAGAGTTCTCCTGTATGAGGTGTCTGTTGGCCCCTACTGGGAGATGTCTCCCAGTCAGGCTACATGGGGGTCAGGGACCCACTTGAGGAGGCAGTCTGTCCATTATTAGAACTCGGAGGCTGAGCTGGGAGAATCTTGCTGTCTTCAGAGCTGTCATGCAGGGATATTTAAGTCTGCTGAAGCTATGCCCCTGCTGTACCTTCCCCCAGGTTCTCTCTCCCAGGGAGATGGGGGCTTTATCTATAAGTCCCTGACTGAGGCTGCTGCCTTTTGTTCAGTGATGCCCTGCTCACAGAGGTGGAATCTAGAGAGGCAGTCTGCCTTGCTGAACTGTGGTGGGTTCCACCCAGTTCGAATTTCCTGGCAGCTTTGTTTACGCTGAAGCATAAAACTGCCTACTCAAGCCTCAGCAATGGCAGATGCCCCTCCCCCCACCAAGCTCAAGCATCTCAGGTCAATCTCATACTGCTGCACTAGCAGTCAGATTTTCAAGTCAATGGATCTTAGCTTGCTGGGCTCTGTGGGCCTGGGACCCACCAAGCCAGGCACTGGAGGGAATCTTCTGGTCTGCCAGTTGCGAAGACAATGGGAAAAGCACAGTATCTGGGAGGAGTGTACTGTTCCTCCTGGTACAGTCTCTCACAGCTTCCCTTGGCTAGGAAAGGGAAATTCCCTGACCCATTTCACTTCCTGGGTGAGGCAACACCCTGCCCTGCTTTGGCTCACCCTCTGTGGGCTGCACCCACTGTCCAATCAGTCCCAATGAGATGAACCAGGTACCTCAGTTTGAAATGCAGAAATCACCTGCCATCTACGTCAGTCTCACTGGGAGCTGCAGACTGGAGCTGTTCCTATTCCACTGTACACCTTTTCTTAGGTCTAGTAGTATTTGTTTTATGTATCTGGGTGCTCTCATGTTGAGTGCTTATGTATTTGTGATTGTTGTAACTTCTTGTTGAATTTATACATTGTCATTAGATAATAATCTTCTTTGTCTTTCTTTTTTTACTGTTGTTGACTTAAAAGTCTGTTATGTTTGATATAAATTTGGCTACTCTTGCTTGCTTTGGGTTTTTATTTGCTTGGAATATATTTTCCCACACATTTACCTTGAGCCTGCAAATGGTCTTCAACAATTATGTGGGTTTGTAATAAGCAGCATCTGGTTGAATTTTTTTTTGAGATGGAATCTAGCTCCATCTCCCAGGCTGGAGTGCTGCGGCACAATCTCTGCTCACTGCAATCTCTGCCTCCCAGGTTCAAGCAACTCTCCTACCTCAGCCTCCCAAGTAGCTGGGATTACAGATGTGTGCCACCACACTCAGCTAATTTTCATATATTTAGTAGAAACAGGGTTTTGCCATGTTGGACAGGCTGGTCTCAAACTCCTGATATCAGGTGATCCATATGCCTTGGTCTCTCAAAGTGCTGGGATTACAGGCATGAGCCACTGTGCCCGGCCTGGATTTTTTTTTAGTCCCTTCCACCAGTCTATATCCTTTAAGTGGAGCACTTAATCATTTACATTCATAGTTGATATTGATATGTGAGCTTTTGTTCCTGTCATAATGGTAATTGTTACCTAATGGCTTTGTAGTTTCAGTTGTGTAACTGCTTTATAAGACCTGTAAATTTTATACTTTTGCATGTTTTTATGATGGTGAATATGTTAGACCATTCTTACGTTGCTATAAAGGAATACCTGGGACCGGGTAATTTATAAACAAAAGAGGTTTAATTGGCTCACAGTTCTTCAGGCTGAACAAGCATGGCATTGGCATCTTCTTGACTTCTGGGGAGGCCTCAGGGAGCTTTTACTCGTGGTGGAAGGTGAAGTGGGAGCAGACATGTCACACAGCCAGAGCAGGAGCAAAGTGTGGGGAAGATGCCACAGACTTTAAAATAACCCTGTCGCATAAGAACTCACTCACTATCACGAGGACACCACCAAGTCATGAGGGATCCACCTCCATGACCCAAACACCTTTCATTAGGCCCCACCTCCAACATTGGGGGTGACATTTCAACATAAGATTTGGGTGGGAACAAATATCAAAACTCTATCTTTCCACCCCATCCTCCCGAATCTCATGTTTTTGTCACACTGCAAAACACAAACATTTCTTCCCAATAGTCCCCCAAAGTCTTAATTCATTCCAGCATTAACTCAAAAGTACCAAGTCCAAGTCCATAGTCTCATCTGGAGATTAGTTTCTTTCATCTACAAGCCTGTAAAATCAAAATAGGTTATGTACTTCCAAGAAACAATAGTAGTACAGGCATTGGGTAAACTTTCCCTTTATAAAAGGGAGAAATCAGCCAAAAGAAAGGGGCTACAGGCCCCATGCAATTTCAAAGCCCAGCGAGGCAGTCATTAAGCTTTAAAGCTCCCAAATACTCTCCTTTGACTCTATGTCCCACATCCAGGGCACACTGTTGTGAGGAGTGGACTCCAAAAGCCTTGGGCTGCTCTGCCCTGTGAATTTTCCAAGCTTAGGTGGCAAGCTCAACCATTCTGGGTTCTGGAGTGTAGCAGCTCCCTTTCTACAGCTCCACCAGGCAGTGCCCTAGTAGGGACTCTGTGTGGGGCCTCATTAGAGGTTCTCTATAAGGGCTCCACCCCTGCAGCAGGGTTCTGCCTGGGCATCTAGGCTTTCTCATACATTTTCTGAAATGTAGATGGAGGCTGCCAAGCCACCTTCACTCTTGCACTCTGTGTACCAGCAGACTTAATACCACATCGAAGCTGCCAAAGCTTATGGCTTGTGCCCTCTAGAGTGACAACCTGAGCTGTGCCAGGATCCCTTTGAGCTGTGGCTGAAGCTGGAGCAGCCTGGGATGTGGGGAGCAGTGTCCATTGCTAGAGAGGTAGTGTGATCTTTTGGGTGTGTCGCAATACTCTTTTTTTCTATGGTCCCAGAATTCTTATGCTGGTTCCTTTTTGGATTTACTTTTGTTTGGATAGAAATTTATTCCCCTCTTGAGGGTGTGACTATAGGATATATTGTGTAGGGTCCTTTGACTTTGCTTCCGGGTACTTTCAGGGGGCCAAATCTATGAATTTTTTGATGATAGATGGCCTTAGTGTAATGGTTTTCTCAAATACTATTTTTTGTAAGTTGTAGCGGCAGTGAATTGGGCATGTGAGAAGGATCACTGCTTCCTGCAAAGATGAGCAGGGGGAAGTCTCTTATTTTATTCCCCAGCATTGTGCACTTCTGTCAGCAGGGATTGTATTGGGTTGTTTAGTTTTACCTCCAGGTCAGTAGGTGGCACTTGCAGATACAAGCCAGCTGAGCACTGTGCAGTTCTGTGGGCAGTTTAATAAGCTGTGCAGGTTGATTTCCAAGCCAGTAGGCGGCATTCCAAGAGAGAGGGAGCAGTGGGATTTTTCCTTGGATTTTGTTCATTACAGAAGCTCTGGGTGTCTCATGTAAGGGGTGGGGCCATGGAACTCCCAGGACTCCCTGTCCTATGCTCTGCTGCTACAGTGGTTGGATGGGGCAAAGCCAGGCATGGCTGGGTCTGGGAAGTCCTGAACCAGGCTCTCCAAGGCTGGTGGAAGTGCTGATTCTACTGGGGGTTTGGGGTCACGTCTCAGGCTACTGGAGCAACCCTCCAGGAAGGGGCAGAGGCACTTCTGTTGCATCAAAGCACCTTCATGCTAGAGGAGAAGTGTGGCCATGAATCAGCAGCTGGAAGTGGCAGTGGGACCTGCTCCGCCCCCAAACCTCCAACCCCATGGGTTTCCCTACAGCATTAGGCCACCAACAGCTGGCCAGAACCTCTAGGCCCATCCTAAGCTGTCTGTGTTCAGATGGAAAAGCCTCCCCAGGCCATGAAACTCCTTGTCTGGGGCAGAAACTTTGGCTCTCAGGCCACACCCTTCCTGTTCTGGTCCTATGAAGGGAGGGGTACCCAGTTCCTGTACAACAGTACGAACCCACACCACACTCTCCTCTCACTTCTGGCTGTGGGGGGCTCCAGATCAGATCACATCAGATCACAAATCTCATCTCCATGCTCCTGGATGGCATGCTTGAATTGTGCAGGGATAGGACCAGGCCAGCAGCCTTGCCCTTGGGGTTCCTGGACTCAAGTGCTGGCTGTGATAGGGAGGGCAAGCTGGTCCCTGGCCACTGGAGGAACACTCACGTAGGGCAACAGTGGCTGCACTGTGGGCCTGCTGCTTGGAAGGGTGGTCCTCTCTCCATAGGAATGGCTAGGCAGGCGGCTTTGGGAGAGACTGGCAGACATGGGGCATGTGGTCCAAATGACCTCAGTCCCACAGCAGAAGCAGTGGAACCTCTCCTTGAGGCATGTGAGAGCACCTGGCCTCCCCTTTCACTACCTGGCCCAGCAGCCAGCAGTGGCAGTAGCAGCCTCAGGGCAGGACAGAGATCCTTGGGGAATGGGCTCCCAGAATGGCACCATGCTGCAGCTGTCCAGTGCTTGGAAGCTTGTGAGACTCCATGTAAGTCTGAGAAGCACCTGTGCATGATGTCCAGGCAGCTCTCTATGCCAGTCTGGAGGCCTATGGGGTTGAGGGACTCTCCTACAGCTAGGATTATGGAAGTCTGCAGCAGAAATATGGAGCTCTGGGGTTCCTTCACTTACCCCTTCTTTGGGTCTGGGGCAGCTCTTGGCTCCTAGCAACCCCAAACAGGTAGCCTCATATCTCCTTCCTTCACCCTCAGTGTCTCCTGTTGCCTCTTTGTTGAATTCCAGTGCTGTTTCTCAGACAATCTGTTTAAAGTGTGAATATCCACTTGATATTTTGGTTCCTTTCTGTGGAAGAGGTGTACCCCAGCCGAATCTAGTCAGTCATCTTGTAGTTGCATTTTTTTAATTGTAAATTTTTAATACAATGTAGCATCTCATAAATGTATTAGTTTTAATAGTTTATAAATTTTGATTTGCTACACACACAAAATTATTGTATGCAAATAATGACAGTTTAAAATTTTTCCTAGTCATTTTTATAAATGCCACTTATTTCTTTTCTTTGCCTTATTGCACTGGTTAGATTCTCCAGCACAATGTGGAACAGATGTAATTATAATGGATAGTTTTGCATTGTTTCTGACTCCCATGAGAAAGTTTTTAGTATTTCCTCATTAAGTAAATGTTGGCTGTATGGTGTTTGTTAATACGCTTTATCCTACTGAGGAAGTTCTATTCCTAGTTTTCTTAAACATTTTAAAAAACATGAATGTATGTTAAATCTTATCAAGCTTTTTCTCTATTTATTGAATTGATCATATATTTTTTCTACTTAATTTTGTTCATGCAGTGAATTACATGAATTGATTTTTTTTTTGAGACAGGGTCTCACTCAGTTGCCCAGGCTGGAGTGCAGTGACACAATCACCAATCACTGCAGCCTTAACTTCCTGGGCTCAAGCGATCCTCCCACCTCAGCCTACCAAGTAGCTGGAACTATGGTACATGCCACCACACCTGGCTAATTAAAAATTTTTTTTTGTATAGATGGTGGTCTCAATATTTTGCCCCAGCTGGTCTTGAACTCCTGAGATCAAGCGATCTGCCCACCTCAGCCTCCCAAAGTACTGGGATTACAGTGTGAGCAATCGCATGTGGCCATGAATTGATTTTGAATGTGAAATCAACATTTTCATTCCTGGGACAAAACTTACTTGCTCATGATACATTATTATTTTTATATATGGCTGTATTTTATTTGCTAAATATTGGGTTTAGAATTTTTGTGTCTGTGTTAATGAGAGATATTTATCTGATATTTTTTCTTGTAATGCCCTTTTTCATTTTCTCTAATCCCTGAAAATGTTGATATAAAATTGGTAGTATTTTTTAAAAGTGATATGTAGAATTCACTGATAAAGCTACATGGGATGTAATCTTGATATTTTTGGGAGAAGTCAGGGGAAAATTTTTCAAGAGCGAATTTAGCACATGTATCTTATTCAGGTTTTGCTTGTCTGTGTGTGCATGTGTGTTTAGAAAGTTGTGTTTTTCCAAAGAAATGATAAATGTCTGAGATAATGGATATGCTAATTACCCTGAATTAATCACTATACATTATGTGTATCAAAATGTCACTATTTACCCCATAAATATGTACAATTATTATTTTTCAATAAAAATTAAAAGTTGCTTAGTACAAATATTTTAAATTTGCATTTCTCTGGTTACTAATGAAGTTGAAAGATTTTTCATACTAACGAAGTTGAAAGTTTTTCAAGAATGACCATTCATTCTTCTTCTTTTGGAAATTGTTCTTGTCCTTTGCCCATTTTGTAGCTGAATGATTTCTAATTAACTTGTAATACTCTTTGCATATGGAGGATGCATACATTTTCTTTATTCAATCGAAATATTGTTTTTACAGACATTTTTGAATGACAAAAAATAGAAAGGTGTGTTTTTCAAAGCAGAGGTCCATTTCTTTTTAACTGGCAAGGACATTAGCAAAATTCATTTGTAATGTCTTTTTATTATCTTGTTAAGATCTGTAGAATCTACAGCATAGCCTTTTCATTGCTGATTCTCATAATTTGTTTTTTTCCTTATATTTTAAAACCAATTTTTCTAAGGACATTAGTTTTATTAATTTTTACACAAAACCAACCCTTGTCCTTATGTATTTTCCCTATTTTTAAATTAATTTTATCTCAAGTATATCTGTCTTCTACTTACTATTCATATTATACCATGTTTTGTGCATTTATTTTGCTCTACTATTTCTAGCTTCTGGAGATGAAAGCTTAGTTCATTTCCTTTAATCTTTTTTATTTTCTAATACTTGCATTTAAAGTTATATATTTCTCTCTGAGCAATTCTTTAGCTGCATCTAGTTTTTTTTGTTTTTACTGTCTTTCAGTTAAAATTCATTAAAAATTTTTCATTGGCACTTCTTTAATATATGAATAATTTAGAATTGTGTTGCTTGATTTATAAATAATTGGGGGATGTTTAGTTATATTTTTGTTATAAATTTTTAGTTGAAGCCTACTATTATGAGATATGTGTTCTGTATGGTTTAGTCCTTTGAAATGTATTGCATCTTGTACCGTGGCCCAGTGTATTTTCTATTGTGGTGTACATTCCATGAGCACTTAGAGATAAACAGAATAATCCTACATTTGTTTTCTCTTTCTCCACTCCCTTACTAACACACCTTCAGCTAGCCTGACTGAAACTGTGTGATAAACTCAAGACTTTTTAGGGAAGAACATTGCTTTATTTGCATTCAAATCAAGTTTTCTTGATTTGTTCTGAAGTTAACGTTTATCGTCTTCTGGGAGTGAGTTCAGATGCCATCTGCAACACCACAGCTTAACCTTTCACATTTGAGTTTAAACTCGAGTCTAGTTACAGGTCTAGAAGCAAAGAGGGATGATGAAGATGGGTCTTGAGGGAAATCAACATTGTTTTGCTGGGAAACTGCTTCAGGGAAGGACATATAATTTCCTCAGGCAACGCAAGGTTAAACCTTCCATAGGGGTGAAGAAGTTTCTTCTGCTAAGGGTGAAGGAAAGGTTCTACTCGAGGTGGGGAGGCCTCTTCAGCTGGCAAAGCAGGCTTATCTTTTCTCTGTTCCATCTTCTCAGTATCCTCCTTCTGAAGCAGAAACATAGTTTCATCCATGACTCTTTTCTCTCTAATCTTCATCCTATATAAAGTTATTTTCCTCAAAATTCATTAATGTATCTTAAACTGTCTCTATTACTGTGTGTTAGTTTGGGTTTCTTAGATACATATCTGAAATTGAGAATTTTTACAAAAGTGACTTATAAGGAGAAGGGGTTAAGGGAAGCTAACTGTGGTAGAGGGAAGAAAGGACATGATCTCAACTGGAGTCTGGCTTCAGATATGGTCTCAACTGAAGTCTGCCTCAATTGAGTCTGGAGCCGTTGAAGCTCTGGAGGATACATTGTATTATACAACAACCTTTTAAACTTTCATGTCTGTTAGTCATTGACCACTGCTGGGCCCTGACGGTGGGCATAATCTTCTGGGTGTGGCACCTCCTATTTTCTGTAGTGTAATTATCCAGGGAAGGGTGGGGCTGTGAGCTGTTAGCAGCCCAGACACAGCAGGTGGGGCATGAGTTCACTTACCAGGCAAAGGGCATTTGAGCTGGATGCAACAGTGTCCCTAAAACTCGGTGTCTCTTGGGAGTCACCAAAGTTCAGACTCCCATTTATTCACACCTAAATCATTATAATTACCTCCTAGCTGCTCTTCTCTTGGGAGGCTTGACCCTTCAATCCATTTTCCATACTGTAGCTAGAGTTATCATTCCCAAAACAAATCCAGCTACATTTCTTGCTAGTTTAAAAGTACTTTCACTATTTTCTCCATGGTACTTAGCATTTAGTTTTAACACAATTATGAGACCCTTTTTGATCTTACCAATATCCTACTTTCCAGCTTCATGTCTTGTATTTTCCCTTTTACAATCTCAGTGTCCTACACCAGTGCACAGTGCGGGTTCAATAAATAATTGTTGAATGAATAGATAAATTGATAATTACAGTCATAATGAATTGTTTGGGTTTCCTGCTGCCTCTTTCTCATCTTCTGGCCTTTGTTACCTATTCCATCTCATAGATGCACTCTTAGCTCAACCTTATGCCTACTTATTCTGCTGACCCCTTTTCTGCCTTTGGCTTCTGTTTTTTTTTTTTTTCGTTTTTGAGACAGAGTCTTGCTCCATCAGCCAGGCTGGAGTGCAGTGGCTAGATCTTGGTTCACTGCAACCTCTGCCTCCTGGGTTCAAGTGATTCTTCTGTCTCAGCCTCCCAAGTAGTTGGGACTACAGACATGCGCCACCACGCCCAGCTAATTTTTGTATTTTTAGTAGAGACAGGGTTTCACCATGTTGGCCAGGCTGATCTTGAACTCCTGACCTCAAGTAATCCACCCTCCTTGGCCTCCCAAAGTGCTGCGATTACAGGCATGAGCCACTGTGCCTGGTCAGCTTCTGTTTTTGATGTCTTTTCATCTAGGCATCCTTTTTAGATCTCCTAGGTCTTTGTTGTGTGTCCTTCTAACATGCTTTCACAGCACTCTGTAATTCCATGATCTTACTATTTATAGTATTATGTTGTAATTCTAACTTTTGTGAAAAGAGGACCCTGGTTTCTCTTTATTCACCACTAAGCCCCAGGAACTATCAATGTGCCTGATACATTCCTGGAGATGAAAAGTATTTGTTGATTAAGGAATAAAGAATGCAAGGAATAAGTGGAATACAGTTATCCTGAAATTGCTTTGTGTGTAGCTATATAATTTGAAAAACGGCTTTTAGACTGGGTGTGGTGGCTCACACCTACAATCCAGCACTTTGGGAGGCTGAGGTGGGCAGATCACGCGGTCAGGAGATCGAGACCATCCTGGCCAACATGGTGAAATCCCATCTCTACCAGCCAGGCATAGTGGCAGGTGCCTGTAGTCCTAGCTACTTGGGAGGCTGAGACAGGAGAATCACTTGAACCTGGGAGGCAGAGGTTGCAGTGAGCCAAGATCGCGCCACTGTACTCCAGCCTGGCAACAGAGAGAGACTCCGTCTCAAAAACAAAATACAAACAAAACAGCTTTTAATATGAAAATGTTACCAAAAAGCAAACTGATTGATAGAAAAATATAAACAGCCCATATACATAAGATAATAAAATTTTACTGGGGGTAGGAAAAATATCAAGATAAACTACATGTTCATATGCTGAGAATGCAGTTTCAATTTCTTTCTCATTGTTTCAATAAGAGTGAAAAAATGTGGTTTCCCTATGAAGTCCAACCAGAATTCTTAGTCTGAAGGTAGAAAATACTTTCCTAGCCTCCACTACTACTTTTACTTTATATTTTATTGAATTTATTCATTTTCATTAATCCTTTTATTCATTGATTCTGTTTATGGTATACCAGACATGGTACCTTGTAGGATCTATTGTTATCTATTGGGCAAGTACTTTATGGAGTATAACTGTATATTTAATAAATAGAAATTTCTCCTTGATATCAAAACATCTTCTTTATTTGAACCATCACTCTTTCTGGTCGATTATCAGTATAAAAAGGGTAACATGAGTAATACAAAATGGTTCTGAAGCCTACAAGGACATTTGGAATCATGGTATAAACTTCATTGTTTACCCATCAGATGCTAAATAGTTCTTTGCTTTTATAGCCCTGAAGTAGTTAGATAGCATAATATTTCAGAAAACAAAGGCCATTAATTTTGATATATAGAAACAAAAGAATTATTAATGAAAAAGTTAAATTTTTAATGAACTAACATATACAATGTGTCCAGCATAGTCCTTGTCTCAATAAATGATAGCTGTTATAATGATCTGATCTTTCTGGAAGGGTATCATGGTAGTTAAGCATATGGTTTGGGAAATCAGTGAGATTCTGATTACTGTCTATTTTATATTTCTATTTTGACACTGTCCCCTTCTCTCAGTTTCCTCTTTGGTAAATGGGGATAAGAATAATGCCTCCCTCAGTTTGTTATGGACATTATTACTTAATATAGATATATTTATTTTATTACTTATTTTACATTTATTAGAAGGAAGACCTATGAGTTTCATATATATGGATGAAGCTAGTGAAACTAAGCCCCAAATCGGTAGAATTTTCCCTGTTTGTGAGAATGATACACGGTTAGGTTTTCTCCTTTTTCTTGAACCCATTTTGACTCCCCTCAAGGCATCATCTATGGATCACAGTGGTTAATTATTTTATTTATCCAATAAGTATTCCTTGCTGACATTACCCAAAATGTCCTTTTGACCCTTGCCTCAGTTGAATCATGTTGGGCTCCAGTCACATTTATTTGACACTTGAAATAGCTTTCCTACTACACAATTTCCTAATGGCATTTTTCATCTGAGCATTCCTCAAGGTGTAGATTAAGGGGTTTAACATAGGAGCTATCATAGTGTAGAATACAGCAACTGCTTTATCAATGGGTAAAGTAGCTGGAGGTCTCATGTACACAAATATGCAGGGTATAAAGAATAAGATGACAACTGTGATGTGGGAGACACAGGTGGAGAGGGCTTTGCACCTTGCCTCTAAGCTGTGGGTCCTTAAGGAGTACAGTATGACCATATAGGAGACCAGGAGCAAGAGAAAGTTTAACAGGCATATGAACCCACTGTTGGCAGCAACGAAGAGTCCTAGAGTGTGGGTATTAGTGCAGACAAGATTGAGCAAAGGGTTGAGATCCCACATAAAGTGATCTATGACATTAGGACCACAGAAAGGTAATTGGAAGATGAAGAGGATCTGTACGGTTGCATGAAGAAAGCCTCCTACCCATGACACTCCCACTAGCAGGCTACAAACATGCTGCTTCATGATGGTGGTATAGTGCAAGGGCTTGCAGATGACCACGTAGCGGTCATAGGCCATTACAGTAAGTAGGATGACCTCAACACCTCCGAAAAAATGTTCTCCAAAGACTTGAGTCATACATCCATTGAGTAAGATAGTCTTGTTTTCATAGAGTGAATCTGTGATCAGCTTAGGGGCATTGACGGAGGAATAGCAGGCATCAATAAAGGACAGATAGGCCAGGTAAAAGTACATGGGGGACCTCAATGATGGGCTGGCAGTGACGGTGACCACAATGAGCACATTTCCTATCATGGTGGTGATGTAGATGACAAAACACAACAAATATGATTTTCTGCATTTTTGGATTCTCTATAAGCCCCAGTAGAATAAACTCTGTCACATTGTTTCTATTCACCATGTATTTCAAATGGTGGTTAATTACAATACCTGAAAAGAAAACAATTTTTATTGATACATCTTTAAATTTGTTTAAACTTCTCCATTGTAATATGTAATATAATAAATTCTTGGATTCTACTGGGTTGTGATATGATGATTTTTTCTGAGACAGGAAAAAATTTTGGGTTTTGGAGGTTTACTCAAATTGCCTCCCTGGTGAAGACTGTGCTAAGAGTTTTGACATGAGAAACTTTTGTAGCACGCAGGGAGGAGACCATCTGTGAACACTTTATCATCTGTAACAACTAAAAGTTGAATGATTCACACATAGTGGCAACTAAGCCTGAAAAGACTATAGAATATAGATGTAAAGCACATGAATGCAAAACTCAAAATTTGTTCTCTGTCTCTCTCTCTCTCTTTTTTTTTTTAAAGAAAATAATGAAACATGAAATGTTATGCACAATATAAGTGAAATGATAAAGAGGAATCTGAAGAAGGGGGATTCTTGGGATATTTCTCTAGTGAAGGTCTTTGTGTGTTTTTTATGACATGGGCTGAGATCCAGTAAGGAGCTGGAAGCCAGATAATGAAACTTAGTTAGCAGACTATTTAGAGTAGTTGACATAAGAATAACAGTGAATTTGTGGTGAATTTGTGATGAAAATGTAAAGAAAGAATATAAGAGCTACTATAAAAGAATTCACAATCTATTGTCTAAGTCCTATTAACTTTATAATGGCTAATAATATACACCTTTGAATAACTGCTATAAGCATGACATTATAGAATGTGCTTTGCACACATGATCTCATTTTATCAATTTTACAGATGAGGACACAATCTCAGTGACTAATATTAATAGTTATAGTGTTAATATTAACTAATATTTACTGAACACAGCATTTTTCAAGTGCTTTTACAGACATTTGCTTATTGAATCCTCACTGAAAACCTATGTATTAGTTACTATTGTCTTTTTACACTTATTTTACACATTAGGAAATAGAAGCACATAGAAATTAAGGTTCCTCCCAAGATCGAGCAGATAATCAAGGCTGGACCCAATATTAAGTTTCAGATTATGCTTGTTAATTTTTTCCCTCCGAAGTCTTAACTCATGCCTTATATTGTTATAATAAACAATGTTGAACTTGTAATTTCCCCTTGATATGGCCATAATTTTTATAATTACTTTAATACTACTTCAGAGACAAGTTTATATGAAGTAACTTCATCATCAGACAGACACACACACACATGATGATATATTGAAACTCCTAAATATTAAGAAAAATGTGGTATTACATTCACTGAAGGGCTGTTTTTGCTTAGCGTCTCCCTCAGCCCTATCCATTCCTTCTCAATCCCCTTCCAAAGCACGGGACCCTAGCCAGAATCTTCTGCAAAGTGTTAAAAAACCATTATCACAATAGTTAAGTGTGTTAGTTTGAGAATCAGAAAGACCAGATCAGAATCCTCGTTTTTCCACCTATAACTTCTTTTACCTGGGGTATATTTCTTGGCACCTTCCATCTTAATCTTATCATCCAGAAAATGATAGTACTATTCACCTCACATACTGTTACGATAATTAATTGGGAGAACATATATGAATATATCTACCTTACTGTTAGGGACATACACAGGACTTTCATTTATTTTTATGGCTGTATAAGCCTACGAGACAGGATAAATTGACAGTGTGATCAATATAATACAGAGAAACATTTGACCATGCATTAAGCTCACAAAGAAAGTTCTCCAATTTTCCTTTTACAGGGCTTTATATTATTCAGAGCAAGTGATCCCAGGAAAGCTTCTCCATGTTTGTGCTTGGACTAATGAGATGATGATTTGCCATTTAATATTCATATTTATGTCTTTTGTGTGTGTGAAGTGTATTTAAATTTTGTTTTAGTCCTCATACCTTGTCTCATTCACTAAGGAGGTGTCTCATGGCAAAAACATGGTACCCAATATCAGAGAGATGGGTTCCACAAATTGCTTAATCTCTATAAGCCTCAAATATTTCAACTGTCAAATTAGGCTAATGATATTTACCAACTACCTTTTGAATAATTGGAGTGAGAATGCAAGACTCTATTACTCTGTTGAAAAGTGTTGAAAAATACTGATTACTATATATAGAAAGTAACAATCTTTGATAAGCTTCAGCCCTATTGAAAAACTTACCTTTGTTGTCTTTGATGATCTTAATGATGTTTAGGGGTGCTCAGACACAATCTTATTTGAGATTATCTTTTCTTGGGATAAGTAAGTTTCAATGTGAAAGATATTTCACACTTCAAAAGAGTTTATTCAGGTGATTCAATATCAAATCAACAGTTGTTAAGAAAGTCTGCTTGTAAGTCTAAATATTTTATTCTAGCCTAAAGCCTCTGAACATTTTCACAAAAAAATGATCTTACATGGCTCTGGTCCCCTCAGGGTAAGATGAAGAAAGTGTGGAGGAAATACATGTAAATGAGTCACTCAATTCATGATGAATCTTGCTTTGGAGATGTGAACAACAACAACAACAAAAAACATTTTTATCTTGTACTGCATGTATATTTAAAGAGGTTTCTACAAAGATTCAGAGACCTTGTCTTTTAGCTATTGCTTTCTCTCCCAGGAATTAATTATCTCTTTTGATGGAAAGACTTTGTCTTAGAAGCAGATATTCTGGAGAGACATGTTTGAAAAATACCCATCCTGAATGGGGAATTGAATTCTCCGTATTTAAAACTTAAGCCTGTGAGAGTCCCTTTTTCCTATCTGAACCCAGGTTTCTAAGAAAGCTGAATGCCACGTAAATGGCAAGGTGGCATAATTCCAGAGTGGGCACCCCATGTAGTTTCCCTGTAGACTCATGCTACAGAAAGAGCTGCTATTTTTTCACCTAATATGAAACCTTTTTTGGAAAAATGTTATTGATTTCTTGAGATCTAGAGCACTGAGGGCATGAAATTAATGGCAGCCATTTTAAAAGACTTGAAATGCTGTTTTTCTTTCCCTCCTCCTACTTTATTGAGGTATATTTGACAAGAAATTTTTATATTCAATTTTATATTCAAGAAATTTTTATAAATCATATTGATGATTTATATGTGTATACATTGGGCAGTAATCACCATAATCAACATAATTAATATGCTCATCACCTTACATAGTTAATCACTTTTATTGGTATGGTGAGAAACTTAAGCTCTACCTTCTTAAATCTACTGTAATGTATACAAAACTGTAGTAATAACTATAGTCACTTTGCTGTACCTTAGCTCTACAACCTATTTTACATAAGTGCAACTTTATGCACCTTGACCAGCATTTCCATTTCTCCCTGCTCTAGCCCCTCACAACCACCATACTATTCACTGTTTCTATGAGTTTTATTATTTTAGCTTTTACATATAAGTGAGGACATGCAATATTTGTCTTTTTGTGCCTGGCTTATTTTGTTTAGCATAATGTCCTGCAGACTTATCCATGTTTTTGCAAATGGAAGAATTTCTTTTCTTTTAAGGCTGAATAATATTTATGTATATATAAAATCACTTTTCTAATCCATTAAGTTACCAACAGGCAATTAGATTGTTGCTATATCCTTGTATTGTGAATAATACTCCAATAAACATGGAATACAGGTATCTTTTCAAGATACTGATTTCATTTTCTTTGGATATACAACCAGAAGTGAGATTGCTGGATCAGAAGCTTTCTAATTTTGGGGGGAACCTCTATACGGTGTTCCCAATGACTGTATCAACTTACATTCTCACCAACTGTGCACAAGGGTTTTCTTTCCTCCACTTCTTCACTAACATTTATCTTTTTTCTGATATAGTTATCCTACATGTGTGAGGTGATATTTCATTGTGATTTTGATTTGCATTACTATAATAATAAGTGATATTGAGTATCTTTTCAAATACTGGTTGGACGTTAATATATTTTCTTTTGAGAAATGATTATTCTCATTCTTTGTCCATTTTTAAATTTTTTTGCTATTGAGTTTTATGTGTTCCTTTTATATTTTGGATATTAACTCCTAATCATATACATGGCTTGCAAATATTTTCTCTCATTCCATAGATTGCCTTTTCACTTTGTTGATTGTTTCCTTTGCTGTGAAGAAGCTTTTCATTTGATGCAATACTACTCATTTATTTTTGCTTTTGTGACCTGTGCTTTTGGTATCAGATTAAAATATTGTCCAGACCAAAATCAAGATTTTCTTTCCCCTGTTTTCTTCTACTAACCTTATAGTTTCAGGTATTGCATTTAAGTTGTCAATCCACTTTCATTTGCTTTTTGTATATGGTGTGAGATAAGGGTCCAATTTCATTCTTCCATTTGTGAATATTCAGTTTTTCTAACACCATGTATTGAAGAGACTCTTCTTCCTCCTAATGTGAGTTCTTGACACCTTTGTCAAAGATGAGTTAATAGATATGTGGGTTTATTTCTAGGCTACTATAGTATTAGAATAGTCTATCTTTACCAATGAGTTTATGCTTTCATATGTTTTCATGTTGTAAGTTAGTGTCCTTTCATTTCAGCTCACTTTTGTTTCAAGCATGAAGAATTTCCTTTAGTATTCCCTTTAAGGCAGGTCCAGTGGTGATGAACTCACTCAGATTATGTTTGTCTGGGAAAGTTTTATCTCTTTTTCATTTCTGAACAGTTTTTCTGAGTATTTTGTGTTGATAGTTCTCTTTCTTTTTCTTTCAGCACTTTGAATATATTATCTCACCCTCTCCTGGCCTGCAAGGTTTCTGCTGACAAATCTGCTAATAGTTTTATTCCTTTGTATGTGATAAGTCACTTTTTCCTTAGTGCTTTCAAACTTCTCTCTTTATCCTTAATTTTGGCAATTTGATTCTACTGTGTTTTGGTGAAGACATCCTTATGTCCTAACTTTTGTAGATCTTTGGGCTTCATGGGTCTGGATGTTTATATTCCTTCCTACATTTGGGGACACTTTTCTTTATTATCATTTCTTTAAGCATACTTTTAGATTCTCTTTCTTTCTCTGTTCCTTCTGGGTAGCCCATAATACATACATTGACATACAGGATGGTGTTCCAGAAATACCAAAGGCTTTTTTAACTTTATTTTTCCTTTTTTTCCCTCTGAGTGAGACAAGTTTCAAGCGATCTGTCTTCAAGCTTGCTGATTCTTTCTCCTGCTTGGTTGAGTCTGCTTTGCAGCTCTCTTTATGGAATTTTTCAGGTCACTGTGTTCCTCTCTTGAATTTCTGTTTGATTCCTTTTTATGGTTTATATATTTTTATTGAACTTCTAATTTTGTTCATGCATTGTTTTCCTAATTTTTAAAGTTGTTTATCTGTGTTATGTATTCCCATGAAGTCTTGAAGACAATTATTTTGAATTCCTTGTCAGACAGTTCATATATCTCCATTTCTTTAGGGTCAATTACTGTTGATTTATTTATTTCCTTTGGTGGTATCATGTTTTTCTGATCCTTCATGATTCTTATAAACTTGCTTTTGTGTCTTTGCATTTGAAGAAGTTATCATCTCTTGTAGCCTTTACAGTCTGTCTTCTGCTGGGAAAGTCCTTCACCAGTCAGCTTGTCTAGAATTCCTGTGTGAGCCAACAGTTGAAGAGACTATAGGCAGTTTGACTGTAGAGGTCTCCAGGCAGATAACCTTGCTATCTGTTTCCACAGGGTTGGCCTTGCATTACAGTCCAGTGGGAACAGACCTGACACATGGGTCTGCAGTTGTGAGCCTGGAGCCTGGGTCCACCAGGGTGAGTTTACAACCTGGGTTTATGTGGGCTGGCCTGGCACTGGAGCAGACCTTGAGTCTGCATTTTTGAGGGACGGCCTGGAACTGGGGTAGGGTGGAAACTGAGTCCTCCATAGCGGAGCTGTACCTGTGTTAAGCCTAGTGCCAGGGTCCATGGGTACTGGCCTTCCACAGACGCTCACTGGGGCAGACATGTAGGTTGAATCCATAGGGGTTGGTCTAGTGCCTGGTTTGCATTCCTGGCCTGGTGCTGAGGTGGGCTGATAGCCTGTTTTCATGGGGACTGGCCTGGTACTGAGGCAGGCCTAGAACCTAGATCCACGTAGCAGTCTAACCATAGAATAGGCCTGAAACTGGGGCCAGTCTGGCAGTGGGGTGGGTCTGGTTCCTGTATCTACATGAGCTGGCCTTGCAAAGGTGCTGGCCTGAAGCTTTAGTGTGTGAAGGGGTGGTGCAGCCCTGGTGACCTAACTACTTGTGCCAGCCTGGCTTTGAGTTAGTGAGGACCTCATTGGTACTAGGACTGGTTTTGTGACTTGGTCTAAGAGAGCTGGCCTAGTGCTGGGGTGGTTTAGAAGCCTGGGTCTGTGGGGACCTGCCTGGCTCTGGGGTGAGCCTGGTGCTTAAGTTCATGCGAATCAGCCTGGTGCTTGAGACTGTTGGTGCAGGCCTGAATAGGCGTCTGCAATGAAGTCAATTCTCACTTCACTTTTCTTTTCCACATAGGAGAGCCCTGGGACAGAGAGGGTCTCTCTTAGCCTTGTGCTGCATGGGCTTGGGGAAGGGGTGACTTGGGTAAAGTAAAGCTGTTCTTCCCCCATTCAGTGCATCTTTTCCTGATTGTGTCTTCCACTTGGGTACTGTAAGTTCTCACCTGTGATCTAGAACTCTTGTGAAGGTATTTTCATGTGCGGATGGATATTTATATTGGTGTTTCTGTGAGGGAATGTGATGTGGAACCTCGTATTCTATCTTTTGACATCACTATCTTTGTGCATTTTTTTTTTTAAGACGGAGTCTCGCTCTGTTGCCCAGGCTGGAATGCAGTGGCCCGATCACAACTCACTGCAAGCTCTGCCTTCTGGGTTCATGCCATTCTCCTGCCTCAGCCTCCTGAGTAGCTGGGACTACAGGCGCCCGCCACCATGCCCAGCTAATTTTTCTGTATTTTTAGTAGAGACGGGGTTTCACTGTGTTAGCCAGGATGGTCTCGATCTCCTGACCTTGTGATCCACCCGCCTTGGCCTCCAAAAGTGCTGGGATTACAGGCATGAGCCACTGCGCCTGGCCCCTTCGTGCATTTTTAATTGAGTTGTCTTTTTATTTTTGAGATGTAAAGAGTTCTTTACATATTTTTATACAAGATCCTTATCAAATATATGATTTGGAAATATTTTCTCCCATTTTGTGAACTGATTTTGACTTTCTAGATAGTTCCCTTTGAGGCACAAAAGTTTAAGTTTTGATAAAGTTCAATTTGTCTATTTTTCATCTGTTGCCTGTTTATTGCTGTATTTAAGAAACCATTGTCTAATCCCAAGATCATGAAGATTTACCCCTCTGTTTTCCTCTAATACTTATATCGTTTTAGATTTTACACTGGATCTTTGATCCATTTGGGATTAATTTTTGTATATGGCAAGACAAAGGGTTCCAAATTTATTCCTTTGTATTTGGGTATCCAGTTGTCCCAGTATCATTTGCTGAAGAGATAATTCATTTTCTACTGAATGTTCTTGACTACTATTATTGTCACCTTAATTATATTAAGTCTTCCATCTATGAAGAGTAGATGGGCTTCTGTTTATTTTGGTCTTTGTCTTACTTCATTCATGCTGCTGTAACAAAATACCACAAACTAATTTATAAAAAATAGAAATTTATGTCTCACAGAACTAAAAACTGGGAAGTCCAAGATCTAGGTAGTCAATGTCCATCAATGATAGACTGGATTAAGAAAATGCGGCACATATACATCATGGAATACTATGCAGCCATAAAAAAGGATGAGTTCCTGTCCTTTGGAGGGACATGGATGAAGCTGGAAACCATCATTCTGAGCCAACTATCACAAGGACAGAAAACTAAACACCGCATGTTCTCACTCACATGTGGGAATTGAACAATGAGAACACTTGGACACAGGACAGGGAACATCACACCCCAGGGCCTGTCGTGGGGTGGGGGGTCGGGGGAGGGATAGCATTAGGAGAAATACCTAATGTAAATGACAAATTGATGGGTGCAGCAAACCAACATGGCGCATGTATACCTATGTAACAAACCTGCACGTTGTGCACATGTGCCCTAGAACTTAAAGTATGAAAAAAAAAGTCTGAATGTCTCCAAAATCAAAATCAGTCTAAAGAAGACATAAAATTTAATAGAATCCTTATGACAAATAAGAAAGTTATAGTATAATAATACTTCTAGTAAAGTTTATTAGTATTTACTACAACGTGGTTCATGCTAGAAAGTCATTGTCTTGTTAATCTGCACAAGAGCCTTATGAAATAGATACTGTTTTTCTTGATTTCCAACACAATTGGATGAAGCCTGGAAAATTTAAATAAATTACTTTAGTCACAGAGGTAGCGAATACCTGAGGTAGGATTTGAGCTCATGTAGTTTTTCTTTGGAACTTACACTTTTAGGCACTATGGTATATACCAGAAAAATGACACACATTTGAATAAAGAAAAATTCTAGTCAGGGAAATGCGCAATAAATAAACCTTTTTAAGAAAGGATAAATTCAGAGTGAAAAGGACTTAAAAAGGAGAAACCTGTGATGTGATAGAGAGCAACTCAGAAGGCAGGGTGGGGTTACTTCAGATTGGGTGTTGAAAAAGATTTAAGTGCAAGAATTTAGTGTTTAACCTATCCAGGGTGAGGAACAATGAGCTGAAAGTCATAAGTAAAACAGTAGAGAGAAATTTATGTATGTGGAGGAGGAATATTATCTGACCTGATACAACTCTTGTTTTTAATTTCTCTCTTCTCTTTTGACCCTATCACCAACTAAATTTATCATATTATAATTAATTCATCTCTAACTAAAATCAGGATGAAGCAAAAAAAAGCATATGCATCCAAGCAACCACCTTTCCCCAGAAGTCTTTGTGTGTGCCTCTGGCAGTTGCTGTTTCTGATGGACTTTTTGGTGTAGTCAACGACATTGATCTCCACTTTGCTTCTGCGTGACTATTGTTTTAAAATTAATTTCTATCTGTTTTCCCCATGTAAAAAATTCACTTAGTGAAGTTGAGCTAGGTTGATTTGTAAAAGGAAAACTATTTAACCAATTGTAATTGATGTTTTCATATCCTGTCAGAGTCTGTACAATTGTTCCCCACTCAAACATGTATCTGTTTGATCTCATCCAGCACCACTCTCTCCCTTGTTCACTGTGATCCAGCTGCAGTGACCTCATTCTTGCCCTCGGGCCATTGTACTAGCTCTTCTTTATTCCCCGAATGCTCATCTTTTAGATCTTCATATGGCTAGGTCCTTGTCATTACTCAGTCTGCAGTTCAATTTCTCCTCCTTAGAGGTCTTCTTGAGCCATCCATGTAAAGCCATTCTCTATCTCTTTGAGTTATTTTCTATCACATTACTTTGCTACATTTTGTTGTCAACATTTTCACCACGTGATTGTCAGATGTAATTGTTTTTTTTTTTTTTTGTCCATTTTTTCCAGTTAGAGTTAAAATCCATGAAAGTAGAGGTATTGGCTGTTTTGTTCACTATGGCATTTGCAGCACAAGAAATGCCCACACGTTTATTCTACGTCAAGCCTATTCTGTGCCAAGAATGGGCTGTTATGAATAAATGCAGTTTTCAAAGGGACCCTTGCTAACCAGAATGCTTCTGCAATTGATGGCTTTCCATTCTTGGTGACAAATTGAAATAAAGAATTTTAGATCAGTTTAGTATATCAGCCATGGTTCTTAGGTGATGACACAGAATTATCTGTAGCTAGTTTAAGTAGAAGGGATTTATTATATGCAATTAAGTTGTTTAAAGAACCTTTGGAAGGGTTAGAATGGCAGAGTCTGACCTGAATGACCAGGAATAACTTTTAGAAGCACATCTGTTGGGACAGGTGCTCCAAAGGAGCCGCTGTCCCTCTGACACCATGGTTATGTTGCCACATCTCCACAGGTGCTGCTGCTTCTCTGACCGCAGAACCACTTCGCTTTTGTTGACATCGTCAGAACCCAGCCTCAGATAACTAATTTCCAACTCAAAGACTTGCACGGAGGCTCCTGGTTCGTATCTCCCAAGTCATGTGACTAACCTTCTGGGACTAACATTGTATAGCATATGATTTGGTAGCAAATCTCAAGCAGCTCTTCTAACTTAATTTGAGATGCTTATTAATGGAAGAGTCCCTCGATTGAAAAAATGTTTCTCTTACTTTACTTTCATTTTCACATTTCTATTTTTTATTGTATACATTTAAGTTATACAACTTAATGTTTTGATATACATGTACATGGTGAAACTATGTACATGTATATCACAGTTTAACATATCCATCATCTCACATGGTTATCTTTTTGCATCTTAAATTTTTTTTTTTTTGGTTAGAGGACCCAAAGCCTACCCTGTTAGAAAATTTGCAGTGATACAATGCAATATTATTAACTATAGTTTTTATACTACACTTTATTTAGATCTTTAGATTTATTCATCCTACATATCTTCCCATTTTTCCCACCCTCTGCCTCTGGTAACCACTGTTGTTCTATTCTCTGTTTCTACATATTCAGCTATTTATTTTTATTTTTTTGTATTCCACATATAGGAGAAATTGTGCAATATTTTTCTTTCTGAGTCTGGCTTATTTCACTAAACATGTCTTCCAGGTTCATTCATATTATTGCAAATGGCAGGATCTCCTTGTTTTTAAAATTGAAATAATATTCATGTATATGAATACTATATATTATATTATATATATATGCAAAAAGATAACCATGTGAGATGATGGATATGTTAAAGTGCATATCTGTAGTAATAGTTTCACCATGTACATGTATATATAAATTATGTATATTATATATTATATTAAAGTAATATAATACACATATTACATTATCAATATAGTAATAATATACTATGTTAATATAATTCATAATAATATATTTTAATAATAATCACATTCATATTTTATTATGCTTTTAAAAAAATCTAGTCATCTGTTGAGAAACATTTGGGTTTTGTTTCCATATGGTGGTTATTGTGAATAACGCTGCAATGAACATGTGAGTGCAGATATATCTACAAGTACTACTTTCATTTCCTATGGGTGTATATCCAGAAGAGGGATTGCTGACCCACATGGTAGTTCTATTTTTAATTTTTCAATGAGCCTCATGCTCTGTCCCCTAATGGCTGTTCCAATTTACATTTCCACCACCAGTATACCAGTGTTCTCTTTTCTCCACGTCCTTGCCAACACTTATGATCTCATCTTTTTGATAAAGCCATCCTAAGAAGTGTGAGGTGATGTCTCATTGTAATTTTAATTTGCATTTACCTGAAGATTAGTAATATTGGGCATCTTTTCTTTTATCTATTGGCCAGGTTTTTGTTTCGTTTGGAGAAATATCCATTCAGGTTCTTTGGTAATATTTAATTGGATTATTAATTTTTTTGCTGTTGAGTTATGTAAATTCCTTATATATTTTGGATATTAACTCCTTAACGGATTTATGGGTTACAAATATTTTCTCCCAATTTCTAGGCTGTCTTTTACTTTTGTTGTTTTCTTTGATATGCCAAAGTTTTTGGCTTGATGTACTCCCACTTGTTTAGTTTTTGCTTTTATTTCTTGTGCCTTGGGTGTCCTATCCAAAAAATTATTGGCAAGACCAATGTCATGCAGCTTTTCCAAGATGTTTTCTCCTAGGAGTTTTATAGTTTATAGTCTTGTATTTAGTTCTTTAATCCATTTTGATTTGATTTTTCTTTATGGTATAGTATAAGGGTCCAGTTTTATTCTTTTGCATGTGGATATCCAGTTTTCTTAACACCACTAATTGAAGAGAGTAACTTTTCTTTATGTTTTATTCTTGGTACTTTTGTCAAAGATTAATTAATAGTATATGCCTGGGGCCAGGTGCAGTGGCTCACACCTGTAATCCCAGCACATTGAGAGGCCAAGGTGGGTAGATCACCTGAGGTCGGGAGTTCAAGACCAGCCTGGCCAACATGGTGAAACCCCCGTCTCTACTAAAAATACAAAAATTAGCTAGGTATGGTGGTGGGCAACTGTAATCCCAGCTACTTCGGAGGCTGAGGCTGGAGAATTGCTTGAACCTGGGAGGTGGAGGTAGCAGTGAGCTGAGATTTCCCACTGCACTCCAGCCTGGGTGACAGAGCGAGACTCTGTCTTAAAAAAAAAAAAGAAGAAGAAAAATGTATATGCATGGGCTTATTTCTTGGCTTTCTATTCTGTTCCTTTGGTCTATGTGTCTGTTTTTATGTCAATACTGTTTTTACAACCATACTGATTTGATGATAATAGCTTTGTGACATAATTTTTATTTTTATTTTATTTTATTTTATTTTATTTTATTTTATTTGAAACAGAGTCTTGCTCTGTCACCTAGGCTGGAGTGCAGTGATGTAATCATGGCTGACTGCAGCCTGCACCTCCCAGGTTCAAGAGATTCTCATGTCTCAGCCTCCCAAGTAGCTAGGATTACAGATGTGCACCACCACACCTGGCTAATTTTTGTATTTTTAGTAGAGAAGAGGTTTTACCATACTAGCCAGTCTGGTCTCAGACTCTTGGCTTCAAGTGATACACCTGCCTCAGACTTCCAAAGTGCTTGGATTATAGGTGTGCACCACACCCAACCACTTTGTCACATAATTTTTAATCAGGAATTGTGATGCCTCCAACTTTTTTTTCCCCTCAAGATTGCTTTGGCTACTTGAGGTCTTCTGTAGTTCCATTTGAATTTTATTTATTTATTAAAAAAGTCTAAACTTTAAAAAATGTCACTGGAATTTTTACATGATTACAATGGTACAGGTTACATTGAATTTGTATATCACTTTGGATGGCATGGACATTTTAACAATATTGATTTTTTTCTATCCATGAACATGTGGTTCATTTGTCTATGGCCTACCATCCTGAAGAAGCTCAATATCTGATCTCAGAAGGAAAGCTAGGTTGAGCCTAATTAGTACTCTCGTTTTTTAAATAAACCAAAAAATATATTGTTCACTATTGTGTATTAGGCACTGCGTAAGCACTTTACACGCCTTATATCATATTGTCATCATAACGTCATGAATTACATATTATTCTCTTCATTTTAGGGAAACAATGAGACTTGTAGATGTTCAAAATAACTTTTTAAAGTTATAACATTGTAAGTAAGAAGGCTAACTCTGATAATCTGTCTCCAGCTTAAATTCCTATTTAAAATCCATAGTCATCTATGTCCAAAATGGTAAAATCATTTCATATTGTCTCATCTCTCTATCTGGACCTTTGCTCCAAATGTGGGCTCCAGAACAACTTATCCTCAGGCAGGTATGAGCTTCCTTTCCCTGATTGCTTGTCGGGTTGTTATTGTTTTAAACACATATTTTATTTTTTAGTGTCACAGAATTTGAGCAGGTAGTACAAAGAGTTCCTATATAACCTCTGTACCTACACATGCATAGTATCCTCTACTATCAACATTCCACACACCACAGTGGTACACTTTTACAACAATAAACCTCTATTGATACACCTATCTAACTCAAAGTTCTTAGTTTACACTAGGATTTGCTCTTGGTATTGTATGTTCTATGAGCTTGGACAAATATATAATGACATGTATCTACTGTTACAGTATCATGTAGAATAGAGTAACTGACATAAAAATCCTCTGTGCTCAAGACTTGGAACCAACCCAAATGCCCATCAATGATAGACTGGATAAAGAAACTGTGGCACATATACACCATGGAATACTAAGCAGCCATAAAAAAGCATGAGTTCATGTCCTTTTCAGGGACATGGATGAAACTGGAAGCCATCATTCTGAGCAAACTAACAGAGGAACAGAAAACCAAACACCACATGTTCTCACTCGTAAGTGAGAGTTCAACAATGAGAAAACAGGAACCCAAGGAGGGGAACATCACACACTGGGGCCTTTCAGGCCATGGGTGGCAAGGGAAGGGAGAGCATTAGGACAAATACCTAATGCATATGGGGCTTAAAACCTAGATGACGGTTTGATGGGTGCAGCAAAACACCATAGCACGTGTATACCTATGTAACAAACCTGCATGTTCTGCACATGTATCCCAGAACTTAAAGTAAAACTAAAAATAAAAAGCCTCTGTGCTCCACTTATTTATCCCTCCTTCTTCCATAAACCCTAATGTCCACTGATATTTTTGCTGTCTCCATAGTTTAGCCTTTTCCAGAATGCCATATAGTTGGAAATGTACAATGTATAACCTATTCGAATAGGCATTTTCACTCAGTGATATGCATTTTGTTTTCTCCATGTGTTTTCATGGCTTGGTAGTTCATTTCTTTTTAGTACTGAATAATATTTCATAGTCTGGATGCACACATTTGTTTATCCACTTACCTAATAAAGAGCATCTTCATGGCCTCTAAGTTTTGGCAATTATGAATAAAGCTGCTAGAAACATTTGTGTGTGAGTTTTTGTGTGGGCATAAATTTTCATCTTGAGTAAATATCAAAAATCCCATTTGCTTGATTGTATGATAACAGTATGTTTAGTTTTATAAGAAATTGCCAAACTGTCTTCCAAAGTATCTGACATGATTTGTCTATTGTATGATCTATTTCTTCACCAATACTACATTGTCTTGATTGCTGTACCTCTATAGCAAGTCTTGAAGTTGGGTAGTATCAGTTCTCCAACTTTGTTCTTTCCCTCAGTATCACATTAGCTATTCTTGGTCTTTTGCCTTTCCATATAAGCTTTACAATTAGTTTGTCAATATTTACAAAATACCCTGCTGGAATTTTGACTGGGATTAAAATGAATGCATAGATTAAGTTGGGAAGAATAGACATCTTGACAATATTGAGTCTTCCTATCCATGAATATGAAATATTTCTTCATTTATTTAGTTTTTTTATTTGTTTTTTCTTTTTCATTTTTCTTTTTTGTTTTGAGATGGAGTTTCACTCTTGTTGTCCAGGCTGGAGTGCAATGGTGTGATCTCAGCTCACCGCAACCTGCGCCTCCCAGGTTCAATTGATTCCCCTGTCTCAGCCTCCCAAGTAGCTGGGATTACAGGCATGTGCCACCACGCCTGGCTAATTTTGTATTTTTTCTTAGTAGAGACGGGGTTTCTGCATGTTGCTCAGGCTGGTCTCGAACTCCTGACCTCAGGTGATCTGCCTGCCTCAGCCTCCCAAAGTGCTGGGATTAATGGCCTGAGCCACTGTGCCCTGCCTTGATTTGTTAATTAGAGCTTTGTAGTTTTTCTCACTTGTACACATTTTGTTAGATTTATACCTGAGTATTTCATTTTTTTGGAATGCTAAAGTAAATGATATTGTGTTTTGAATTTTAGATTATACTTGTTCATTGCTGGTATATAGAAAAGTGATTGACTTTTGTACATTAACCTTGATCCTGCCACTCTGCTCTAATTATTAGTTCCAGTATTTTTTTGTTTATTTAAAAAAATTTCTACATAGATGATCATGTCATCTACAGACATTGACAGTTTTATTTCTTCCTATCAGTATATTTTTTATTCTTTTTCTTGTCTTATTACATTAGCTAGGACTTCCAGGACAATGTTGACAAGAAGTGATGAGAAGAGACATTCTTGCCTTTTTCCTAGTCTTAGTAGGAAAGCTTCAAGTTTCTCACCATTAAGTGTGATGCTGGCTGTAGATTCTTACTTTACGGATTTTTTTTTAAGAATCATAAATAGGTGTTAGATTTTTTTCAAATGCTTTTTCTGCATCTATTAATATGGTAATTTGATTTTTTCCCTTTAACATTTCACACAATGGATTATGTTAATTGATTTTTGAATGTTGATCTCACCCTGCATACCTGGACTAAATTGTACACCAGGATCTACTGAGATTTAGTCCAGGTATGCAGGGTGGAATCAACATTCAGAAATACCTGGACTAAATCTCAGTTGATCCTGGTGTACAATTATCTTTATATATTGTTGAATTTAATCTGCTAATATTTTGTTGAGGATTTTTGCATATATGTTAAAAAGAGATATTAGTCTGAAGTTTTCTTTTGTTGTAATGTCTTTGTTCTTGGGAATAGGGTATGGTGGGCTTCATTGAATGAGTTAGGAAGTCTTTCCTCTTCTATTTTCTAAAAGAGATTTAGAGAACTGGTATAATATAATCCTTAAATATTTGGTAGAATTTACCAGTGAACCTGTCTGACCTGGTACTTTCTGTTTTTTAAGGTGCTATGGATTTAATGTTTGTGTCACCCTGAAGTTCATGTATTAAAATTCTAACCCCCTATGTAATGGTATTAGGAGGTGGAGCCTCTGAGAGGAGACTAGGCCATCAGGGTAGAGCCCTGATAAATGGGATTAGTGCCCTTATAAGAGGCCCTTAGAGAAGGCTATGATTGGGTATTTCATTTACTTCAAATAGGTTAGGCTGTAATAAAACCCTAGCAAGTTAGGGTGTGGCTAACAGTAGGTTCTTCTGAGGGCAGGCCTTGTTAAGAAGAACAGAATACTGTGGATATTTAAAAATGTTTTTCCCCATCTCCAGGAAGATGAATTTATCACTTATTTCCCTACTTTGCCATAGCAATTATTTTCTTTTTATCTAATACTTGATTTTTTTCCCATTAGTGTGGGTTTGGATATATTTTTTAAAAATTTTGTTTAACGTACGGACAGGACTTTTTCTAACATCTTCTGTGAGTGTCAGGTAGGGATAATGAAGTTAAAACTCACAAAAGTGTGAGAGACCCCCTGCCCTGCCCCACCTTGACTGGCTCCCCTAGAGTTTTTATCTTTCAGGCATCTCTTTCAGGCTTCTCCACATTAAGAAGTTCATCAATTAAGTTCAGGGTTTTCCGACCTACATCTACCCTCCTTGGCATTGGCTCCTGTGGGGTTTCTGCTTGTGGGTTTTTGCTCAGGGAAGGTGGGATTCTCTCTATCTGCCTGTCTATCTCTGCAATTTTGAGGGCAGCGGTTTGCGTTGTGAGCTCACTTCTTTGTTGGATTTAAGATGAATTGTTGGTATTTATTTTGTTCAGCTTTTTTTCTTGTTGTTAGATTACAGTGGTGACTTCTAAGTTCTTTACATGCTAGATTAGAAGTTCCCCTTACTTTTCTTTAAAAAGAACTTTCAATGAAATACAAATTCCTTACCAAGATCTATACTGCCCTGCAGGGCTTGGCTTCTGTCCATCTCTTCAACCTCAGTTTGTTCTGTCCTTTCTCTTTTCCATTTCCTTTCAGGTACTAAGACGTTCCGTTGACTTGCACTTGCTCAGCTCTTTAAATATTGGAGCTTTCCACATGTAACAATACTTCCCGTGGAGCAATGTTTCGTCCTTTGGACCTCAGCTAAGTATCACCATTTAAAAAAACCTCTGATTACCTTCTTTACAGTAATATCTCACTCTTATTTTTCATCACAATACTCAGTATTTTAAATACTGATCATAGATGGTAATTTATTAAATTGTTCTCCTGACTTTCTTAGAAGATATAAAGTTAATGTAGGCAGGACTTTTATGCTTTTTTTTTTTCTGTTTCATTAACTATTGTATCTTAAGCTTATGGCATAGAACTTGGCATGAAAAGGATGCTCATAACAATTTTTTAGAATAATAAATACATAGATAAATAGTTATTACAACTAAATAAAATATTTTAAAAACATATCCAAACCTACACTTGTAGGCAGAAAAAATGGAGAATTAGATAAAAGGAAAAAAGCTGCTATCGCAAAGTGGGGAAAATGTGATAAATTCATCTTCTTGGCGAGAAGCGGCTGGGCTGATATTTTATTCTTGATTGGCAATCCTACTATAATGGTTGTTTTTTTCTCCCTTGTTACATCTTTCTGACCCTAGTTATGTGATTGATCTGACAATATCTCTACATGCAAATGTTCTTTAAAAATATGTGGAAAATCCCTGTGAACTTAATTAAGCAAAAATCAGTCTTGGACAGAATCCAGTTCCAGGACTCCATGATTAGTGTGCTTATAAGGTACAAACTCTTCAATAATATTTGCCTCTGTCAGGTAGAAGTTACTATCCTTTTAAGGGCTAATTATTTCAGAAGATGTTTTATTAGGCTTACCACATGACATAAAAAAGGGACAAGAATTTCCTCTCCAAATTTCAAGCATGAATGCTTGGCCGTAAGAAGACAAGAGAGTGAGATGGGCTAAACGTTGGAACGGCAGTTATTCTTTATTGAAATTACTAGAAAAGAAGTTATGAGAGAAAAATTTCCCTCTTAAAAAGGCTAGTTACTATCTTCTTATGTAGACATAGGATTTGTTTGTATTTTTAATAAATTATCCTAACATGAAAAGTTTTAATTTTTCTTTTTGCACCATGGAATTTCTTTAAAATAGTTCTACAGTGCAAGTCATAATTTTCTGAAATACTTAGAAACTCTGAAGACAATGGACAGACGTGGCCATATGATTTCAAATATATCATCAAGGAATGATACAGCTTTTTGTCTTCTGTGTGCATATTGGATTGAAGAGAGACTTCCAGCTCCTTTTGAGTGAGGTAAAGTGTTTTTCAAATCATAGATAAGCTTCCCAAAGGTAAGATTTTAACAGGTGTTAGTGAAACCAAGCTTTGCAGATGTGTGAATTTTTTACTACATAGGAAATTATATCATTTGATTTTATAAGAATTGAAATGTTGAAAAATTTTGCTGGTGCAAAGTTGCTGGTTAGGTTTTATATGATACTTGTCATGAGTATATTTACAAAATAGAAAAGTTAAGTCAGCAACCATGATATATCCTAAAAAGTTATAACTCCACCTAGAGAAGTAGGAGACTCATGGTGAAAACGTGATTTCTCAGACAGCATCAAGACTTTGGTCCTCTGATAAAATGACCCCTTGTATAGATCCTGAGATGAATTGAGTAGTAGATGCTCGGTGATGCCTGGGAGCCTATCTTATTTGATTGGTGTGACACAATATATGTGTTCAATTAACACTTGGTGGTTGAATGAATAAATGAAAGACTGAACTTATAATACACCTTTCTACAATATTTAGCATTAATTTAGAGGTAAACTGCTTATGATTACTAAGATTGGCATCTGCAAAAGAATAGATAGAACTAAAAAGATGCAAAAGCAGTTTGAATATTTGAGGACTGGTAAAAACCTTGAGCAGGTAAACATAGAGAATTGCAGGAAATTAGCTGAATAGGTTTCCTAGATCCCAGTCATCTAAGATCTTGTAGGCCAAGATAGGGATATTGGATTTTATTGAGTATACAGGCCAAGGTAGGGATATTGGATTTTATTAAGCATATAATAGGAATATCTTGTAGGGGTTGAGATCAAAGGAGTAATAGAATCTGAATAATATAAGAACAAAAAAAAGATCATTTGGGCTGCTTCAGGAACACAGATTGTCAAATGCCGAAAGGAAAGTAGGTAGACCTGGCTATTGCAGTAGACCAGGAACGAATGGGGTGTAGTGAGAATGATCAAGTTTGTAATGTATTAGAGAGGAAAAGTGAACAGGCCTTATTAAGTATAGAAATAAACAATGTGAATAGAATATTCACAGGCCTTATTAAGTATAGAATAAAGGGTGAAGGAAGGACACTGATAAAATTTGTTCTGAACAATAACACAAAAGGAGTACCATTTTATTAATTTGATAAAAAAAATCCTAGGTAGGAATAGATATATTATGAAAAATTAAAAGTTTGCTTTTATAAATCATAAATTGAAGTCTGTTTGGAGGCATCAATTAGATAGCTGCAGATATGAGTTTGAAAATTAGGGGAGAAATGGAGTAAAGACATACAATTTTAGACTGCTTCAGAATTTACAAGTTAGGAAAACGAGCAATATTCAAGTAAAGACACTAAGAAGAAAGTTTCAGTGGGTCGGTAAGATATCTGGTACTGTGACAGTTATGGACCATACATTGCGTGTTATGACAATTATTGTTTCATTATGTCCCCCCAACAAATTCATATTTTGGGGCCCTAACTCTTAGTACTTCAGAACATAACCTTATTTGAGGTGAGTCTTTGCAGAGGTATGCAAGTTAAAATAAGATGATTGAGGTGGACCCTAATCCAATATGACTGATGTCCTTAATAGATAGGAAAATTTGGATACAGACATGTATACAAAGAGTATTCTGTAGGAACCTATAGTTGGTCATTTATAAGCCAAGGGCAGAGGCTTGGAACATCTCCTTCCCTTATAGTCTTCCATAGGAACCAACACTGTTAATATGTTAATTTTGAATTTCTAAGATCTAGAACTATGAGACAATAAATTTCTGTCGTTTAAAGCACTCAGTTTGTTCTACTTTATTGTACCTGTTCTAGCAAAATAATACAGCTTTCAGTTCTGGGAGTGGGGTACTGCTGCAATGAATACCTCAAATGTGGAAGTGGCTTTGCAACTGGGTAATGGGCAGATACCTCCAGAGTTTGAGGGTGCATTATAGAAAGAGCTTGGATATCCTTCAAGTTACTGTGAGTAGGAATATGGACATTGAACAGTGATTCTGGTGAAGGCTCAGAAAGGAAAGAGGGGAGCTGAGGAGAAAACATCTATTATCTTAGAGAATACATATTTCATCATGAACTGAATGCTTCTAGAAATCTGAATGTCAAGGTCCTTGTAGTTAAGGTCAAAAATGGAAATTAGGAACATGTTATTGGAAAGTGGAGGAAAAGCGTCATTGTTATAAGGTGGCAGCCCTAGTAAATAATACAAAGAAATTTGGTCTATAGCCTTGCACACAAAATGCATTCTACCCACTATGAATATATATATATTAAGTGCATCTTCAGTGTGATACTTCAGTGAGTTTATACATGGCACATCTTTTCATGGAATTCCCTTTTCCATCCTTTTCCTCACTTCTTTAAACTCATTAAAGTATCACTTCCGCTGAGAAATCTACCCAGAGCACAGTTGGATTTAGAAGTTCCAAGGCTGTGTAGCCATAGCACAATGTAAATTATTTATAATCACACTTGCTAAATTGGTTTTTGTCTGACCACTTTATTGTGGAATTCTGACAGTACACTGAAGATTAACAACCAAATTGACAATAAATAACTCTAAAGGGTATTTTTGTAATGATAAATAGTTTTCTATACGGACCTTTGCTCAAATGGCTTATATGCCAGAATCATCTCTGACATATGATATTTACTTGGCCCTTAGTCTTAGATATTAGATTATTTTCTCTTCACCACTGAAAGGGTAAAATCATCTTATGTTTGGATTATTTCTCTCTTCAGTTCATCTTTTGACCCAGAGCTTTCTCAAAGCACTTTTCACCTCTGCATTTCTGAGGGTTAGACTAAAGGTTTTAACATAGGATTTATCATGGTATAAAACACAGCCACTGCTTTATTGATTGGGGAAGGGTCACTGGGCACAGATACACAGATATACAGAACCCAAAGATAAGATGACCACGGTGGTGTGAGAGATGCAGGTAGAGAGGGCTTTAGCATCTTTCCTCCAAGCTGTGAGTTTTCAAAGTACATAGGATGGCCACTTAAGAAACCATCAAGAAAATGATGTTTAATAGGTAGTTGAACCCACCATTGGCAGCAACAAAGAAACCAAGTGTATTAGTAGTACCCATGCAGAGGAGTTTCAACAAAGTGTTTAAGTCACACATGAATGAGCTATGACATTGGGATCATAGAAAGGAAGTCAGACTGGGGAGAGGATCTAAACTGTGCCTGGATAAAGCTTCCAGTACATGCCATTCCAGTGAGATGGCTACACCTATATTGATTCATGATGGTCATGTAGTGCAGATGGTCACATAACAGCCATGGACCATCCCCATCAGTGGAATAATCTCAGCAGCACCAAAAGATGCTCAGCAAAGACTTCCAGATACTTTATCCATATTGATACAAGCATGGTACTACATATGCTCCCATATTTTTTTATTAACTCATTAGGTACTCAAAAAAACTCAATAAACTTATATGATGATTTCATTTACAAAATATGACACAGAGTACTGATTAGCATTTGATATCTTACAGCAAGTGTTAGAAAAATTTATTTACTGGTTTAGATATTTCTCATAAAATAGTTGTCTATCTATTATCTATCTTCTTCATCATCATCTATCACTTTCTACCTAAATTATTTTCTAAAACCAGAGTGTTATAGACACTTTGAGAAAAATGAAGCATTTTCTACATGCATATTAAACATATGGTTTATGTAAAAGCCCAGTAAATAAGGCTTTTGGTTTTCACAGCATCTAAAATAAGGCTGTTGATTAGAGATAAGTCAACTAGCTCAATGGAGACTTCCTCAGGGAAAGTTCAGTATCATTGAGAAGAAAATTAGAAAGTTCTTGGCCAGTATTTATATACTATTTATCATTAATAGATTAAAATAGAGTTATTATGTATCTTTTCACCTCAGGAGGTATAATTCTGTTTGGAAAAGTAGGTGACTAATGGTGAAAAGAAGATTCCTTGGTTAGCACTAATATTTCTCCTCTGATAATCACTTCTGGCCTAAACCCTAACCCTGAATGAGTTTGTGAACATTCTCTGATGGCTGGGAGTCTACTTTATTTGAGAGGCATAACACAATGTAGGTGTCATATAAACATTTTTCAATTGAATGAATAAATAAAAGATTATACTTACAATACACATTTCCACAATATTGACCATTATTTTAGAAGTAAGTGGCTTCTAATCTCTGAAATAAGTGTCCACAAAAAATAGATTAAATTAAGGATATGGAAAAGCACATTGTATATTTGGTGAATATCAAAACTGTCTGGAGCAGGATAAATGTGGACAATTGTAAGGGATGGATTTGGGGAGGTAGCCTGGATCCAGGTCATCTAGGGTCTTGTAGGCCAAGGTAGAAAGATTGCATTTTATTGAGTGCAGAATAGAAATCCACCATGGGGTTTTTGAGTAGAGGAGTGGTATGATATTAATAAGATTTTCGAAAGATCATTTGGGCTACTTCATGAAGGAACATTATTAGAGGCCAGAAGATGAGTGGAGAGACTTTGCAGGGGGCTATTAGAGTAGGCCAGGGGGTAACAAGATGGTAGTGAGAAGGATCCAATTGGGATATTTTGAAGGAAGAGTTAACAGGGTTTGAAAAAAATATACTGATAAATAATATGAAAGAAATAGAGAAGTGAAATAGATTGTAAAATTTTTAGTTTAAACAATAACGTGGTAGGTAGCAACATTTAATGAAATGAAAATAAGGAAGAAATGGGTTGATCGGGAAAATTAAAAATTGGTATCAATTGAACATGTCAGTTGGTAGTCACATACAAAGATCCATTCATAATTAGCTCTTCCCAGTTTGAAAATGTAAGTTACCTTAAGTGGTTTCTCGAGTATTATACATCTGTGAATTTATACAGGATGCATCTTTATGTGGAATTCCCTTCCCATCCTCTCTTGTAGTTAATTATCACCTTTCCTTTATATCTCAGCTAAGACATTGCTTTCTCTGAAAAGTCTTTCCTGATCCTAGTTTGATTTAGTGTTTTAGCACTGTGAACCCTTACAATAATGTCAATATATTTATTATGACACCTATTTAATTGGTATTTAATTTATTCCCTTTGGTATTTTATTTACCAAATCACTGAGAGTACAAAATTGTGTCTTTTTCAACTTGGCAATTCCAAAGTCTATGACAGATTTGACATAGATGCTGCATACACATTTTTAATTGAATGAGTAAATACAATATTAAAATCATAATGCATTTAAAGATTTCCCCCCTTGTTTTATAGGTAAACTGCTTATATGATCTGAAGTAAGCAGCTGTAAAGAATACATGGAGCCAAGGAAAAATGTGACTGACTTTGTCCTCTTGGGCTTCACACAGAATCCAAAGGAGCAGAAAGTACTTTTTGTTATGTTCTTGCTCTTCTACATTTTGACCATGGTGGGCAACCTGCTCATTGTAGTGACCGTAACTGTCAGTGAGACCCTGGGCTCACCAATGTACTTCTTTCTTGCTGGCTTATCATTTATAGATATCATTTATTCTTCATCCATTTCCCCCAGATTGATTTCAGGCTTGTTCTTTGGGAATAATTCCATATCCTTCCAATCTTGCATGGCCCAGCTCTTTATCGAGCACATTTTCGGTGGGTCAGAGGTCTTTCTCCTGTTGGTGATGGCCTATGACTGCTATGTGGCCATCTGTAAGCCCTTGCATTATTTGGTTATCATGAGACAATGGGTGTGTGTTGTGCTGCTGGTAGTGTCCTGGGTTGGAGGATTTCTGCACTCAGTATTTCAACTTAGCATTATTTATGGGCTCCCATTCTGTGGCCCCAATGTCATTGATCATTTTTTCTGTGACATGTATCCCTTATTGAAACTGGTCTGCACTGACACCCATGCTATTGGCCTCTTAGTGGTGGCCAATGGAGGACTGGCTTGCACTATTGTGTTTCTGCTCTTACTCATCTCTTATGGTGTCATCTTGCACTCTTTAAAGAACCTTAGTCAGAAAGGGAGGCAAAAAGCCCTCTCAACCTGCAGTTCCCACATGACTGTGGTTGTCTTCTTCTTTGTTCCTTGTATTTTTATGTATGCTAGACCTGCTAGGACCTTCCCCATTGACAAATCAGTGAGTGTGTTTTATACAGTCATAACCCCAATGCTGAACCCCTTAATCTACACTCTGAGAAATTCTGAGATGACAAGTGCTATGAAGAAGCTCTGGAGAAGAGACCTCATATCAAGTAGTACATAAGTGAGTTACCCACCAGGAAGAGAGTCATTTGACTTTACAGCCTTTCTCCTTGGGACCCAGGAGTTTTTTTAAATCTGATGCCATCTTCCCTTTCTTCAAAGAATTTACAATTATTATTAAAGAATGAACAGTATGATTGTGTTATTAATAACAGTTGATCTCTCTGCTAGAATGTAAGATCTATAATGTCTTGTTTTCCATTTTATCTGTAAAGGTGTAATGCATAAAGCAAGGAGGCAATAATATGTAGTGAATTAGTTAAGAAATTTTAGAGTTACATTGATTTTTAATCAAGTTATGCCTGTATGTTTTTGCCTTTCTTTCTGAGACTTAATTTCATTTTTAGTTAGATTCTTGTCCTTAAGTTCATTGTTCTTCTTATACTATTTAAAATAGTTAATGGTATATTTTATATCAATGCAGTCCTTTTCATCCAATTGAACTTGTACTGTATACAGATTTTTAATGTAATATTTCTACCTTTTAAAAGAAGAATTGAAAGCCAAATGGATAATCATAAATAGTAAAAATGGAAACTGTACAAAATAATATAAAATGAGAAATAAATCTCTTGTCCATGTCTGAGTGCAGTCTCCTAGTTCTCTTCAACAGAGAAAGTCACTATTATCCATTTCTTAAGATGTTTCAGGTAATAATCTTTAAATGTAAATATATTTAAATATATGTGTGTGATTTTCTCTATGTACAGAAGCTTGCTACTTCACATAGAAGGGAGCTAGGGCCTAGGATGTGGGCCTCATAACTCTTCCCAGTCCCCTATCCTACTGTGGTCAGTTAGTTGCATCCAGGATGCAAGACAAAGCCCTCTTTACTCTTCACAATTCACTCTCCTCTCCTCAAGCAGAAGGAAGGAGTCACTTTTGTTGCTGCAAGCTGCACTGCCTGGGGTCAGGGGAGGGGTGGCAGAAGCACTCCCTTGGCAGCCCTGGCTGGTGTCTCCGTAGGTCATGTGCTCCCCTATTGCACTGGCTCTAAGTCCAACCCAGCACTAGGACTTGCCTAGGAATTGCAGGCCTTGTGTCCTAGGCTGCCTTTGAAGTTTACCTAAGACCCCAGAGCACTTTAGCCCACAGTGGTGAGACTTGCCAAGAAATTCTAGTTTTGACTTCTGGGATGAGTGATTCCCCTCTGTCTAGAGCTGGTCCAAATGCAGTCTCCATGGGTGGGTGCCAGTTGAGCTCAGCATGGCTTTGCTCTCTGCTGTGACAAGGTAGCACTGAGTTCAATGCCAAACCCCGTGTCTATACTCTTTTTTCCTCAAGTGCACAGATTATCTCTTTGCACCATGCAGCCACTGCTGTGGAATCGAGGAGCGATTTAAGACAGTCTTTCCTAACCTCTTAAGTGTGTTTCATTCAGTGATGTGAAGTTAAAACCAGGTACTTGGATTGCTCACCTGGTTTTCTGTTGTTATGCTTGTGCTTTTGTGTGTGTGCAATTAGTTGTTGAAATTCAGTGTTCCTGCAGGAGGGACTGGGATTACGGGTGTGAGCCATTATGCCCATCCCAAGAAATATTTTCTGTTATAGGGGGAGAGAGACAATAAACAAGTAAGCATATACATAAAAAGATAAAATATAACAGAGTGGAAAGGTGTAAAACATGAAACAAATGATGTGATAGAGAGCTACTCAAAAGGTAGGGGGTTAGGAGTGTTCAAAGGAGACCCAAGAGCACGTATTAACTGTTTACATAACCACTTCCAGGGACAAGAGACAATAAACTGAAAGGACATGAATAAGTAAACTCACTGGAGAGGAGTTTCTGTTTGTGGAAAGGGGAATTTTATCTGACCTGGATGAGTATCAATAACATCTCTCCTTGATTGAAAACTACACATTTTATTAAAAATAAAATAAACATGATACATACACACACACACAAACATATTTTAGCAAACTTAACCTACTATAATTAATTCAGCTCTAATTAAAATAAGGATGATACAAAATTAAACATACATATTTAGGCCATCATCTTTTTTCAAAACACCTTGTGCGTGCCTCCTGGCAGTTGGTGAACTTTCTGATGTATTCAACAGCATTGATCTCCACTTTGTCTCTGCATGTTCTCCTTTTATTTTAATTTTTACCATTTTTTTCCCACATAAAAGGTCTTGCAGTCACTTAGAAATGCTGAGATAAATTGACTGGTATAAAGTAAGGTATATGATTAACGAAATTTACACTAAAGCTAATTGGCCTTTTCATGGACTATAAGACTATGCACAACCACTCCGTACTCAAACATGCATTTCTCTCTCAAATGTTGTATGACCCAGTACCCAGCTCTTCACAGCACACTTTTTTCTTGGTGGATCTCAGGTGTTCCTTCTGTTGGTGATGGCCTAGACCACTTATAGGGCCATCTGAAAGTCCTTGCAGTATTTGGTTGTCATGAAGCAATGGCTGTGTGTTGTGCTGCTGGTTGTGCTCTGGGCTGGAGGATTTTTGCACACAGTAATACAACTTGACCTTATTCATGGGCTCCCATCTTATGACCCCAATGTCATTGGTCATTTTGTCTGTAACATGGACCCCTTAATGAAGCTTGTCTGTGACTATACACTCAACAGATTTGCCTATTTTGCAGGTCATGATTTAAATACTAGGTTTTATATATTTCATTTACATTCAGACTGGACTGTTTCCTTTTGGTGATTTGACTTTGTTATTCTTTTGTAATTTTTTCCCTAGAGGACATGGTTCTATAAATCTTGTTATACATAGTTATTATCCCTGTGGCGTCTCTGGAGATACAGAGCCTACCCTCAGAATTATGATGAAGGTCCCAATGAATTTAATTAGAGAAGAATCACCTTTGGAGATGCACCAGTTGAATGACTCAACAATATGTGCTGTAGTTCAAATGTGGATAAAGTATCCACAGACTTCTGCCCTTATTTCGAAGAGTATTTGTCTATAGCAGTATTCACATGACTGATTTTTTAGGAATTAAAATGATAGACTCAAACATGATAAAATAAGGATGAAAATTATTCTCCATCCTTCCTATTACCCAAGGTTCAACTACGTGGCATGAATACAGGTTCATATAACTGATCGAAGAGCAATATGTTGTAAAGGCTATTTCATTATTTTACTTTTATTTGTATAAAATACAAATATTTATAGTAAAAAGTCACAATTCTCTCTCCCACAAATTCGAGTTTTTTCTTAACTTCAAAATGCTTATTTAACCTATTCATCTTTTGATGAACACTTGGGTTGATTCCGTATCTTGGCTATTGTGAATAGTGCTCCACAAATTATGGGAATGTAGGTATCTCTTTGATATACCGATTTCATTTCTTTTGGATATATAACTACCAGTGGGATTGCTAGATATATGCTAGTTCTATTTTTAATTTTCTGAGGAACCTCCATACTGTTTTCCATAGTGGCTGTATTAATTTACATTCCTACCAACATATTATGATCATTCCCCTTTCTCTGCATCCTCATCAGCATTTATTTTCTGTTATTTTCATAATAGCCATTTTAACTGGGGTGAGATAACGTAATAAAAAGGATAAAATTCTGCCATTTGCAGCAATGTGGATGGAACTGGAGGATATTATATTAAATAAAATGAGGCAGGCACAGAAAGGCAAATATTGCAGGTGTTCACTCATGTGGGAGATAAAAAATTGACCTCATGATGGTAGTGAATAGAATGGTGGTAATCGGAGGATGGGAAGGGTAGTGAGGAGAGGGGATGAAGAGGAGTTGATTAATATATACAGAAATACAGTTAGGTAGGAAGAATAAGATCATGATAGGGCAACTATAGTTTATAGTTGACTGTATTTCAAAACAGTTAGAAGAGAAAATTTAGAATTTTCTCAACATAAAGAAATGATAAATGTTTGAGGTGATGGATATCCAAATTACCCAGATATGATCATTACATGTTGTGTGCTTTTGTCAAAATATCATTTATACCCCATAAACATATACAATTATAGTGTATCCATTAAAATAAAAAATAAAAAAGTATTTATATAACATGTGTTTGTTATTAGGACAAATTTTGCCAACAGTGAATATTTTGGGTCTCAGTTCACAATCAAGATTGAGGCTTCTTTAGGTTACAGAACATTCTTGATATTCATTTTGAAAATCTCAGTAAGTTAAAAGGTAACCTTTTTTCCCCCTGAAAGACTGAGATAAATCAGACTTTCTACAAGCATGGAAAACGTTGATCACATGGAAGCATTTCAAGGTCCAGTGATGATTCATGTGTTATTTTGCTCTCTGTGTTCACACAGATGGTGTCAGTGTACACAGCTGTTTTTTTTTTTAGGACAAGAGGGAAGGTACCATCATCAGAACTCGGAATGAATTACTGTCTTCTTATGCAGATACCCAGGAAGGTATTTATGTGTGAGATTCTGAACTAGGCTTTACATTATGCAGTAACACTGATGATGTGGGAATTCTGTCTTTTAATAGTTGTGTAAGTGATTCTGATAATAAGCCACATTAGTGGTTCTTCATGATTGCTAAACTATATGTGAATTGCCTCAATTCTGTAATACTTTTTTGGATATTTTATCATTAAATAACAGAATAAATTTACTTTCTCTACATCAGTGTTCTTAGAAACTAATTTCAAATGTAACCATTTGGGGGATATTTTAATGGGCAGGTATTTGTAAATCTCTTTATAGGATCAAGCAGTGCGTTCTCTATGCATTGATTAATATGCTAAAAATTAGATGATGTAGCATCTGTAGAAGTGGAATGAGTGACTTTCAAGAACCCAAGGTAAGACTTAAGTAAGCAAGGTGTTTCCTCAATTCATAGGAATGATAGGTCAAGTAAGAAGAGTATTGAAATTGACCACTGGATTTAGTAAAGTGAAAGTGTTATTTAGAAAGAATAGCAGAGAATCAAGATGGGGTGGTTGCTTGAAAGAAATCTGCGGTCCAAGGGTATAAATATATTTTTAAACGTGGGGATAGATCATACAAATATGCTGGAAGAAGGATGCAATATAGGGAGGAAAATTGTTGATGTTCGAAATGGAGAAAATTGAAGGAACACTGTTCTTAAGAGTGGTAAAGAGCACGCAATCTAGTGCAACTCTAGAGAGGTTGGCCATAGTTAGCAACACAGACAATCTGTGTATTTGAAGAGCAGATGGGACATCATTTATGAGGTTAGATTGAAGTAATGTCAACAGAGACTTAGTGACTAGTTGTCATTACTAGGATTATTTTAGGAGATAGCTGGGCTAGTGAATATTGTCACTACTTATGATATAGTTTTTTTTTGTGTGTGTGTGAAGCCTTCTTTTTCTCTAACTTTCTCTTCCCTCCCTCCGTGCCTCCCTTCTCCCCTATTTCTTTCCCTCCCTCTTTTATTCCATCTTCCTCCATCTTCCTTCCTTCCTTCTTCTCCTCTTCGTTAGTTTTATTCTTTCACACACAACTTCTCTCCTCTCCCCCACATCACCAATGCAAATGTAAACCCTGCTTACAACAAAAAACGTATATCCTTCATTATTTTCCCATGCTCATATAATCATACACAAACACTTATAAATGGATACATGTACAGTATTTTTATTTTGTTTGCTGAATCATACTATTATACTGAAATGGCTGCAATTAATTGTTTTAAATATCTGTATTCCACATTTTTTGTTTGTTTAGTGCTATTATAAATAATGTCACAAAAACCTGCCATGCATCTGTCCTTATGTTCTAGGGCTCTAATTTCTATGGGATAGCTTTTGAAGGGAGCAGTTGTGTTGAAAGATATTTTTACTTTCATTAGAGATTGCTAACTTTTGTTCCAAAAATATTATAAAATCCATATTTTCCCTATCAGTGTAAGAAAATACCCTTTTTTATTTTTGCTAGCTATAGCTACTATCACTTTTAAAATGTTTTTGTCAGTTTCATGAATATAAGATGATATTTGTTTTTTATTTTGTATTTTTCTATTTATAGGTGAACTTCAGCACCCTATTATATTTGGCCACTTTAATGTACTGTTTTTTTTAAATTGCTGGTTTCTATCATTTGCCCAGTTTGCTATTGGTTTGTCTCTTATTATTAATTGCTTAGAGCACTCTATTTTAAATATTAACTCTGTGTCCTCAAAATTATAAATATTTTTAAATGGTATCTTTTCCCAAATTCTTAAACAATTTTGAAATTGTCAAATATGTTTATTTTGGATTTCAATTATTAAGATTCTCCCATCCAGAGAATGTAGAAAGTCATCTCCTTTATTAACTGGAAAGTAAATATAAAGTAAATCTAGCTTTAGTTTTATATTAAATCTTTAATTCATTTGTATTTATTTTTGTTTATGGTATTAGCTATATGTATAATTTTATGATCTTCCAGATGTAAAACTAGTTTTGGCAAACTCTTTTATTTAATAAACTGTCCTTTTCCCATATACATCCCAAATTACTTATTTCTCTCTCCATTAATTTGTAAGATTGCTGAGGTTGGGGACCATGTTTTACCTGTTTGTTGAATGAATAAACAAATTATCCTAAAATTTCATGAAGTTACTAGTAATAATTATATTTTTAGGTAATTTTGTCCTGAACACTGGAATAAGGACATACAGAAAGACGTACGGAGCAAAGGAACAATGTGACTGAGTTTGTCCTTGTGGGGCTCACTCAGAGCCCCCAGGGACAGAAAATATTATTTGTTGTGTTCTTGCTCATCTACATTGTGACAATGGTAGGCAACATATTCATTGTTGTGACTGTGGTGGTCAGCCCAACTTTGGATGCCCCATGTACTTCTTCCTTGTCTACTTATCATTTATGGATGCTGTTCATTCTACTACAGTTACCCCAAATATGATTATATACTTACTCTATGAGAAGAAAACCATTTCGTTCCAAGCTTGCATGACCCAGCTTTTTATAGGACACCCATTTGGGGGTGCTGAGATTTTACTCCTGGTTGTCATGGCCTATGAAGGCTACGTGGCCATCTGCAAACCCCTGCATTATTTGACCATCATGAACCAACGGGTGTGCATTCTACTGCTGCTGTTGGCCTGGGCTGGAGGTTTCCTGCATGCTGTAGTTCAACTTCTTTTTGTTTACAACTTTCCCTTCTGTGGCCCCAATGTCATTGAGCATTTCATCTGTGACATGTACCCTTTATTAAAACTTGCCTGCACTGACACCTACGTTATTGGCCTCACTGTGGTTGCCAATGATGGGGCAATCTGTGTGGTCATCTTTATGCTCTTACTCATCTCCTATAGGGTCATTCTGCACTCCCTGAAGAATCTTAGTGAGGAAGGGAGGCCCAAAGCCTTATCCACCTGTGGCTCCCACATCACTGGGGTGATCCTCTTCTTTGTCCCTTGTATTTTGATGTATGTGAGACCTCCTTCGACCTTACCCATTGATAAATCCTTGACTGTGTTTTACACTGTTATCACCCCTATGTTGAACCCTCTAATCTATACTTTAAGAAATGCAGAGATGAAAAATGCTATGAAGAAGCTCTGGACCAGAAAAAGAAAATGAGGTGACAGACAAATGTATCATCTATTTTCAGTGAAGAGTTGCTCCCTCCAGGAAAGCCATTTGTGATTATTTAATTGCCATGAAATTTTCCTCAGGTTTAATAACTAGCATGCAGGGAAAATCATTTATTACATGAATACTTGCAATAATCAAAATATATTTAGAAGATTTTAATAATTTATTGGAAAAATATATGTTCACTTTTTGTCTGTAGAATGGCTCTCGAGATGATAAATTTATGTTATTAATACTATAAATTTATTTAAGTTTATGAAAGTTTTTCTCATGTTTTTCTTTTAAATAAAGTTAATCCTTTTTCAGAATTAATAGTGCTCATTACAGATTTCAGAAGAATGAATTAAGAAATAAGACATAAAAATTTCATTTACTCCTCCTCACACAAATACAGACCACATTAGTATTTGAAGTATATATTTTATTTTTGTATTTGTAAGATACTATTTATATATCATTTTGTTAGTATTGCTAGTGTATTAAGGTTGAAGAGGAATAATGCTTCCTTCAGTATTATTCATAAGGAGACTGAGTATACTAAAAGAATCTGAATGAAAAAGGGAGACATGCAGAAAAATAACTAAATCTTACTTATTTCTCCAATTGAGAAATCATATTAAGTCCTCAGGCGAAGCAGCTTGATTTGGTGCTGTATTTATGTAAAAATGATCCAGGGACATGGATGAAATTGGAAATCATCATTCTCAGTAAACTATCGCAAGAACAAAAATCCAAACACCGCATATTCTCACTCATAGGTGGGAGTTGAACAATGAGAACACATGGACACAGGAAGGGGAACATCACACTCTGGGGACTGTTGTGGGGTGGGGGAAGGGGGGAGGGATAGCACTGGGAGATATACCTAATGCTAGATGATGAGTTAGTGTGTGCAGCGCACCAGCATGTCACATGTATACATATGTAACTAACCTGCACATTGTGCACATGTACCCTAAAACTTAAAGTATAATAATAATAAAAAAATTAAAAAAAATGATCCATTGATCTTCCCAGATGTTTAGAATATCTGATAATACCTCTGCTATTTTCAATACCCCCTTCTCATGGCCTTCTAAAAAACAGCCAGGCTCTGCTTTTCATATGTAAAATTAGCATAATCCATAATCTATGAAGTTCAAATATGCAATGCAGAGCCTGATAGTAAATATTTTGGAATACACCATTGTCAAGGAAGATAGACAGGTGTGGTGGTGCATGTCTATGGTTCCAGCTGCTCAGGAGGCTGAGGTTGGAGGATTTTTTGAGCCCAGGAGGTCAAGACTGCAGTGAACTGTGATCATGCTACTGCGCTCTAACATGGGTGACAGAGCAACACTGAGAAAAGAAAAGAAAGAAAAAGAAAAGAAAGATGCTGGCAATATGTGATGCTTCCATTCTTACTTTCTTTATTGATAGAATGCAGATTATTAGGTAAAAAACAGGACTAAAACATATTGTTTCGTTGGAAAGACACTTCATTCATAAAAATCTGTGTGAAAATTTCTTTTGAATCAGGCTTGAAATAAAATTTTATCTGCCCCTGACTACAGGTAGAAAACATGTAATCAAAAAAACTCATTGTTCCTGCTTCTCCTCTGTAGTCTGGATTCATGAGGGACTAAGGCTAGGGAAAAACATAAGTCAATTTCCCTGATAAATCACACTATATGAGTTCACTTTGTATTATTATTTTTATCCTTATTATTATTACTTGGAGATTTCTTATATCATCCAAGCTCTTCCAAAACATAGCACCATTCTCCAAATAGTATTGAGCATTTGGTAGTACCAGAGTTTATATAACTAGGTCCTGCATTTTTGGACATGTAATTAATTTTCTAATTTGTATGGTTCTACTGAGTGATGAAATAAAAAAATCTTGGTTAATTGTCTGTTTACATTTATTGGTCTGAAAGTTCCCTGAAGTCAGGGAAAGTTACTTCTCTTTGTGCTCTCTGTTCCTTGCACAATGTCTGACACATAGAGCCCACTCCATAAACTTTGTTAATTACTTGTTTCCTTTTATTCTTAATCTATTGGAGTCAGAAATTTTACTGATACATTCTGATAAACTTTTTCCATATCAAAGTTGCATATATGTTCATACCATTCTTTGATATTTGCTATAAATATTTAACTTACTATGTTGTTGATGCTACAATTATGGATGTTTTTATATAGAAATGTTTTATCTTAACTTTTTTACTTCTTATTTTTTCTGTCATATCACACCTCAGTAAATTCCATTTCCCTCTAGTGACTTTATGCATTTTAACACCTTATTTATTTATTTTTCTTTTCAGATTTTGTTTTAGAATCAGGAGGCACATGTGCAGGTTTGTTACAAAGGTATGTTGCATGATGCTGAGGTTTGAAGTATGATTGCACCCACGCCCAGGTAGTGAGCATGGTACCCAGCAGGTAGTTTTTGAGCCCTTGCCCACCTCCCTCTTTCCTGCCTCCAGTCGTCCCCATTAAAAAAATTACTTTACAAAAACATTTGTTTTCCAGCCAACTGAAAATTTATTTTTCTTTATCATAAGAAAATATTGAAGTCTAGTTTTCCTAAGCAGGTAAAATAATCTGCCAATCTAATCCATTAATTATTTTCAATAGTAATTTGGAATTTATCCTTTTAGTATGTCAAATTCTTTACATCTAGAAGGTTCAATCTCAGGACACTTCTTCTGTTTCTTCTTTTCTTGTTTTTTTGTTTTTTTTTTCACCAACACACTATCCCAGTGGTCAAGGATTTTAAATATTTATTTATACTTAATAGAAATAGTCTCCCCTAATTACTAATCTTTTTCAGCTCTCTTGCAATTTCTAAATATTTATTTTTCCTAACAAAACTTAGGACTGTTTTGTAAAGCTTGAATACTTTTCATAAAATTATATTTAGGGTTTCATGACCCTACTTGTTTATTTTGAGCAAAATGGTGTATTATAATGTCTCATTTTCCTACCTAGAATAAGACACTTATTGTGAAGTCTTGACTGATAAATCTCAATCAAAAAGTGGGCAAAAGACATGCACAGACACTTTTCAAAACAAGACATACATGCTGTCAACAAGCATATGAAAAAAGGTCAATATTAGTGATCATTAGAGAAATGCAAATCAAAACCACAGTGAGATACCATCTCACACCAGTCAGAATGGCTATTATTAAAAAGTAAAAAAATTACAGGTGCTGGCGAGGTTGCAGAGAAAAAGGAATGTTTACACAGTGTTGATTGGGGTGTAAATTAGTTCAACCATTGTGGAAAACCATGTGACGATTCCTCAAAGACCTAAAAATGGAGCTACTATTTGACCCAGCAACCCCATTACTGGTTATATACCCAAAAGAATATAAATCATTCTAACGTAAAGGCACATGCATGCACATGCCCATTGCAGCACTATTAATTGCAAAGACACGAAACCAACATAACGACCCATCATTGGTAGATTGGATAAAGAAAATGTGGTACATACACAGCATGGAATACTATTCAGCCATAAAAAAGAATAAGACCATGTCCTTTGCAGAAACATGGATGGAGCCAGAGGCCATTATCCTTAGCAAACTAGCACAGGAATGGAAAACCAAACACCACATGTTCTCACTTCTAAGTGGGAGCTAAATTATGAGAACACACGAACACATAGAGAGGAACAACAGACATGATGGAGGGTGGGAGGTGTGAGAAGATCACAGAAATACTGATGGGTACTAGGCTTAATACCTAGGTGAGGAAATAATCCATACACCAAACCCCTATGTCAGACTTCTAAAATGACACACCTCCATGACACCCCCATAACAAACCTTCACATGTACCACTGAACTTAAAGATTACAAAAAGTTGTAAACATCTTCACAGTCTATATATGCCTTGCCTTTTGACTTTTTCATTTAAAAAGGGAATTCTCTTATTTTCATTTGATTAATATTTTCAATGGGCTGACAAGAGAGGACTCAGTGTCTTTTCCTGGCATTTCCTGGCACAATCTTTAAAGCCACGGGCATAGGTCTGTATTCAGACACACGTAGGCTTGTATCTCACCATATACAGGTTTGAAAGTCATTATATAGGAGTCTGTATTTGACTGTGCACTTGGATCTGTATCCAGCAGCATGTATGTCTCTATGACCATATATAGGTGTGTATCCAGTGATACCTGGGTCTGTATCTAACTGAACACAAAGTCTATATATGAACAGACAGGTTTGTATGTGAAAACACAAAGGTCAGTATTTGATTACTTTTATGATTGCATTTGTATAAGTTTTGCATATGATATCACCCAGTTCTGTGTCTGTCTACACAGGGGGCTATATCTTGCCATACACTGAGCTGCACTGGACCACACGTGTGTTTATATCTGCCCATACAGGGATTTATTTCGGGCCATTAACAGGTCTTTATCCAAGACACATGGGTTGTAGTATTATAGATATATGCTTGTTAGGAGGGAGGGTAAAGACTAAATTTTATAACTATCAAAAAGTTTTTCAACACAGCTGTAAAATTATATACTTCCACAAGGGACATATGAGAGTTCCAGTTATTCCGCATCCTCAGTAACAGTTGGATTGGTTTTAATGTGCATTTCCTGGATGACTAAAGATGTTGAGCATATAATTCTTGGCTGGTCTGTTGAACATTAAAAAAAATCATATGGCTTGTCTTGACTTGTAAAACTTCTTAATACATTCTAGATACAAGTTCTTATTCAGACATATGTATTGTAAGCATACTCACAATGTATGGCTCGCTTTTTCATATCATTAACAGTTTTTATGAGCCAAAGTTTTTATTTTGATGAAGTTCAATTTATCAATTTCTTTTGTATCCAAGGTGTTTCAGATAGAATATTAACAAAGAAACTTCAGACTTAATCTGCAATAAAGACTAAATGGATATAATAAGTATTTACAGAACATTTCATCCAGTGGCTGCAGGAAACATTTTCTTTTCCTTAGCACACAAATCATTCTCAAGGATAGATCATATGTTAGGTTACAAAACAAGTCCAAAAACATTCAAAAAATTTGAAATAATATCAATTATTTTCTCTGACAACAATGAAATAAAACTAGAAATTAATAATGAGAAATTTTGGAAACCATACTAGTACATGGAAATTAAACAAAATGCTCCTGAATAATCAGTGGGGTCCATGAAGAAATTAATTTTGTGGTATTTCCTTTGTCTTTTTAAAAGGAGGGGCATTTGAAAGACAGTTCCTACTTTCAAATGGTTTTCTAGATTTATATCAATTACCTCTCAGCAGAAATATATCAATGCAAAATCTTACTGCATTCTCGTGAACGTAGACTACTATAAAAATAAATTATACTGACTTAAAAAAAGAAGAAAACTGATAAATTTCTTGAAACAAATAATGGAAACAAGTATACCAAAATCTATCAAATACAGAGAAAGCATTACTCAGATGGAAGTTTATAGCTATAAGTGCTTACACCAAAAAAACCCCTTCAAATAAACAAGTGAACAAAGCATCTTAAAGGAGTAGAAAAGCAAGAGGAAATAAAGCCAAAAACTAGAAGAAAAGAAATGATAAGGATCACAGCAGAAATAAATAAATAAAAATACAAAATATCAATGAAACAAAAGGTTTTTTTTTAAAGTTAAACAAAATTGATAGAACTTAACCAGAGTAACTGAGGAAAAAGATCCAAATGAATAAAATCAGAAATGAAAAAGGAGACATTAAAATTGATACTGCATAAATTCGAAGGATCATTAGTGGTTACTATGAACAATTATATACCAATAAATTGGAAAATCTATAAGAAATGGACAAATTCCTAGATGCAAATAACCTACCAAGATTGAATGAGGAAGAAATCCAAAACCTGAGCAGCCTCCAAGTAAAGAAAAGCCCAGGAGCTGATAGCTTCACATCTGAATTCTACTAAACATTTAAAAAAGAATTAATACCAATCCTACTCAAACTATTCTGAAGAATAGAGGAGTAAGGAATATTTTCAAACTTATTCTGAGGCCACTATGACCCTGATACTGAAACCAGACAAGGATATATCAACAACAACAACAACAAACAAAACTACAGGCCAATATCTCTGATGAATATTGAAGCAAAAACCCTCAACAAAATACTAGCAAACTGAATTCAACAATTCATCATTCATCATGACCAAGTGGGATTTATCCCTGGGATTTCAACATATGTAAATCAATCAGTGTGATACATCATATCAGCAGAGTGAAGGGTAAAAACCATATGATCATTTCAACTGATGCTGAAAAAGTATTTGATAAAATTCAACATCCCTTCATGATAAAGCCCTGAAAAAGCTGGGGGTAGAAGGAAAATACCTCAACATAATAAAAGCTATATATGGGAGATCCACAGCTAGTCTCATAGTGAATGGTGAAACGTGGAAAACCTTTCTTCTCAGATCTGGAACACGAAGATGCCCACTGTCCACACTGTTATTCAGCACAGTACTGGAAGTCCTAGCTAGAGCAATTAGACAAAAGAAAGATATAAAGGGAATGCAAATTGGAAAGGAAGAAGTCAAATTATCTTCGTTTGCTGATGATATGATCTTATATTTGGAATAACCACAACAAAACTATTAGAAATAATAAATTCCATAGTTTCAGGACACCAAGTCAACATATAAAAGTCAGTAGAATGTCTATATTCCAACAGTGAGCAATGTGAAAAAGAACAAATAATCCCATTTAAAAAAACAACACATTAAATTAAATACCTAGGAATTAATTTATCCAAAGAAGTGGAAGATCTCTATAATGAAAACTGTAAACACTGATTAAGGAAACTGAAGAAGACACACACAAAAAAGGGAAAATATTTGATGTTCATGGATTGGAAGAAACAATTTTGTTAAAATGTCCATACTACCCAAAGCAACCTACAGATTGAATACAATCCCTATCAAAATACCAGTGACGTTCTTCACAAAAATAGAAAAAAACTATCCCAAAATTTACATGGAATCACTAAAGATGCAGACTAGCCAAAGCTATCCTGAGCAAAAGAACCAAATTGGAGGAATCACGTCACCTGACTTCATATTATGCTACAGAGATATAGTAAACAAAATGGGACAGTACTGGCCTGAAAACAGACACATAGACCAATGGAACAGAATGGAGAACCCAGAAACAAATCCACACACCTACGGTGAACTCATTTTCAACAAAGGTGCCAAGAACATATGCTGGGGAAAAGACAGTTTCTTCAACAAATAATGCTGGGAAAACTGGATGTCCACATGTAGAAGAATGAAGCTAGATCTCTATTTTTCTCCAAATACAAGAAATCTAATTAAAATGGATTAAATAGTTAAATTTAAGACCTGAAAATATGAAACTACTACAAGATAACATTGGGGAAACTCTCTTGGACATTGGTCTGTGCAAAGATTTCTTGAGCAATATTTCCCTAGCACAGAAAGGCACAAGTAAAAATGGACAAATGGGATCACATCAAGTTAAAAAGCTTCCACACAGCAAAGGATACAACCAACAAAGTGAAGAGACAACTCATAGAATGGGTGAAGATATTTGCAAACTGCCCATCTGACAAAGAATTAATAATGACAATGTAGAAGGAGCTCAAACAACTCTATAGGAAAACATCTGGCTGGGCATGGTGGCTCACACCTGTAATCCTGGCACTTTGGGAGGCCAAGGTGGGAGGATCACCTGAGGCCAGGAGTTCAAGACCAGCTTGGCCAATATAGTGAAAACCCATCTCTACTAAAAATATAAAAATTATCCAGGGGTGGTGGAGCATGTCTGTAATCCCTGCTACTTGGGAGGCTGAGACAGGAGAATCACTTGAACCCAGGAGGCGGAGGTTGTGGTGGATTGAGATCATGCCATTGCACTTCAGCCTAGGCAACAGGAGTGAAACTCCATCTCAAAAAAAAATCTAATAAGCCAATGAAAAAATGAGCAAAATATTAGGGAATCCTAATACACTGTTGATGGGAATGTACATTAGTACACCTACTATAGAAAACAGTTTGAAGATTTTTCAGAAAACTAAAAATTGAGCAACTATATGATCCAGTAATCCCTTTGCTCAATGTATACCTAAAAGAAAGGAAATTAGTATATCAAAGAGATATTGGCCTTCGCATGTTTTTTTCAGCACTATTCGCAATAGCCAAAATTTGGAAGCAACTTATGTGTCCATTGACAGATAAATAGATAAAGAAAATGTGGTACTTATATATAATGGAGTACTATTCAGCCATTAAAAAGAATGAGATTCACTCATTTGCAACAACATGGATAAGACCAGAGGTCATTAGATTATGTGAAGCAATCCAGGCAAAGAAAGACAAACATCATGATATCTAACTTATTTGTGGGATCTAAAATTCAAAACAATTGAACTTATGGATGTGGAGAATAGAAGGATGGTTACCAGAAGCTAGGAAGGGTAGCGGGGAGGTGAGAGGGTGGGAGATAAGGATAGTTAATGGGTACAAAAATAATCAGAAAGAGTGTATAAGACTTACTACTTGATAGCACAAAAGGGTGACTATGGTCGAAAATATGTTAATTGTACATTTAAAAATAACTAAAAGAGTATAAGTGGATTGTTTGTAATGCAAAGGGTAAATGCTTGAGGGGATGGATACCCCATTTTTCATGATGTGATTATTATGCATTGCATGCCTGTATCCAAACATGTAATGTACCACATAAATATACAGAACTACTATGCACCCACAAAAATTAAAAATTAAAATTTTAAAAAAGTATGTATATTCTGCAGCTTTTGGGCACATTGTTCTCTTATGTAAATTGGTCAAATTTGTTAATGGTGTTGATTAAACCTCCCCTGCCCTCCCCTCCCCACTCCCTTCCCCATCCCTTCCCCCTCCCTTTCCCCTCCCTTCCCCCTCCCTTCCCTCTTCCACTTCCCCCTTCCTTCCCCCTTCCCTCTCCCCCTTCCCCCTTCCCTTCCACACACCTACAGTGAACTCATTTTCAACAAATGTGCCAAGAACATATGCTGGGGAAAAGACATATGCTGGGGAAAAGTTTCTTCAACAAATAGTGCTGGGAAAACTGGATGTCCCTATGTAGGAGAATGAAACTAGATCTCTATTTTTCTCCAAATAGAAAAGTCTAATTAAAATGGATTAAAGACTTAAATTCCCCCTTCCCTTCCCCCTTCCCTTCCCCCTTCCCTTCCCCCTTCCCTTCCCCTTCCCTTCCCCCTTCCCTTCCCCCTTCCCTTCTCCCTTCCCTTCTCCTTTACCTTCCCTTCTCTTCTCTCTTGCTATATTGCCCATGCTAAACTCAAACTCTTAGGCTGAAGTGATACTCCCACCTCAGCCTTCCAAGTAGCTAGGACAGAGAAACATGTCACCATATCCTTCTTTGTTGCTTGTTAGTTTTTTAAATGCTTTGAAGTACATTTTTTGCCTCTTTTCAGATGAGACTTTGGACTTGGAGTTTGGGCTAATGCCAGAATGAATTAAGACATCGAGGGACCATTAGGAAGGCATAAGTGTCTCTTTAAAATATGAAAGAGACATGAGATTTGGGAGGGGCCCAGGGTAGAATGATGTGATTAGACTTTGTGTCCCCACCCAAATCTCATCTTGAATTGTAATCCCCATAATCCCCACATGTCTAGGGAGAGAAAATGTGGAGGTAATTGAATCATGGGGGTAGTTTCCCCCATGCTGTTCTCGTGATAGTGAGTTTTCATGAGATCTGATGGTTTTATAAAGGGGCTCTTTTCCCTTTGTTCAGCACTTATCCTTCCTGCCACCCTGTGAGGATGGTGCCTTGCTTTCCCTTTGCCTTCGGCTATAATAGTAAGTTTCCTGAGGCCTCCCAAGACATGCTGAATTGTGAGTCAATTAAACCTCTTTCCTTTATAAATTACCCAGTCTCAGGCAGTTCTTTATAGCAGTGTAAAAATGGACTGATACTGTAGAGGATTGAATTAATGGACTAATGATCATTATGGTTGCATATGACACAGATTCAGGTTTTGATTGAAAACCTCTTCTCCAACCTAAAACTGTACAACTATGATTACCTCTTTTTCTAAGTGTTAGAATCTCAACTTCAGTTCTGAGGCTCTCTGCCTGTAAGTCTCAGGCTTCTTAGGCACAGACTTTCTATTAACAAAGTTAGGTCCTCCTTGCTGAGGGAGTGATTAGGTAAGAGAATCTGGGGCTGGTTTCCTCGTTATTCTGGCTTAAATATTACTGGCTTTACCTCAGTATTTCATAATGTAAAACATAATTTATTGTTCAATTTACTTTAGCATTTCTTTTTTCACATTACAAGATTTTCACATTACTTGGCATTCAGTTACTCTTTCTTGACAAAAGCCAAGTCTTTTTCCTTGGCAAGAACCAAGTATTTTTCCCCTAGGGATTGTTCTCTAGAAGAAAAGTGTTCATTTGAATTTGTTCCAAATATTATAATTAATCTATAAATGCCTTACGGTCTTTTTAATTAAAAATATTGATGATGTAAAAGTTATAGACTATGTCTACACATATAAATGGAAGATTTCTTTTCCTGATAGAATAACCTATGAGATAGATAGGTTAAACATTAAAATTTCTGCCCAAGCTACAGTATGTCTTCAACTGGTATCTAGTCCTCTAGATGGGTTGTTTTATTTCATCCACCTTTGTTTGTAAAAATTTGTAGAAGATCTCAATTTCCTGGAATGAGATTGGGGAGATATAGAGACATGCCTTTAATCAGAAAAGAAGTGGTCTTAGGAATATACTATTTGAATGACTGAAAGACTGAAGAGTTCTGCTTCTGCCCATAAGAAAGTTTGTCATTGACTTTTTCACAGTTAAATCCCAGCATTTCCTTGTTAGCTATAGAGCTAAATAGCTGGGCACATGAATGTTATAAATCCTTGATCACAGTAAAATATTCATGGTTGCTTCACCATTATTGACAGAGAAGTTACAAATTCAAGAAACAAATTTTGGTGTTGACAAATTTTTTGTTGGCTTACTTGGGTGACCAGATAATGGGAATGTCCAGGTTAATTTCCACTAATTAGGTCAATATTTATATAGTCATGCAAAGAAATTATCTCTGTTTTTCTATGAAGAAATTTTCCAGGGGATGTAAAATTTTAACTACCTTTGTACAGTAGATTCTGACATTATATTTAAGTATCTTTATATTTTGGACTTCTGCTCTGTATACCTTTATACTTTTCTGAAAGATTGAGATAATAGAAAGCCTTTGTGGAAATATGGAAATTGTCCCACTAGGAGATATTTCTAGATCCATGGACCAGCCATACATTTTTCACGTGTTTTAAGAACACAAATAGATGCATGAGATATCTTCAGTAACCCTCAGTGAAAGAAGCTTTGCTTTTCTGGACCAAGGACAAGACCCAAGATGTGAGTTTTTGAAGCAACTGACAAGGGATACTCACTGAAACTTCCTGTAATGTTTTGAAATATAGCTAAAGTCTTAAATCTCACATGTTTTCATTGGAGGAATCTTAATTGGGAAAATTAAGGAAGCAAAACACAGACATTAATCAGAGTATACAAGTATATTTGGTTTTCATATATAGCCTTATAAGTGTTTATTTTCTAATTTGCCAAGTAACAGGAGAAACATGTTCCATGTTACACATAAAATAAGTAAACCAATAGATTTATAATCTATTATGTAGAATATTTTATTATGTGATACATTAACATAGGTATAGAATTATTTTTAGATATATTTGATTGGAAAATTTAAAATTACAGACTATATCAAATGTGTTAGAGTGTAAAGAAATCAATGCCTAATATGTTCTGGAAGCATGATATGGTCTTTTATGTGTGAATCTAAAAATTATCTCAGCATATACAAGTTCAGGAAAGTATTGAGTACTATTCTTTAGAGAGATTTACAAAACCATATTGTTTTATAAATTTTATCTATAAGGGATTGTTTTTATTACTATGGGATTTTATCATTTGAAAAAGTCACGTTCTTCGGAAGCTGTGTTAAGTTTTTTTTGTCTAGAAAAGTGTTAACTTAGTTATTTTTGTTGAGTGCCAAGTAATATTATCTTTCAGTTTTTAAAGTATTAAATCTTTGATGACTTAAGCTAAAGAGGATAGTTTACATATCCTGGTTTTTACAAGTAAACATCTAAACTGCCCAAGAGAAGATTTATCCTGGTGAAATTTATCAGTGATGATTAAAGAGAGAAAAGGAACTAAATCTTGCAGCAAGTAAGTTGTGAAAAAAAGAGAATGGGCTATAGGTTTTATTATACCCTTGTGTTCTTCAACAGATGTGCGTTTGTTAGTCTGTAACTTCAGCAGTGACAGAACTCTAGAATAAGCTGGAAGTGGTAATGTGAATGAGACATGTGGAACGTTTATCACAAATGGCTTCTAAGGAAACTCAAACTCTCTCTGCACACATCCTCCTTCACTGTCAGATCTATGTAAATGGAATCATCTTGTCTACGTTTGAGATTTAGTAATTCTGTAGTTTTCCTCAGCAGTGAATATCACAAAGTTTGGGTTTGTATCTCTACTTGTCCCATTTTTTTTTCTTTAAGTTTGTCCTTAACTGTCAGATCTAGAAACGCTAAGAGATCAATGTTGTTTTTATTTTTCTTTTTGAATTGTCTTTTCTTTTCTTTTTTTTTTTTTAACTGGGATCTGGTCAATGTCTATTTGTTATGGCTATTACCAAAGCCTCCTGAGTCACGCAGGGACCCACAGGAGGTTGTGCTTCCAGTATTTCCTCACTAAAATAAATTTTTCTGAAGAAAATTTTTAGCAGAAAACTAGCCTCACTTTTTTTTTTTTTTTGAGATAGTCTCACTCGGTCACCCAAGCTGCAGTACAGTAGCATGATCCTGGCTCACTGCAACCTCTGCCTCCTGGGTTCAAGTGATTCTCATGTCTCAGCATCTTGAGTAGCTGGGATAGCAGGTGTGTACCACCATGCCTAGCTAATTTGTCTCACTTAATTATGAAATTAATCATCTTATTTCCTGTGAATATTAATGTATTTACTATAATTTCTCTTTTTTTCTGATTTGACCCCTTTTTCTTTCATTTTCTACCATTTAGCTCTCCTGCCGATGATCAGTTCAACTTTTTTTTTAACTACAATTCTGCTTGCTTCTCATTAAGGTACATTTCATTACAGGTAAGATCACTACTCCTACATAATTAAATACGTAATTCCTAAGACATACAATTTTATTGTGTGCCCCAAAAGGTTTTCCTGAATTATAAGTGTTTAATTCTTTTTAACCTAGACTATGTCTATAAATCTTTTCAAGTTGACAAAGATTCACATGATTTGTTCTATCTTCAAAGTGAAGCATTCAAGAACATTGATAATAACTGTAATTTATTGAGTCCTTACTAGGTGCCAGCCAGTGTTCTAGGCACTTTACTTTCTTTTATAAATCAACAGTTCACTTGAGTTCAAAATTAATTGCTGAAAATTAAGCAATTAAGAATTAATGACTATTGGGATCCCCATTCTACAAATGATGAAAGTAAGGGTCAGAGAGCTTTAGTAAATGGCCCAAAGTCTCATAAAAAATGGTGAACATGAGGTTGTAGCTGAAGAAATGTGGCTCCAGTGTCCACATTATTCACAACATGCTACACTTTCCCTTTGAGGATGTCTTGGATCTTAAATAGGTGCATACTCAGTGAGAAGCTTAGAGTCACTACTCACTGTAATAATAAAACCCATTGTCCCGCAGACTACCATTTTTCATGTAACAGTCATGAGCTTGGAAAATTTTTATTTAATTATATATTTATAAAAAAAGAAAATTGTCAGCAGAATACCATAAACGAGAGATGCACTAATAGTTCTGTAGATAGTTCACTAGAAAGGATTCTGAATTTCTCAAATTTAATCCCATTGTTTTCCAGTGAGTAAACTGAGACAGACTTGTAATTGCATTCAAAAAGTGACTCAAATCCTTGTCTTCTTACATGGAATTTGGAATTTCTCTTAGAGTATGCTTCTTCTTGGAATCTGGTAGCTAAGATTCTATTTTTGAGTTCTTTTGGTATCTAAATAGTGTTATGAATAAAACCATGTCCTACTGTTCTGTACCTCTTTCTATAGTGTCTATTTTCTCCTCTCTCACTACCTAGCTCATCTCAAGAATTCATTAAAAAATAAACATGGCATATTTGGTGATAGTCATGAGTTAGTTCACTTGAGTTCAAATTAATTAAAATTAAGATATTGTATGTAAGTGTTGAAAAAATTGGGGTATAGGCAAGGATAAAATGGAGAGAATCACAGCTCCTTATAAGTTGGACAAGGAGTCAGACCAAGTAATCACTACAGGGAACAATGTGATAAATAATATAGCTATTTATACATTTCAGAGTCATGTCTTCTGACATTTAATGAAAGACAAATAAAGACTGAACATACTTTGAGGCATGAAGGAATGAAGGTCTAATAGTAGAAGGCCAGAGTACTGAGTGACATATTTCAGAAGATGTTATTCTTGGTGCTGCACAGATCATATTATAAAGATACCACACATACAAACACAAAGGACTATATCTATGTCAATTATTTATTTAGAATTTGTTACCACCATCAGAGAGTAAGTCATTTGAGACCAAGAACCTGTCGCCTATTCATCATAGCTGAATTCTGTGCCAAGAAAAATGTTTTAAATAAGAAGTTATAAAATGTATGAATGGCTTTTGGGACTTTAACACTTCTTCTGTATAGAATATTCACTAAAACTTAGAGGTAGAAGCCTTTACCTGTCGCAGAAATGAAAATCTTTGTGGAGAAATAGAATTGTCAAGGGAAGATGGACTCTGGATGAGAAACACAATAGAGACTTACTGCATGTTTATTGTGTGTAAATCACTATTGAGGATACAACAATGAAAATATGCTCTGTGACACAATGGATGTAATCATGTTCCCGTTCACTATTTCATTACAGGTCTTGTTCTCCTGAGCTCTCACCTCTGATACAAGCCTGAAAGAAGAGTAAATGAGACAGAATAACAATATTACAGAAATTGTCCTCCTGGGCTTCTCCAGGATCCTGATGTGCAAAATGCATTATTTGTCATGTTTTTACTCATATACATTGTGACTATGGTGGGGAACCTGCTCATTGTGGTGACTATTATTGCCAGTCCCTCTTTGGGCTCCCCAATGTACTTCTTCCTTGCCTGCCCGTCATTTATAGATGCTGTGTATTCCACCACCATTCCTCCCTTATTGATTGTATACTTACTCTGTGATAAAAAGACTATTTCCTTCCCAGCTTGCATGGGTCAGCTATTTATAGACCACTTGTTAGGTGGTACTGACGTCTTCCTTCTGGTGGTGATGGCCTATGATTGCCACATGGCCATCTGTAAGCCACTGCACTATTTGACCATCATGAATTGACAGGTTTACATCCTTCTGTTGGTGGTGGCTGTGACTGGAGGTTTTCTGTATTCTGTGTTTCAAATTTTAGTTGTGTACAGTCTCCCTTTCTGTGGCCCCAATGTCATTGACCACTTTTTCTGTGACTTATACCCTTTATTGGAACTGGGGTGCATTGACACCTACTTTATAGGCCTTGCTGTTGTTTTCAATGGTGGAGCAATCTGTATGGTCATCTTCACCCTTCTACTAATCTCCTATGGGGTCATCCTAAACTCCCTTAAAACTTATAGTCAGGAAGGGAGGCATAAAGCTCTGTCTACCTGCAGCTCCCACATTGCCATGGTTATCTTGTTTTTTGTTCCCTGTATTTTCATATATGTTAGACCCGTTTCAAACTTTCCTATTGATAAATTCCTGACTGTGTTTTATTCAGTTATCACACCCATGTTGAATCCTTTTATATACACGTTGAGAAATTCAGAGATGAGAAATGCTATAGAAAAACTCTTGTGATACCAAAGTAGGAAGACAGGATTTAGATGCTCCAAGCTCAATTAAGAAGTCATCCCATCATGGCATCTGTTTGAAGTTCAAGATCTCAACGTCTATATCCAGAACTGAGAGCAGATGGGGCTGCTTGGGTGCAGGTCCTATTGTGTACGTTTTAAATTATGTATTTTCTCTATTACACATCTACTGAGACAGGACATTTCTCCTGTATTCCCAGCACAGAGTGGAGAAGGGAAGGAATAGGTAATTAAAATAGATGCTCCTGTTCAAAAGGGAAGGCTATGGTGCTTCCTTCTGTGTAATTTATTTAAAGACTTTGTGGAATATACAAGCACCATATTCACAAATATCTTTGAAACTGCCCCTTCTCAGACTTGAGCTGAAACTCTATGTGCAGTCAGATAATACTCTTAAGAACCTTGGAATTATGTTTGCCTAGTTTAAGGTACTTACGTGACCCACCATTAAATTTGTCTGAAGTCTATTCATAGTGTCTTTACATCCACAAGTTCGGAATGACTTTTATTTGGATGACCCCTCTTACTTTTAGAGTACTTAGCTCTTTGCAGAGACTGGAAAGGGAAACCATTTTCATCTTTGACACCCACAAGTTCTGACTCTTTTATGTTTCTTGTAAATTCTGTCTGAAAATGTAACAGTTAATCTTTTAAGTAATATTATTTTAAAAATCTGACTTATTATAACATACAATGCTATAATAAACAGCTGTAACTTTCAATATTCTATTAGGAAATTTTAGTTGTATCCACCTATTCATTTAAATACATTTTTTATTTTCTACCTTCTTATAGGTGACAGAATTACTAAACAGTTATGTGTATTTTCAGCCTTTACTTACAATATCATGGAGGCCCTTGGTTTTATATACTACAGCCAGTGCCAAACACTTTAAATTGCTGTTATGGAAACACCACACTTTTTAAAAAAAATTTATTTATTTATTATTATTATACTTTAAGTTTTAGGGTACATGGGCACAATGTGCAGGTTAGTTACATATGTATACATGTGCCATGCTGGTGCACTGCACCCACTAACTCATCATCTAGCATTAGGTATATCTCCCAATGCTATCCCTCCCCCCTTCCCCCACCCCACAACAGTCCCCAGAGTGTGATATTCCCCTCCCTGTGTCCATGTGATCTCATTGTTCAATTCCCAACTATGAGTGAGAATATGCGGTGTTTGGTTTTTTGTTCTTGTGATAGTTTACTGAGAATGATGATTTCCAATTTCATCCATGTCCCTACAAAGGACATGAACTCATCATTTTTTCTGGCTGCATAGTATTCCATGGTGTATATGTGCCACATTTCCTTAATCCAGTCTATCATTATTGGACATTTGGGTTCGTTCCAAGTCTTTGCTATTGTGAATAATGCTGCAATAAACATATGTGTGCATGTGTCTTTATAGCAGCATGATTTATAGTCCTTTGGGTATATAATCAGTAATGGGATGGCTGGGTCAAATGGTATTTCTAGTTCTAGATCCCTGAGGAATCGCCACACTGACTTCCACAATGGTTGAACTAGTTTACAGTCCCACCAACAGTGTAAAAGTGTTCCTATTTCTCCACATCCTCTCTAGCACCTGTTGTTTCCTGACTTTTTAATGATCGCCATTCTAACTGGTGTGAGATGGTATCTCATTGTGGTTTTGATTAGCATTTCTCTGATGGCCAGTGATGGTGAGCATTTTTTCATGTGTTTTTTGGCTGCATAAATGTCTTCTTTTGAGAAGTGTCTATTCATGTCCTTCGCCCACTTTTTGATGGGGTTGTTTTTTTTCTTGTAAATTTGTTTGAGTTCATTGTAGATTCTGGATATTAGCCCTTTGTCCGATGAGTAGGTTGTGAAAATTTTCTCCCATTTTGTAGGTTGCCTGTTCATTCTGAGGGTAGTTTTTTTTGCTGTGCAGAAGCTCTTTAGTTTAATTAGATTCCATTTGTCAATTTTGGCTTTTGTTGCCATTGCTTTTGGTGTTTTAGACATGAAGTCCTTGCCCATGCCTATGTCCTGAATGGTAATGCCTAGGTTTTCTTCTAGGGTTTTGATGGTTTTAGGTCTAATGTTTAAGTCTTTAATCCATCTTGAATTGATTTTTGTATAAGGTGTAAGGAAGGGATCCAGTTTCAGCTTTCTGCATATAGCTAGCCAGTTTTCCCAGCACCATTTATTAAATAGGGAATCCTTTCCCCATTGCTTGTTTTTCTCAGGTTTGTCAAAGATCAGATAGTTGTAGATATGCGGCATTATTTCTGAGGGCTCTGTTCTGTTCCATTGATCTATATCTCTGTTTTGGTACCAGTACCATGCTGTTTTGGTTACTGTAGCCTTGTGGCATAGTTTGAAGACTGGTAGTGTGATGCCTCCAGCTTTGTTCTTTTGGCTTAGGATTGACTTGGCGATGAGGGCTCTTTTTTGGTTCCATATGAACTTTAAAGTAGTTTTTTCCAATTCTGTGAAGAAAGTCATTGGTAGCTTGATGGGGATGGCATTGAATCTGTAAATTACCTTGGTCAGTATGGCCATTTTCATGATATTGATTCTTCCTACCCATGAGCATGGAATGTTATTCCATTTGTTTGTATACTCTTTTATTTCATTGAGCAGTGGTTTGTAGTTCTCCTTGAAGAGGTCCTTCACATCCCTTGTGAGTTGGATTCCTAGGTATTTTATTCTCTTTGAAGCAATTATGAATGGGAGTTCTCTCATGATTTGGCTCTCTGTTTGTCTGTTGTTGGTGTACAAGAATGCTTGTGATTTTTGTACATTGATTTTGTATCCTGAGACTTTGCTGAAGTTGCTTATCAGCTTAAGGAGATTTTGGGCTGAGGCAATGGGGTTTTCTAGATATACAATCATGTCATCTGCAAACAGGGACAATTTGACTTCCTGTTTTCCTAATTGAATACCCTTTATTTCCTTCTCCTGCCTAATTGCCCTGGCCAGAACTTCCAACACTATGTTGAATAGGAGTGGTGAGAGAGGGCATCCCTGTCTTGTGCCAGTTTTCAAAGGGAATGCTTCCAGTTTTTGCCCATTCATTATGATATTGGCTGTGGTTTTGTCATAGATAGTCCTTATTATTTTGAAATACGTTCCATCAATACCTAATTTATGGAGAGTTTTTAGCATGAAGGTTGTTGAATTTTGTCAAAGGCCTTTTCTGCATCTATTGAGATAATCATGTGGTTTTTGTCTTTGGTTCTGTTTATATGCTGGATTACATTTATTGATTTGCATATATTGAAGAAGCCTTGCATCCCAGGGATGAAGCCCACTTGATCATGGTGGATAAGCTTTTTGATGTGCTGCTGGATTCGGTTTGCCAGTATTTTATTGAGGATTTTTGCATCAATGTTCATCAAAGATATTGGTCTAAAATTCTCTTTTTTGGTTGTGTCTCTGCCCGGCTTTGGTATCAGGATGATGCTGGCCTCATAAAATGAGTTAGGGAGGATTCCCTCTTTTTCTATTGATTGGAATAGTTTCCGAAGGAATGGTACAAGTTCCTCCTTGTACCTCTGGTAGAATTCGGCTGTGTATCCATCTGGTCCTGGACTCTTTTTGGTTGGTACGCTATTGATCATTGCCACAATTTCAGATCGTGTTATTGGTCTATTCAGAGATTCAACTTCTTCCTGGTTTAGTCTTGGGAGAGTGTATGTGTCCAGAAATTTATCCATTTCTTCTAGATTTTCTAGTTTATTTGCGTAGAGGTGTTTGTAGTATTCTCTGATGGTAGTTTGTATTTCTGTAGGATCAGTGGTGATATCCCCTTTATCATTTTTTATTGCGTCTATTTGATTCTTCTCTCTTTTTTTCTTTATTAGTCTTGCTAGCAGTCTATCAATTTTGTTGATCCTTTCAAAAAACCAGCTCCTGGATTCATTAATTTTTTGAAGGTTTTTTTGTGTCTCTATTTACTTCAGTTCTGCTCTGATTTTAGTTATTTCTTGCCTTCTGCTAGCTTTTGAATGTGTTTGCTCTTGCTTTTCTAGTTCCTTTAATTGTGATGTTAGGGTGTCTTTGTTCTCGTTGGTTTCAAAGAACATCTTTATTTCTGCCTTCATTTAGTTATGTACCCAGTAGTCATTCAGAAGCAGGTTGTTCAGTTTACATGTAGTTGAGCGGTTTTGAGTGAGATTCTTAATGCTGAGTTCTAGTTTGATTGCACTGTGGTCTGAGAGATAGTTTGTTATAATTTCTGTTCTTTTACATTTGCTGAGGAGAGCTTTACTTCCAACTATGTGGTCAATTTTGGAATAGGTGTGGTGTGGTGCTGAAAAAAATGTATATTCTGTTGATTTGGGGTGGAGAGTTCTGTAGATGTCTATTAGGTCTGCTTGGTGCAAAGCTGAGTTCAATTCCTGGGTATCCTTTTTGACTTTCTGTCTCGTTGATCTGTCTAATGTTGACAGCGGGTGTTAAAGTCTCCCATTATTAATGTGTGGGAGTCTAAGTCTCTTTGTAGGTCACTCAGGACTTGCTTTATAAATCTGGGTGCTCCTGTATTGGGTGCATATATATTTAGGATAGTTAGCTCTTCTTGTTGAATTGATCCCTTTACCATTATTTAATGGCCTTCTTTGTCTCTTATGATATTTGTTGGTTTAAAATCTGTTTTATCAGAGACTGGGATTGCAACCCCTGCCTTTTTTTGTTTTTCATTTGCTTGGTAGATCTTCCTCCATCCTTTCATTTTGAGCCTATGTGTGTCTCTGCACGTGAGATGGGGGAAACACCACACTTTAAGGTGCCACTTTTTTTTTTTTTTTTTTTTTTTTTTTGAGACGGAGTCTCGCTCTGTCGCCCAGGCTGGAGTGCAGTGGCGGGATCTCGGCTCACTGCAAGCTCCGCCTCTGGGGTTCAGGCCATTCTCCTGCCTCAGCCTCCCAAGTAGCTGGGACTACAGGCGCCCGCCACTACGCCCGGCTAATTTTTTGTATTTTTAGTAGAAACGGGGTTTCACCGTTTTAGTCGGGATGGTCTCGATCTCCTGACCTCGTGATCCGCCCGCCTCGGCCTCCCAAAGTGCTGGGATTACAGGCGTGAGCCACCGCGCCCGGCCAAGGTGCCACTTTTTATTATTCTCCTGTCTTCTTGTATGGTGCAGAGCTCCACAGTTTTTATGATTTCAAACAACCTTCATTTTATTTTATCTCAAAATTTTGTGAGTCAGGAATTCAGGCAGTTGTTGGCTGGGTGTTTCTTCTGTTTTGTGTGGCAAGGACTGAAGTCACTGTCTTATTCAGCTGATAATTGAGTTTTATGTAAACGCCGGATAACTTAATGCACATTTAAAGCATATTGTAAGGGATGACATTAAGAGATGCATTGGGTCCTCTTCCTATCCCTTTAGATGAAGGAACACAAGATCACTCCAGAGAATAGTCTAGGTTTTTACATCGTGCTCAGAGATCCCAGTGGTAGAAAGTGGATGGGTCCAGCCAGCTAAGGGCTGTGTCCGGAACTGACACAATGTCACTTGCATCATATTCTATTTGTCGTAGTGATCACATGACCACCCAGATTTGAGGTTTTACAGAAATAGTAGATAACCTTTGATGCGGAAGTTTCAAAGTCACCTTGCAGATCAGCATGCAGGAAAATCGTCCACATCTCAAAAAGAGCATATTGTAGTTTTATTCATTTTAAGTTAGATCCATAAATCATCTTGAACTAACAATATCTGAGCAACATTGGGTTTTCTAATTCCTGAATACAGTATATCTGTTAGGTATTTAAAATGTTTATTTTTGAAGAGTTTTGCAGTTGTTATTCATGTAGGGATCTTCCTTATCTATTCATAAGTATTTATGTTTTCAGATTTCATCACAGATTTTTAATTAAAAAATCCATTTGTCATTGTTGCTAGTATGTATGTAAAGGAAATTGAAGTTTTTATTTGACATTTTAGTCCTATAAACTTGTAAATTTACTTCTTATTCCTACAAAGTTATTCTTTAGGGTTTTCTCTAACACTATCATGTTATCTGCAAGTAAGTATAGCTCATTACTTGGAAAGAGATGGGGTGTTTCAGTTTCTTTTTGTGTCATGTTTGGAAGATTGTTCTTTCCCTACATTTTACCTAATTCATCTAAGCTGTCAAACTAATTGAAATAATGTATTTCAGAACAATCCTTTTCTAACCTTTTAAGTCTAAAGAATCTATGGGGTGATTATTTGTTTTATGATTCCTGGTATTGGTAATTTGAATTTGTCTTTCCTTTGATAACTCTTCCTGGCAATTTATCAATTTCATTATGAAAGTACCAACTTGTGGCTATTTTCATTTTCTCTATTTTATGTTTTCCATTTTATTGCTTTTGATCTTATATTTATGTCCTTTCATTTACTTACCTTGGCTTTTATTTACTGTTCTTGTTCTAGCTTCTTAAGGTGAAGGCTCAGATGCCTGCTTGTAAATATTTATTTTAAATGTAAGCTTTTATAGCTATACATGTTACTTTAAGTACTGTTTTGATCACACCTCAAACATTTTGATGTTTTTGTTATTGCTGAGTTCTAAATATTTGCTTATTTACATTATACTTTTTTCTTTGATTCATAGGTTCACTAAATATTTATTGGCATGCTTCCTAATATTTGAAGCATACTCTAGATATATTTATGAGTTATTTATTTATACAAAGGAAATTATTTCAAAATTTAGTGATTCAAACAATATGTACTCATTCTCAATTTCTGTAGGTCAGGATACTAAGGATGGCTTAGGTTCCCATGCTTCAAGGTCTCTCACAAAAACTGTAATCAAGATGATGGTTGGGGCTACCATCTCATATGAAAGCTTAGCTGAGGAAGGATCCACTTCCACTCTGGTATTGGGATATAGGTCCTATTTTTATGTTAGTTCTTCATCTTGGAATTATAATTTAGACCACAGTATGCTTGATCATATCTGATAGTTCTTCAGAATTAAAAATATTTGTGTGCATGTTTTAGCACTTACCAGTAAGACAGCACAGCACATATAGACGTGCTCTTTGAATTTTAGCAGTAATACATATTACATTTGGGGTGATGTGTTTAATCCATTTACTAGCTAAGTTGAAAATGACTAACTTTTAGTGTAGCCTGTTATGTGATAAAGACTTTAGCTATCTCAGATAGGTATTTATGGGACTCTTTAAGACTCTTATGACACAAAGATCAAACATTTAGCTCAACGTATGATGAGATGAAGGTGTTCAATAGATCCAATGGTAAGCCAAGTCATGGAAATAACAGTGGAAGCCCTTAAATACTTCTTCCTTGTTGGAAATAAAAATTTCTTTATTGTAGAAACAGTTATTGGATTGATATTAGAATATAATTAAAATATTGAGTTAATGGATGTATTAGTCCGTTTTCACACTGCTGATAATGACATGCCCAAGACTGGGAAGAAATAGAGGTTTAATTAGACTTACAGTTCCACAGGGCTTGAAAGGCCTCAGAGTCATGTTGGGAGGTGCAAGTCACTTCTTACATGGCAGTGGCAAGAGAAAAATGAGGAAGATACAATTCAAGTTGAGATTTGGGTGGGGACACAGCCACACCGTATCAATGGACTACTGATCATTATGGTTATATCTGACTTAGATACAGGTCTTGATCAAAAGCCTCAAAAGCCTGTACTCTAACTAAAACTGCAGCACTATGATTACCTATTTTTCCATGAATCAGAATGTCAACTTCCGTTCTTAGGCTCTCTGCCTCTGAGCCTCAGGGCTTCTTGGGCACAGACTTTCTAACAGGAAGGGTAAGGCCCTACTTACTGGGAGCATTTTTAGCAAAGAGAACCTGGAGCTGGTTCTCCTTTAATTCTGGCTGAAATATTACTTGCCTTACCTAAATATTTCATAACATGCATCTCATAACTTATTATTCAATTCACTTTAAAATTATTCTTTTCATATTGTAGGCATTTCACATTACTTGTCATTTACCTACTCTTCCTTAGCAAGAACCAAATCTTTTTCCTCTAGGGATTTTGTAAGAAAAAATTATACAGAGAGGTTCTTTCATTTGAAGTTGTTCCAAATATTCTAATTAACTAATCTATAGTGAAGTTACTCTCTCTTTCTAAAATATTGTTGATGTAAAGGTTATAGACTGTGTCTACAGACACAAATGGAAGAATTATTTTTCTGATAGAGCAGCCCAGGAGATATCAAAAAAGTTAAATTTCTGCCCAAGGTAGCGTATGTCTTCAGTTGGTATCTCGTCCTCTAGGTGTAATATTTTCTTGAAATGTCTACCATTGCTTATAAAAATGAGTGAAAGTTCTCAATTTCCTGGGATGAGATTGGGGAGATATAAGGACATGCTTTTACTTAGGAAAGAATTGGTCTTAGGGATATGCTAGTTGAAAGACTGAAAGACTGAAGAGTTTGGCTTCTGCCTGTGGGAAAGCTCTGTCACTGGATTCTCCATGAAGTTAAATCTCAGCATTGTCCTTGTTAGGTACCAAGCTTAATAGCTGGGCACATGAATGTTATAAATCCTCAATCACAGTAAAGTACTTATGGTTGCTTCACCATAATTGAGAAAATATTCAAGTAACAAATTTAAGTGTTGCTACTTGTGTCATATAATAAGGGTGTTTTCCAGGTTAATTTCCACTAATTAGTTCCACTTTTACATAGTCAAGCAGAGACGGTCTCTGTTTTTCTTCGAAGGCATTTTCCAGCAGGTGAGAATATTCAATTACCTTTCACAGTAAATATTGTCGTTATCTTAAAGCATTATTATAGTTTGGTCATCTGCTTTGGATAGTGCTATACTTCTCTAAAGACTAAGATAATGAGAAGCCTGTGTGGAACTGTGGAAACTGTAGCCACTAGGAACTAGTTCTATATCCATGGATCAGCCATGTATATTCCTGTGTTTTATGAGGACACATAGAGGCATGAGGTATCTATGGCAATCCTCAGTGAAAGAAGCATTGCTTTTCTGGACCAAGATGTGAGTATTTGAAACCATTGACAAGAGATAATTCATTAAAAATTCCTGTGATATGTTGAAATGTAGCTAATATCTTAAAAACCAATGGTTTTATTTGATAAATTCTAATTGGAAAAATTAAGCTAGCACACATGGAAATTTATCAGCATATACAATGTATATTTGGTTTTAATATACAGCCTAATTGTCTTTTTCCATTTGTCAAATAAGAAGAAAAACATGTTCCATATTACACTTAATAATAAATGAATCAATAGATGTGTAATCTTAGTGTTTGGGATATTATATTTTATATGATATATTAATAAATGTGTACAATTACTTTCAGATATAATTGATTAGAGAATTTAAAATTCTGGATCATGTCAAGTTTGTTGAAGTGTAAATGAACAAATGCCTGTTATGTTCTGGAAACATGATACAGGATTTTACTTATGAATCTAAAAATTATTTCAGCAAACATACTAATAGATACGTACGGTCAGGAAGGTACCTAGTCAGCTGTCATTTAAATAGATTTATAAAACAGTGACTGTGAAACATACTATTATAGATGTTTTTGTGTTATTATAGAATTTTATCTTTTGAAAATGACATGAACTTAGGAAACTATATTAAATCATTTTTTTCTAGAAAATTGTTAACAGCAGTTTACATTGAAAGCCTAGTAATGCTATGTTTCAGCTTTTAAAGTATTATGTTTTTAATTATTTAAACTATAAAGGATAATTTTATACCCTAGTTTTACAAGTAAACATTTAAATTCCCAAATAGAATTTTCTTGTTGAATGTAGTTTTGATGATGAAAGGGGGAAAACACACTAAACTTTGCAGCAAGCAAGATGTAAAAAAAATAACGGAATTGGCTATAGGCTACATTATTCTCTTGTGTTCTCCAGCACGTGCATCTCTATAAGTCTATAGCTTCAACAGTGCCAGAACTCTTTATCAGCTGTAAGTGGTAACATGAATGAGACATGTGGAAAGTGCATCACAGCTGGCTTCTAGAGACAGCTCAGACTGTCTCTGCATACGTCCTCTTCCACTGCCAGATTTATATAAATGGAATCATCCTGTCTACATTTGAGGTTTAGTAATTCTGCAGTTTTCCTCAGCAGTGAATAATCACAAAGTCTGGGTTTTTATCTCAACTTGTCCCATTGTTCTCTATAATTTAAGTTTGTCTTTAACCATCAGATGGAGAGATTTTGATAAATCAATGTGTTTTGTTTTTCTTCTGAGTTTTCTTTTCTTTTCTTTTTGTTGTTTATTAGGATTTGCTCTGTGTTTGTTTGGCTACCCCAAGAAGCCTCCTGAGTCTCCTCAGGGACCACAGCGGGTTGTGCTTCCAGTATTTCCTCACTCTCTGAAGATTTTTAGAAGAATACTAGACTCAGTTATCACATTAATCTTTATCTTCTTATTACCCATGGACATTAAGTTATTTATTGTAATTACTCTTTTCTGATTTGATCCCTTTTTCTTTCATTTTTTTTTAACCATTTAGCTCTCTGTCTGATGATGGGTCCAACTTTTCTACTATAATTCTGCCTGATATTGTCAAGATACTTTCCACCACAGATAAAATCACTACTCATACATAATTAAATGGATAATACCTAAGACATACAAGAGATAAAATTATATTGTGTCCCCAAAAGCTTTTCCTGAATTATATGTGTCTTCTATTTTTTTTTCCTCTGGACTGTGTCTATAAATCTTTTCAAATTGACAAAGATGCAGATGATTTGTTTTTTTTAATTATACTTTAAGTTTTAGGGTACATGTGCACAACGTGCAGGTTTGTTACATATGTATACATGTGCCATGTTGGTGTGCCACACCCATTAACTTGTCATTCAACATTAGGTATATCTCCTAATGCTATCCTTCCCCCCTCCCCCCACCCCACAACAGGCCCCACTGTGTGATGTTCCCCTTCCTGTGTCCGTGTGTTCTCATTGTTCAATTCCCACCTATGAGTGAGAACATGCAGTGTTTGGTTTTTTGTCCTTGCGATAGTTTGCTGAGAATGATGGCTTCCAGTTTCATCCATGTCCCTACAAAAGACATGAACTCATCATTTTTTATGGCTGCATAGTATTCAATGGTGTATATGTGCCACATTTTTTTTAATCCAGTCTATCATTGTTGGACATTTGGGTTGGTTCCAAATCTTTGCTATAGTGAATAGTGCCACAATAAACATACGTGTGTATGTGTCTTTATAGCAGCATGATTTGTTTTGATCCAGTGTTCACAGTGAAGCATTCAGGAACACAAGTATTAGCTGTCTTTTACTGGGCCTTTACCAGGTGCCAGCCAGTGTTCTAGGAAACTTTACTTTGTTGTAATAAAAGAACTCTAGAGGTTTCAAATGAAAATGAGACATAGAGCAGTTTAGTAAGTGGCCCAAAATCATATAGTAAGTGGTGAAACTGGGCTTGTAGCTGAGGCAGTGTGGCTCCTTTGTCCCCATTATTCACCACATGCTACACTTTCTTTCCAAGGATTTCTTGGATCTTAAATAGGCACATATTGAGTAGGAAACTTGTAGTCATAATTTACTCACTGTAATCATGAAACATCTACCACTGACTACCGTTATTCATGTAACAGTTATGAGCTTGGAAATTGCTATTTAATTATAAATATATGAAAAATGAAAAAGTCAGCAGAATATAATAAGGGAGGGGTGCACTAATGGTTTTGTAGGTGGTTGACTGGAAAGGATTCTCAGTTCATCTAATTCAATCACATTGTTTTCCAGTGAGCAAACTGAGACAGACATGTAAATTCATTCAGAAAATGACTCAAATTGATGTCATCTTACAGTGAACTTGGAATTTCTCTTTGAGTATGCTTTTTTGGAATCAGGACACTAAGATTCTATTTTTGAATACTCTCAGTATCTAAATAGTGTTAAAAATAAAACAGTGTCCTCTGTTCTGTACCTTTTTGTAAGGTGTCTGTTTTCTCCTCTCTCACTATGTAGTTCACCCTAAGAAATCAGAAAAAAAACTCACATCTAACGTGGCAGTTGGTGATAGCCATCAGTTAGTTTTCTTGAGTTCAAAATTTGTTGGTGAAAATCAGGATACTGTATGTAAATATGATTAAAAAATTGTGGAATAGGCATGAATAAGATGCAGAGATGTGCAGCTCCTTATAAGGCAACAGAGGGTCAGACCAAGTAATTGCTGCAGGGAATAATGTGATAAATAATATTTTACTATTTATTCAGGTTAATGTCCAGTCTCTTGACATTTAATGAGGTATTCATAAAGACTGAACATCTTTCAAGGCATGAAGGACTGAATGTGTAACTGTGGAAGGCCACAGTACTGAGTGAGATATTTCAGAAGATATTACTTTTGATGCTACACAGATCATAAAGATACTACAACTACAAACTCAAAGCACTGAATATACACGAATTTATTTATTTAGAGTCTATTACCACCATGAGAAAGTAACATTATTGACACCAATAATCTGTTGCCTATTCATCATAGCTGACTTCTGTGCCAAGAAATATATTTTAAATAAGGAGCTATGAAATATATGAATGGCTGTTGGGACTTTAACTCTTCTTCTGTACAGAATATTCACTAAAACTGAGAGGCAGAAGCTGTTACCTGTAGGCTGAAATGAAAACCTTTGAGGAGATGAGGAACTCAATAGAGACTTACAAAATGTTTATCATGTGTGTAAGTCACTATTGAAGATACAATGATGAAGATGTGCTCTGTGACATCATGGATGTATTCATATTCCTGTTCAGTATTTCGTTACAGGTCCTGTTCTCCTGAGCTCTTTACTCTGATACAAGCCTCAGAGAATAGAAAATGAGACTGAGTATCAATGTTACAGCATTTGTCCTCCTAGGCCTTACTCAGGATCCTGATGTGTAAAATGCATTATTTGTCATACGGTTTACTCACATACTTTATGACTATGGTGGGGAACCTGCTCATTGTGGTGACTATTATTGCCAACCCCACCTTAGGCTCCCCAGTGTACTTCTTCCTTGCCTGCTTGTCATTTATAGATGCTGTGTATTCCACCACCATTTCTCCCAAATTGATTGTAGGCTATCTCCATGATAAAAAGACTGTTTCCTTCCAAGCTTGCATGGGTCAGCCATTTTATAGACCACTTAGTTGGCGGTGCTGAGGTCTTCCTTCTGTTGGTGATGGCCTATAATCGCTATGTAGCCATCTGTAAGCCACTGCACTATTTCACCATCATGAATTGACAGGTTTGCATCCTTCTGTTGGTGGTGGCTGTCACTGCAGGTTTTGTGCATTCTGTGTTTCAAATTTTAGTTGCGTACAGTCTCCTTTTCTGTGGTCCCAATATCATTGACCACTTTTTCTGTGACATGTACCCATTATTGGAACTGGCACACACTGACACCTACTTTATAGGCCTCACTGAGGTTGCCAATGGTGGAGGAATCTGTATGGTCGTGTTCATCCTTCTACTAATCTCCTATGGGGTCATCCTAATCTCCCTTAAAACTTATAGTCAGGAAGGGAGGCATAAAGCCCTGTCTACCTGCAGCTCCCACATTACCGTGACTGTCCTGTTTTTTGTTCCCTGTAGTTTCATGTATGTTAGACCTGTTTCAAACTTTCCTATTAATAAATTAATTACTGTGTTTTATACAGTTATCACACCCATGTTGAATCCATTAATATACACATTGAGAAACTGAGAGATGAAAAATGCTATAGAAAACCTCTGGTGTAAATATTAACTCTAGATAGAATAAGAGTGTACATTTTCATGTAGTTACAGGGTTATGTAGGTAAAGCCTTTCCAGCGAGTTTGTTAGACTTGTAATGGCAATTCAGGGATCCTAGATTGGGAAAGCGGGATTCAGGAGCTCCCAGGTCAGTTAACATCTTGTCCCATCATGAGCTCAATTTGACATCCAGGATGTCAAATTCTATATCCAGAGTGAGTGTGGACAAACCTCTTGGGGTACAATTTCCAATGCACAGCTCTTTTATATTGGTTCTCTATTTTCAGGTCTATGAACTAGAGACAGGGTTTTTCTTTCTCATTCTCAGCATACAATGGAGGAAGAGAGGAATAAATAACCAAAAATAGACACTACTGTTTACAAGAAAATGCTAAGGTGCTTCCTTCAATGCAATTTCCTTAAAAACACTGTAATATTTCTGTGTTTTTTAAATTGTCATTTAAAACATTATACAAGAGCCACACTCACAAATATCTTTGGAACTGACTCTTCTTGGGTTTGAGCTGAGAGTCTGTGTGTGTGAAGTGGGATAATTCCCATAGGAGTCTTAGAATTATTTTTGTTTCATTGGTAGGGTTTATGAAACACACTTTAAAATCTTTCTGAAGTCTTCTCAAAGAATCTTCCATTGACAACTTTGATATGACTTTTTTTTTCAGACACTTAAAGCATGTGGCATTGTCTTTAATATTAGAAGCTAGGTGACATTATTAACATTGAGAGTCTTTAGATCTTTGGAGAGACTGGAAAGGGAAACCAGTTTTATTTTTGGAACCAGCAAGTTTGGGCTGTTTTCTTTTCTTTCTTCTTCTTTTTTTAATTTTAGTAGTACATTTTATTTAACCCAATATATCCTAAATATTTTGATTTCAATATGTATTCAATATAGAAATTATTAAGATTCTGTACATTCTTTTGTTTTGTTTTTGTTTTTTTTAAATTTTTTTATTATACTTTAAGTTTTAGGGTACATGTGCACAATGTGTAGGTTTGTTACATAAGTATGCATGCGCCATGTTGGTGTGTTGCACCCATTAACTCATCATTTAGCATTAGGTATATCACCTAATGCTATACCTCCCCCCTCCCCCCACCTCACAACAGTCCCCAGTGTGTGATGTTCCCCTTCCTGTGTCCTTGTGTTCTCATTGTTCAATTCTCACCTATGAATGAGAACATGCAGTGTTTGGTTTTTTCTCCTTGTGATAGTTTGCTGAGAATGATGGCTTCCAGTTTCATCCATGTCCCTACAAAGGACATGAACTCATCATTTTTTATGGCTGCATAGTATTCCATGGTGTATATGTGCCACATTTTCTTAATCCAGTCTATCGTTGTTGGACATTTGGGTTGGTTCCAAGTCTTTGCTATTGTGAATAGTGCCACAATAAACATATGTGTGCATGTGTCTTTATAGCAGCATGATTTATAGTCCTTTGGGTATATACCCAGTAATGGGATGGCTGAATCAAATGGTATTTCTAGTTCTAGATCCCTAAGGAATCGCCACCCTGACTTCCACAATGGTTGGACTAGTTTACAGTCCCACCAACAGTGTAAAAGTGTTCCTATTTCTCCACATCCTCTCCAGCGCCTGTTGTTTTTGACTTTTTAATGATCGCCATTCTAACTGGTGTGAGATGGTATCTCATTGTGGTTTTGATTTGCATTTCTCTGATGGCCAGTGATGGTGAGCATTTTTTCATGTGTCTTTTGGCTGCAAAAATGTCTTCTTTTGAGAAGTGTCTGTTCATATCCTTCACCCACTTTTTGATGGGGTTGTTTGATTTTTCTTGTAAATTTGTTTGAGTTCATTGTAGATTCTGGATACTAGCCCTTTGTCAGATGAGTAGGTTGCAAAAATGTTCTCCCATTTTGTAAGTTGCCTGTTCACTCTGAGGGTAGTTTCTTTTGCTGTGCAGAAGCTCTTTAGTTTAATTAGATCCCATTTGTCAATTTTGGCTTTTGTTGCCATTGCTTTTGGTGTTTTCAGACATGAAATCCTTGCCCATGCCTATGTCCTCAATGGTAATGCCTAGGTTTTCTTCTAGGGTTTTGATGGTTTTAGGTCTAATGTTTAAGTCTTTAATCCATCTTGAATTGATTTTTGTATAAGGTGTAAGGAAGGGATCCAGTTTCAGCTTTCTCCATATGGCTAGCCAGTTTTCCCAACACCATTTATTAAATAGGGAATCCTTTCCCCATTGCTTGTTTTTGTCAGGTTTGTCAAAGATCAGATAGTTGTAGATATGCGGCATTATTTCTGGGTGCTCTGTTCTGTTCCATTGATCTATATCTCTGTTTTGGTACCTGTACCATGCTGTTTTGGTTACTGTAGCCTTGTAGTATAGTTTGAAGTCAGGTAGTGTGATGCCTCCGGCTTTGTTCTTTTGGCTTAGGATTGACTTGGCAATGCGGGCTCTTTTTTGGTTCCATATGAACTTTAAAGTGGTTTTTTCCAATTCTGTGAAGAAAGTCATTGGTAGCTTGATAGGGATGGCATTTAATCTGTAAATTACCTTGGGCAGCATGGCCATTTTCATGATATTGATTCTTCCTACCCATGAGCATGGAATATTCTTCCATTTGTTTGTATCCTCTTTCATTTCCTTGAGCAGTGGTTTGTAGTTCTCCTTGAAGAGGTCCTTCACGTCCCTTGTAAGTTGGATTCCTAGGTATTTTATTCTCTTTGAAGCAATTGTGAATGGGAGTTCATTCATGATTTGGCTCTCTGTCTGTTATCAGTGTATAAGAATGCTTGTGATTTTTGCACATTGATTTTGTATCCTGAGACTTTGCTGAAGTTGCTTATCAGCTTAAGGAGATTTTGGGCTGAGACAATGGGGTTTTCTAGATATACAATCATGTCATCTGCAAACAGGGACAATTTGACTTCCTCTTTTCCTAATTGAATACCCTTTATTTCCTTCTCCTGCCTAATTGCCTGTGCCAGAACGTCCAACACTATGTTTAATAGGAGTGGTGAGAGAGGGCATACTGTCTTGTTCCAGTTTTCAAAGGGAATGCTTCCAGTTTTTGCCCATTCAGGATGATACTGGCTGTGGGTTTGTCATATGTGGCTCTTATTATTTTGAGATATGTCCTATCAATACCTAATCTATTGAGAGTGTTTAGCATGAAGGGTTGTTGAATTTTGTCAAAGGCCTTTTCTGCATCTATTGAGATAATCATGTGGTTTTTGTCTTTGGTTCTGTTTATATGCGAGATTACATTTATTGATTTGCATATGTTGACCCAGACTTGCATCCCAGGGATGAAGCCCACTTGATCATGATGGATAAGCTTTTTGATGTGCTGCTGGATTCGGTTTACCAGTATTTTATTGAGGATTTTTTCATCAATGTTCATCAAGATATTGTTCTAAAAATCTCTTTTTTTGTTGTGTCTCTGTCAGGCTTTGGTATCAGGATGATGCTGGCCTCAAAAAATGAGTTAGGGAGGATTCCCTATTTTTCTATTGATTGGAATAGTTTCAGAAGGAATGGTACCAGCTCCTCCTTGTACCTCTGGTAGAATTTGGCTGCGAATCCATCTGGTCCTGGACTTTTTTTGGTTGCTAAGCTATTGATTATTGCCTCAATTTCAGAGCCTGCTATTGGTCTATTCAGAGATTCAACTTCTTCCTGGTTTAGTATTGGGAGGGTGTATGTGTCAAGGAATTTATCCATTTCTTCTAGATTTTCTAGTTTATTTTTGTAGCGGTGTTTATTGTATTCTCTGATAGTAGTTTGTATTTCTGTGGGATCAGTGGTGATATCCCCTTTATCAAATTTTATTGCATCTATTTGATTCTTCTCTCTTTTCCTCTTTGTTGGTCTTGCTAGCGGTCTATCAATTTTGTTGATGTTTTCAAAAAACCAGCTCCTGGATTCATTGATTTTTTGAAGGGTCTCTATTTCCTTAAGTTCTGCTCTGATTTTAGTTATTTCTTGCCTTCTGCTAGCTTTTGAATGTGTTTGCTCTTGCTTTTCTAGTTCTTTTATTTGTGATGTTAGGGTGTCAATTTTGAATCTTTCCTGCTTTCTCTTGTGGGCATTTAGTGCTATAAATTTCCCTCTACACACTGCTTTGAATGTGTCCCAGAGATTCTGGTATGTTGTGTCTTTGTTCTCATTGGTTTCAAAAAACATCTTTATTTCTGCCTTGATTTCGTTATGTACCCAGTAGTCATTCAGGAGCAGGTTATTCAGTTTCCATGTAGTTGAGCCATTTTGAGGGAGTTTCTTAATCCTGAGTTCTAGTTTGATTGCACTGTGGTCTGAGAGACAGTTCGTTATAATTTCTGTTCTTTTACATTTGCTGAGGAGTGCTTTACTTCCAACTATGTGGTCAATTTTGGAATAGGTGTGGTGTGGTGCTGAAAAAAATGTATATTCTGTTGATTTGGGGTGCAGAGTTCTGTAGATGTCTATTACGTCTGCTTGGTGGAGAGCTGAGTTCAATTCCTGGGTATCCTTGTAAATTTCTGTCACGTTGATCTGTCTAATGTTGACAGTGGGGTGTTAAAGTCTCCCATTTTTATTGTGTGGGAGTCTAAGTCTCTTTGTAGGTCACTAAGGACTTGCTTTATGAATCTGGGTACTCCTGTATTGGGTGCATATATATTTAGGATAGGTAGCTCTTCTTGTTGAACTGATCCCTTTACCTTTATGTAATGGCCTTCTTTGTCTCTTTTGATCTTTGTTTGTTTAAAGTCTGTTTTATCAGAGACTGGAATTGCAACCTCTGCCTTTTTTTGTTTTCCATTTGCTTGGTAGGTCTTCCTCCATCCCTTTATTTTGAGCCTGTGTGTGTCTGTGCATGTGAGATGGGTTTCCTGAATACAGCTCACTGATGGGTCTTGACTCTTTATCCAATTTGCCAGTGTGTGACTTTTCACTGGGGCATTTAGCCCATTTACATTTAAAGTTAATATTGTTGTGTGTGAATTTGATCCTGTCATAATGATGTTAGCTGGTTATTTTGCTTGTTAGTTGATGGAGTTTCTTCCTAGTCTTGATGGTCTTTACATTTTGGCACGTTTTTGCAGTGGCTGGTACCAGTTGTTCCTTTCCATGTTCAGTGCTTCCTTCAGGAGGTGTTTTAGGGCAGGCCTGGTGGTGACAAAATCTTTCAGCATTTGCTTGTCTGTAAAGGATTTTATTTCTCCTTCACTTATGAAACCGTTTGGCTGGATATGAAATTCTGAGTTGAAAATTCTTTTCTTTAAGAATGTTGAATACTGGCCCCCATTCTCTTCTGGATTGTAGAGTTTCTGCTGAGAAATCCGCTGTTAGTCTGATTGGCTTCCCTTTGTGGGTAACCCGACCTTTCTCTCTGGCTCCCCTTAACATTTTTTCCTTCATTTCAACTTTGGCGAATCTGACAATTATGTGTCTTGGGGTTGGTCTTCTTGAGGAGTATCTTTGTGGCGTTCTCTGTATTTCCTGAATCTGAATGTTGGCCTGCCTTGCTAGATTGGGGAAGTTCTCCTGGATAATATACTGCAGAGTGTTTTCCAACTTGGTTCCATTCTCCCCGTCACTTTCAGGTAAACCAATCAGACGTTGATTTGGTCTTTTCATGTAGTCTCATATTTGTTGGAGGCTTTCTTCATTTCTTTTTATTCTTTTTTCTCTAAACTTCCCTTCTCACTTCATTTCATTCATTTCATCTTCCATCACTCATACCCTTTCTTCCAGTTGTTTGCATCAGCTCCTGAGGCTTCTGCATTCTTCACATAGTTCTCGGGCCTTGGCTTTCAGCTCCATCAGCTCCTTTAAGGACTTCTCTGCATTGATTATTCTAGGTATCCATTCGTCTAATTTTTTTTCAAAGTTTTTCACTTTTTTGCCATTGGTTTGAATTTCCTGCTGCAGCTCGGAGTAGTTTGATTGTCTGAAGCCTTCTTCTCTCAACTCATCAATGTCATTCTCTGTCCAGCTTTGTTCCATTGCTGGGGAGGAGCTGCGTTCCTTTGGAGGAGGAGGAGAGGTGCTGTGCTTTTTAGAGTTTCCAGTTTTTCTGCTCTTTCTTCCCCCATCTTTGTGGTTTTATCTACTTTTGGTCTTTGATGATGGTGACGTACAGATGGGTTTTTGGTGTGGATGTCTTTTCTGTTTGTTAGTTTTCCTTCTAACAGACAGAACCCTCAACTGCAGGTCTGTTGGAATTTGCAAGAGGTCCATTCCAGACCCTGTTTGCCTGGGTATCAGCAGCAGTGGCTGCAGAACAGCGGTGGCTGTAGAACAGTGGATATTGGTGATCCGCAAATGCTGCTGCCTGATTGTTCCTCTCGAAGTTTTGTGTCTGAGGAGTACCCGGCCATGTGAGGTGTCAGTCTGCCCTTACTGGGGTGTGCCTCCCTGTTAGACTGCTCAGGGGTCAGGGACCCACTTGAGGAGACAGTCTGCCCATTCTCAGATCTGCAGCTGTGTGCTGGGAGAACTACTACTCTCTTCAAAGCTGCCAGACAGGGACATTTAAGTCTGCAGAGGTTACTGCTGTCTTTTTGTTTGTCTGTGCCCTGCCCCCAGAGGTGGAGCCTATAGAGGCAGGCAGACCTCCTTGAGCTGTGGTGGGCTCCACCCAGTTCGAGCTTCCCGGCTGCTTTGTTTACCTAATCAAGCCTGGACAATGGTGGATGCCCCTCCCCCAGCCTCGCTGCCGCCTTGCAGTTTGATCTCAGGCTGCTGTGCCAGCAATCAGTGAGACTCCGTGGGCGTAGGACCCTCTGAGCAAGGTGCGGGATATAATCTCCTGGTGTACCGTTTTTTAAGCCCATTGGAAAAGCACAGTATTAGGGTGGGAGTGACCCGATTTTCCAGGTGCCATCTGTCGCCCCTTTCTTTGACTAGGAAAGGGAAGTCCCTGACCCCTTGCACTTCCTGAGTGAGGCAATGCCTCACCCTGCTTTGGTTCACACCCGGTGCACTGCATCCACTGTCCTGCACCCACTCTCTGGCACTCCCTAGTGAGATGAACCCAGTACCTCAGATGGAAATGTAGAAATCACCTGTCTTCTGGGTCGCTTATGCTGGGAGCTGTAGACTAGAGCTGTTCCTATTTGGCCATCTTGGCTCCACCCCCCTGTTTCATTTTTCTTGTAAGTTCTGCCTGAAAATTCAAGTTACTCTTTTAACTCATATTTTTATTTATGCCTTATCATATCCTACACTGTTTAAGAAACAGGTTGAACTTTCAATACTGTACTTGAAAATTTCAGCTGGATTCACCTGTTCATTTAAGTACACTTTCTGTTTTCTACATTACTATAGGTGGCAGTGTCACCATATCTTTCTGGCACTAGATAAGGAGTCACATTTTCCCCCCAGTTACTTCTGTGTTTTCAGCCATCAGTTACACCATCCAAGATACCTTCTAACTGTCATCTAGCTTCTGGTATTAAAGCCAATGTCTCGTGCTTTAGATTGTTGTTATGGAAGCACCACACTCACAGATGCCACTTTTTATTCTAGTTATCTGTTCCTGCATCATAGAAGGCTCCACTGTTTTTGTGACTTAATCAATAATTTATTTTATCTTCAAATGTTATGGGCTAGGAATTCAGGCAGTGTTCACTGGGTATTTCTTCTGCTTCATGTGGCTGGGACTAAAGTCACTCAATGTTATTCAGCTGATTTCTGAGTCATCTGTAGGGCCCAGGAAAGCTTATTTCACATTTATAGCATCTTGGAGGTGATGACTGGAAGAGATCTACTGAGTCCTTCCTCCTATCCATTTAGATGAAGGACCATAAGGTCTCTCACAGGATAGCCTTTTTACATGGGATTAAGAGACCCCCATGGTAGAAAGTAGAGGATGTCAGGCCAATTAAGGGCCATGTCCAGAACAGGCACAATGTCAGTTACAACATCTTCTATGGTTCAGATTGGTCACATGACCATTCCAGATTTGAAATGTTACAGAAACAGATGATAACCCTTGATGGGGAAATGGCAAAGTCACTTTGCACAGCAGTGTGCAGAACAGTTGTCTACCTCTGAAAAAGAACATATTGGGAGTTTTTTTGAGACTGAGTTGGATCTATTAATCATCTTGCACTGAATTAACATCTTAACAAGAGTGGGTTTTCTAATTCTTGAATACAATATATCTATTAGGTGTTTTAAATATTTATTTTTGAAAACTTTTGTAGTTATTAGTGTAGGGATCTTACATCATCTGTTCCTATTTATGTGTTCAGATGCTTTCACAGGTTTTTAATTAATAAAAATTTCATCAGTGATTGCTGTTAGTATATATAAATGCAATTGAATTTTTTGTCATTTGAGTCTTATAAACGTGCTAAATTTGCCACTTCTTTCTAGCCATCTCTGTAGAATCTTTAGAATTTTCTGAGATACTATTGTATTATCTATAAACAAGAATAGTTCATTACTTAGAGGGATAGAGGAGTGTTTAGGTTTTCAATTTGTTTTGGGGTCATTTTCTGAAAGTTGCATTTTCCCTACATTTTACTGTTTTATCTGTGCTGCCAAATTAATTAAAATAATGTTTTTCATAACAACTCTTTTCTATCCCTTTAAAGTCTAAAGGATCTATTTGAAGATGATTTTGTAAAAATGTCTGATATTGGTAATTTGAATTTCCATTTCTTTTCTCTTTCTTGATCATTCTTGCTAGAAGTTTATCAAGTTTATTATAAAAGTACCAACTTTCCACTATTTTGATTTTCTCTATTTTATGTTTCCCATTTTATTGATTTTTGATCCTTATAGTTATTATGTCCTTTCTTTTACTTGCCTTGGCTCTAATGTACTCTTCTTAAAGTGAAAATTCAGATTGATGCTTTTAAACATTTATTTTTAATGTAACACTTATAGCTATAAATTTCCCTCTCAGTAATATTTTAGTTACATCTCGCAAATTTTGGTATGTTTTTTAGTGTTGAGTTCTAAATATAAGTTACTCTAAAACATAGGCTCAAAACACTATGTACTTATTATGTCTCAATTTCTGTAGGCCATGGAAGTAAGGATGGCTTAGCAGATGCCAGTGCTTCAGGGTCTTTTACAAATCTGTAATCATCATCTGGCTGGGGCTACAGTTTCATATGAAGGCTTGACTGAGGAAGGATCCACTTCCAAGCTGGCTGTTGGCAGGACTCAGTTTCTCAATAGAAACAAAAAAATCTTTTGAAAGTGTCATTCTACTTAACATCCCACAGCACTTGAAATTGTTTTATATATTTTACTGCTGCATGTTGTTAACTTCTGAATATATTGTTATTCATTCTCTTTGAACAATTTTTATAAAACAACTAAGAAAGAAAGAGAATCTCTGTTTAATCGTTATGTATTATATCTACTTTCTGAATTCTTTTCTATAAATTATGATTTTTACTTTTTTTGCACTTTTTATAATACAGGTCTGCTGGCTATGACCTTTCTCATTCCTCAAGTACTGAGCTCATTACTGAATTGCATATGACAGGTTGAGACCATGTTTAGCTCTCCTCTAACACAAAATAGGTAAAAGATTGAAAGAGTGAGAGGAAATTCCAGCAATTTGCTAGTGCAAGGGGTGTTGGAAAAGAGTTTGAAGTTCAATTTCTGCCCTAGTAGAGTGATATAGTAAATTTTCAGCTTTTTGTTGAAACTTAAGAAGGTCCATATCTCAGCATTAATGTCAACATCCCAGAATTAGGGATTATGCAGTAGCACTTTTCAATGTCCGTTATCAATTGGGCTACTCCTTTTCTTTCTTTATCTTTCATCATCTTCACCTTTTTATAGCTCTAATTTGTTCTTATGTAATTGTATCAACAGAAGCATTTACTGCCTCGTATCTTTCCTACAAATAATACAATTCTCAGACAGAGCATTAAATAACTTCAGAGTAATTCTCCCATTAAAGTGAGAAGGGGTTCATTGTCTTTTCCTAGCGTTAGCTGACTTCATGTCACATATGAGAGAAACTGGAGTTTTATTCTCTGGAGACAAGATAATGTCATGGGTAAAGATTAATAGTGTCCATTCTAGGTGTTATCACCCATCTGTGTGCTCCTTTCCCATGTGACATGATTTTTCCTTTTAACTAATTTATCTTTAACCAATTCCTTTTAACTAACTTATCTTTAACCAATTCATCTTTTGAATAAGCCATTATTATGTGGTTTGTAATGTAAGCTGTATAATATAAAATCCCAAATCCCAGTGTTAATCCTAGTGTGGCAGAATTAGGCTTCTGCAGGGGTCTCCAGTGTGCTTAACTTCACATAGTGGACACTTCTGAAAACAACTGGGCATTAAGGTTATTGGGTTCTAATGGCATTGTGTGAGTAACTTCCCATTATAAATATCCTAGAGTCATTGTCATTTCTTTTGTGTTACTAGGATGTGAAACAGATGGTATATTTGCTAAGGTTTCTAAAATGTCTCAGTTGGTCATGGACCATGTTGTTCCAAGGAACTTGCCTGATTACTCCAAACTCTGTATTTTGGCTAGACTGATCAATTACACTAGACTAGTGATATTTACTGTTACTCCCATACTCCTCCAAGCTTCTTCTGAGGAATCAACTATTATGATGTTATCAATGAATTAATCAAATCAAAATGAATTTATTTATTTTTATTGTATTCCTGTATAAATTTTATTTCACCAAATTATGTCAGTGTACTAAGTATATATCCTTGGGGAAAAATAATAAATATATTTTGACTTTTTTCTACATAAAACTGGACTATTCTTGATATTCCTTTGATTGTAAAAGTTCATCTGGAAGCATAAAGATATGGACATTGCAATTAAATATGGAAAGAATGATGAGCTATTCTGGATAAGACAGATTATAAGGTTATAACAATTAAAACAATGTGGTTCTGTTTCAAATATATACATTTGTAAAAAATAATAGGACTTATACATTACTTCAGTTTCCTATATATATTTAAATTGGGGATGTTTCAGTTATGATGTTTTTGTTACAAATGACAGAAAAATCAATCTATTTTGAAATGGAAGAAAATTTATTTGTTGGCTAACCTAAGTGTAAAATTCAATGTTATGTCCAGCTTCATGGTAAGTGTGTAAAATTGATTAATTGTTTAATGAAGAAGCCCTTTTCTTTGTTGATTGTATCCTGTGTGTCCCATGTTGGATTTAATCTCGCTCTCTTATCACAAGAAGGGTTGCTATCTGTAGCCACTGAGAGAAGGCTCTTTTCACCACTGTGGCAGAGGTAATTGGCCTGATTATGATGTGGAATGGAGGTGTTATAACACAATAGTGGCAGGGAGTGATATTTTTGTCTTCCAGGTGACTGACATGGGCACATCTTGTCATGCCCTGTCAAATTGTGATAATAAGTGAGAAAGTACAAGAATCCTGTTCTGAATGAGTACAGTGATCAGGGATGAGACATTTTGGGGATGAAGGTCTAAGCTACATGTTTAAGTAAGTCATGAGATCAGTAGCGGTGCTAGTAGAAGGTGAAGTGGGAGAAATAGAATAGACAATGAAGGAATAAGATGCTAAATAGCAGTTGCAACTCTATGATCAGCCAAGGTGGCATGAGACGTAGTTTCTCCTTTAAACTTTCTCTTCTAATTTCCCCCCAAAAACAGAATCCTAAAGAGACTATTCTCATGTGTATATGAAGAAATGGATTCCAGTGACATAAGAGGTAGACTCTGTTAGATATAAGTATGTACTTCCTTGCCCTCTCTTTAGGAAAGAAGGATGCATTTTTCCAGTTGCTGGGCATGCTGTTAGTAGACAACCTTCAGATATTAGCCCTTTCAATATCTGTAGAAGTTGCAGAAAGCCACCTCCCCAAAGGCCTCATGTCCTTTTCCAGAGAAGTCCCTTTTTGCATTTAGATATGTATTCAAGTGTCACTTGAGTGCAAGTGGGAAATATAACCTTGTTGTAGAAAGAAATATTTCATTTGATTAACTATTTGCAGAGTCTAAATAATACGCTCTGGCAAGAATTGGAGGAATGTGTGGAAATGGACCTTGTGGATATTGGAACAAAAATGGCAAAATAGTTGACTGTATTGGGGAATGTTTATTAGCATTGGGATAATTTATCAGAATATATGTAACATGGACATATGATGACTATAACTTACTGAGCACATACTGTGTGTCAAACATATGGAAATGAGCATTTCACATTCTCAGGTTAGGATTGTCCAGCTGGCACCATGACCCACCCTTAGGGAGGACATTCCAATGTCGCAATTGTTCAGCTTCTATGTGATGTGAAATGTGGTTATACCAGTAAATTCTATTGTGGTGAGTGATATATTTTACTTTATTTACTAGAGATGTTTGGTATGGATAGAGAATAAATGAGATACCATGGCACTGGATAACGGATTCTACTCTGTGAGTAATAAATAAGGCAACTGCTAGAAGAAATATATAACCAGAATATATGATGACAAAATGCTATCTTCTCTAGACTTAGGGGTTGCAATGAAGTAAGCTGTCACAGGGTTGTTGGCTGGCTTCCCAGCTATTTGTACCATGTTAATGAGTCAATGATGGACATTGCTGATGGCATTTAAGACGTTGAGGCTTTGTACAGTTTTCATCTCTGCAAAAGTGACTACAAAGGTAACTGGGAAAAAGGCTGACTGACATCCAAAGTGTAGTTCATGTTTATGAGATTCCTGAAAGCATCCTCTGCAGTAGTTTCTTTTTGTTAGGTATTTATGTCGGAAACTAACATTGTAGTATTTGGTGTTCATTTTGAGAGATTCATCCACATATGGTTCTTCCAACTACTTTGTCATCATTTTTCCATTTTTAAATTTCCAATTTCCTCATTAGCTCATCCAATCTGTGAGACAATATCCATTTTCAGCCTAGATCCATAAGTATGGTGATTATTCCTTCCACATACAGCAGAAAACAAGACTGACTGCTCAAAATAGTACCCTCTAGGAGGCCTTTCCTTCACTCCAGAGCTTCCAGACCACCTTCCAGGGACAGTGCAGCATTTGCAGAGTTTTGTCTGTTTTTGCCATTCCATACAGACTGTTTACTCCTTTTGTTGTTGTCATCTTTAAAACATAGTTTGTTTTTTATTTTCTCTAACTTTATTGAAGTGTATTTGACAAAAATTTATAATATATATTTAAGACGTACAATGTGATGTTTTGGTAAATATATACCTTGTGAAATGATTACCACAATCAACATGCTCATGACCTCACATAGTTATCTTTTTTGTGTGCTGAGAATATTTAAGTTGTATTTTCTCAGCAAACTTCAAGTATACGATATGGTATTACCAAGTATAGTCTCTATGCTGTAACTTAGCTTTCCATAACTTATTCATTCTGCATAACTGAAACTTTGTACTCTTTGACCAACATCTCCTCATTTCTCCCTCCCCACAGTCCCTGGCCATCACCATTGTACTCTCTGCTCTATGAGTTTGACATTTTGTTTTAGATTCCACATTTAATTGAGATAATGTGGTCTTTACCTTCAGTGTGGAGAAAAGGGCACCCTTTTACATGATTGGTGAGAATGAAAATAGATACAGCCATTATAGAAGAAACTACGAAGGATAAAACTACCATATGATCCAGCAATCCCACTACTCGGTATGTATCAAAAGAAAATGAAATTAGAATCTTGAAGATTTACCTGTTCCCATAGGTACTGCAGCATTATTCATAATCATTAAGATATGGAAACAACTTAGATGTCCATTGACAGATGAACGAATAAAGACAATGTGATATCTATCTATCTATCTATCTATCTATCTATCTATCTATCTATCATCTATCTATCTATATCATCTATTATCTATCTATCTATCATCTATCTATCTATCTACATACCTAATCTACACATGCACACATATACTCACAAAATATGTGGTATTATTAGCTACAGACATTATGGTGTACCTTAGATCACCAGTATTTCTTCATCCATCATAAATTAAAATTTGTACCCTTTGCCCTTTGTATTTGTATATGCAATGCAATAATATTTCATAATAAAATGTTTAACCCTTCAAAAGAACATCCTGCTATTTTTGACAATATGAATGAACCTGGAAGACTTAATAACCTCTTTGTTTTGTTTTGTTTTTAATTGAAGAACAGTAATTGTATGTATTTGTGGAGTACAATGTGATGTTTTTATATCATATGTGACAACATGGATTTAACTAGAGGACATTATGCTAAGTGAAACGATTTCTTGAATAGATATTTAGTGCACTGATTTTTGGCCTTTACTATTTTCTAGCAAATGCAAGTAATATTTTAGCTGAGCCTTACAAGCTTTGATATGTTGTATTTTTGTTATTATTAGGCTCAAAGTATTTTCTAACTTCTGTGATTTATTTTCACCAATGGATTATTTAGAAGTGATTTGTTTAATGTTGAGCCATAGAAAATTTCTGGCTAATTTTAGTTTTTCATTTTTTAGCTGATTTTCTTGTTGTTCGGTGACATATTTTATTATGATGATTACTTGAAATTCATTGAGGGTTGCTTTGAGAACCAGCATATAATTGATTTTAGAAAATGTTTCATGTGCTCTTGAAAAGAATGTGCATTTTGCCACTGCTGTATGTGATCGTTTCATATGTCAATGGGTCAGACATATTAATGGTTTTATTTAAATCCTAAATATATTTATAAATTTTTGTATGTGTATATTCTAGCACGTAGAGTTGTGCTAAAATTTTCCTGTGTTATTGCTGATTTGCCTATTTCTCCTTGTAGGTCAGTCTATTTAAAAAAAATAACTTATAAAGTTGTTCTTTCGGGTACAAATGAATTTATCATTTTATCTTCATGTTACTAATCTTTTGCCATTATAAAAATTTATTTCTGGCAATATTACTTGCCTTGAAGTCTAGTTTTCTCTGACATTAGCATATAAATAGTGTTCTTTTGGTTAGAATTTATGCAGTTTATTAAATTATTTTATTTTTACATTTATCCTGTTATTTAATATGTTTCTCTTATTAGGCTCTTACCATTGTGTTCTGTTTCTTTTTTTATTATTATACTTTAAGTTTTAGGGTACATGTGCACAACGTGCAGGTTTGTAACATATGTATACATGTGCCGTGTTGGTGTGCTGCACCCATTAACTCGTCATTTAGCATTAGGTATATCTCCTAATGCTATCCCTCCCCCCTCACCCCCACCCCACAACAGTCCCTGATGTGTGATGTTCCCCTTCCTGTGTCCATGTGCTCTCATTGTTCAATTCCCACCTATGAGTGAGAACATGTGGTGTTTGGTTTCTTGTCCTTGTGATAGTTTGCTGAGAATGATGGTTTCCAGATTCATCCATGTCCCTACAAAGGACATAAACTCATCCTTTTTTATGGTTGCATAGTATTCCATGGTGTATATGTGCCACATGTTCTTAATCCAGTCTATCATTATTGGACATTTGGGTTGGTTCCAAGTCTTTGCTATTGTGAATAGTGCCACAATAAACATATGTGTGCATGTGTCTTTATAGCAGCATGATTTATAATCCTTTGGGTATATACCCAGTAATGGGATGGCTGGGTCAAATGGTATTTCTAGTTCTAGAACCCCGAGGAATCGCCACACTGACTTCCACAATAGCTGAACTAGTTTACAGTCCCACCAAAAGTGTAAAAGTGTTCCTATTTCTCCACTTCCTCTTCAGCACTTGTGGCCAGTGATGATGAGCATTTTTTCATGTGTTTCTTGGCTGCATAAATGTCTTCTTTTGAGAAGTGTCTGTTCATATCCTTCATCCACTTTTTGATGGGGTTGTTTGATTTTTTCTTGTAAATTTGTTTGAGTTCATTGTAGATTCTGGATATTAGCCCTTTGTCAGATGAGCAGGTTGCAAAAATGATCTCCCATTCTGTAGGTTGCCTGTTCACTCTGATGGTTGTTTCTTTTGCTGTGCAGAAGCTCTTTAGTTTAATTAGATCCCATTTGTCAATTTTGGCTTTTGTTGCCATTGCTTTTGGTGTTTTAGACATGAAGTCCTTGCCCATGCCTATGTCCTGAATGGTATTGCCTAGGTTTTCTTCTAGGGTTTTTTTGGTTTTAGGTCTAATGTGTAAGTCTTTAATCCATCTTGAATTAATTTTTGTATACGGTGGAAGGAGGGAATCCAGTTTGAGCTTTCTACTTATGGCTAGCCAGTTTTCCCAGCACCATTTATTAAATAGGGAATCCTTTCCCCATCGCTTGTTTTTCTCAGGTTTGTCAAAGATCAGATAGTCATGGATAAGCAGCAGTATTTCTGAGGCCTCTGTTCTGTTCCATTGGTCTATATGTCTGTTTTGGTACACGTACCATGCTGTTTTGTTACTGTAGGCTTGTAGTATAGTTTGAAGTCAGGTAGCGTGATGCCTCCAGCTTTGTTCTTGTGGCTTAGGATTGACTTGGTGATGCAGGCTCTTTTTTGGTTCCATATGAACTTTAAAGTAGTTTTTTCCAATTCTGTGAAGAAAGTCATTGGTAGCTTGATGGGGATGGCATTGATTCTGTAAATTACCTTGGGCAGTATGGCCATTTTCACGATATTGATTCTTCCTACCCATGAGCATGGAATGTTCTTCCATTTGTTTGTATCCTCTTTTATTTCCTTGAGCAGTGGTTTGTAGTTCTCCTTGAAGAGGTCCTTCACATCCCTTGTAAGTTGGATTCCTAGGTATTTTATTCTCTTTGAAGCAATTGTGAATGGGTATTCCCTCATGATTTGGCTCTGTGTTTGTCTGTTTTTGGTATGTAAGAATGCTTGTGATTTTTGTACATTGATTTTGTATCCTGAGACTTTGCTGAAGTTGCTTATCAGTTTAAAGAGATTTTGGGCTGAGACAATGGGGTTTTCTAGATATACAATCATGTCATCTGCAAACAGAGACAATTTGATGTCCTCTTTTCCTAACTGAATACTCTTTATTTCCTTCTTCTGCCTGATTGCCCTGGCCAGACCTTGCAACACTATGTCGAATAGGAGTGGTAAGAGATGGCATCCCTCTCTTCTGCCAGTTTACCAAGGGAATGCTTCCAATTTATGTCCATTCAGTATGATATTGGCTGTGCATTTGTCAATGATGGCTCTTATTATTTTGAGTTACATCCCACCAATACCTAATTCATGGAGAGTTTTTAGCATGAAGGTTGTTGAATTTTCTCAAAGGCCTTTTCTGCATCTATAGAGATAATCATGTGGTTTTTGTCATTGGTTCTGTTTACATGCTGGATTACGTTTATTGATTTGCATATGTTGAACCAGCCTTGCACCCCAGGGATGAAGCCCACTTGATCATGGTGGATAAACTTTTTGATGTGCTGCTGGATTCAGTTTGCAGTATTTTATTGAGGATTTTTGTATCAATGTTCATCAAGGATATTGGTCTAAAATTCTCTTTTTTTTGTTGTGTCTCTGCCAGGCTTTGGTATCAGGATGATGCTGGCCTCATAAAATGAGTTAGGGAGGATTCCCTCTTTTTCTATTGATTGGAATAATTTCAGAAGGAATGGTACCACTTCCTCTTTGCACCTCTGGTAGAATTCGTCTGTGAATCCATCTGGTCCTGGACTTTTTTTGGTTGGTAAGCTACTAATTATTGCCTCAATTTTGGAGTCTGTTTTTAGTCCATTCAGAGATTCAACTTCTTCCTGATTTAGTCTTGAGAGGGTGCACGTGTCAAGGAATTTATCCGTTTCTTCTATATTTTCTAGTTTATTTGCGCAGAGGTGTTTATAGTATTCTCTAATGGTAGTTTGTATTTCTGTGGGATCAGTGGTGATATCCCCTTTGTCTTTTTTTATTGCGTCTATTTGATTCTTCTCTTTTTCTTCTTTATTAGTCATGCTAGCGGTCTTTCAATTCTGTTGATCTTTTCAAA